>NC_000005.10:160306778-160609808 GCF_000001405.40 Homo sapiens | reverse complement strand
GAACTGCTTCCTGTGGCCCGTCTGGGCTCTATGCATATTCTAGTGCCTGCAACACTCAATTTAGCATCTTAAAAGGTAGACACAGGAATAATAAACTATGTCTTTATTCTTTCCAAAATAAGTTATGCCAGGGCAGGGTGCAGTGACTCACGCCTGTAATCCCAGCACTTTGGAGGCCAAGGCACGTGGATCACTTGAGGTCAGGAGTTCAAGACCAGCCTGGCCAAAATGGTGAAACCCTGTCTTTACTAAAAATATAAAAATTAGCCAGGTGTGGTGGCGCATGCTGGTAATCCCAGTTACTTGGGAGGCTGAGGCATGAAAATCACTTGAACCCAGGAGGCAGAGGTTGCAGTGAGCTGAGATTATGCCACTGCACTCCAGCCTGGGTGACAGAGTGAGACTCTGCCTCAAAAAAAAAAAAAAATAAGTTATGGCAGACATATTCCCCCACACAGAAATCTCTAAATCTCTAGATCAATGTTCCCCAACCCTGGCCCTTCAGAACTGCTTTCACAGTTTTTTCCAAAATCTGTATATGACTTGTACTTTTTTTTACTTAATAATTTGACTCACTTTGAATATTATTTTTAGAAGAAACTTTTAGCACTTCAATAAATGTAAAATCATCCTCCCTTGCCATGGATGAAGAAACACTGTAAAATGAAGACCTATGTGAAGAAAACAATGCTACTAAAATTGATAATATTAATTCAAGATGGATTAAAGACTTAAATGTTAGACCTAAAACCATAAAAACCCTAGAAGAAAACCTAGACAATGCTATTCAGGACAAAGGCATGGGCAAAGACTTCATGACTAAAACACCAAAGGCAATGGCAACAAAAGCCAAAATTAACAAATAGGATCTAATTAAATTAAAGAGCTCCTGAACAGCAAAAGAAACTACCATCAGAGTGAACAGGCAACCTACAGAATGGGAGAAAATTTTTGCAATCTACCCATCTGACAAAGGGCTAATATCCAGAATCTACAAAGAACTTAAAGAAATTTACAGGAAAAAAATCAAACAACCCCATCAAAAAGTGGGCAAAGGATATGAACAGACACTTCTCACAAGAAGACATTTATGCAGCCAACAAACACATGAAAAAATGCTCATCATCACTGGCCATCAGAGAAATATAAATCAAAACCACAATGAGATACCATCTTAAACCAGCTAGAATGGAGATCATTAAAAAGTCAGGAAACAACAGGTGCTAGAGAGGATGTGGAGAATTTGGAATGCTTTTACACTATCGGTGGGCGTGTAAACTAGTTCAACCATTGTGGAAGACAGTGCGGCGATTCCTCAAGGATCTAGAACTAGAAATACCATTTGACCCAGACATCCCATTACTGGGTATATACCCAAAGGATTATAAATCATGCGACTATAAAGACATATGCATATATATGTTTATTGCGGCACTATTCACAATAGCAGAGACCTGGAACCAACCCAAATGTCCATCAATGATAGACTGGATTAAGAAAATGTGGCACATATACACCATGGAATACTATGCAGCCATAAAAACAGATGAGTTCACATCCTTTGTAGCGACATGGATGAAGCTGGAAACCATCATTCTCAGCAAACTATCACAAGGACAGAAAACCAAACATCACATGTTCTCACTCATAGGTGGGAAGTGAACAATGAAAACACTTGGACACAGGGTGGGGGAACATCAGACACCGGGGCCTGTCGTGGGGTGGGGGGATGGAGGAGGGATAGCATTAGGAGAAATACCTAATGTAAATGACGAGTTAATGGGTGTAGCCAACCAACATGGCACACGTATACATATGTAACAAACCTGCACGTTGTGCACATGTACCCTAGAACTTAAAGTATAATAAAAATAAATGAATTGATAATGCTGTTTTCTGCCATGATTTTATTAAAAAGTGATGTTCAGAGAAGTTGATATCAAGAATAAATTTGAATCAAAATATGACTACTTTTGATATAATCAAAAGTAATGGAAGAAAAAATTGAAAAAGGAAATACTTTCTCACTATATTTCAAGGCAAACACCAGAAAAAAATTAATAAGTTTATTTCCATCAATAAGACTTTTATAACCGTAGTCCGTTCAAACCAATGTGATCAATGCTTCATGCCACAGTTCTTAGCACCCTTCATGGAATACAACAATTGATAAACACAGGTACAATGTATTTTTTTCAGTTAGGAAGCCACAGTTCAAGTAGTAATGATCCTGACTCCACTACTAAGTTTGGATGATCTTGGGTGAGTTATTAAAGATCTCATTTCAGTCTCCTCATCTCTAAGATCAGGAATACACACCCTATCTACCACGCAGGAATGTTCTGAGGAACAAAGGGGAACTTAAATGACCTGTGAGAAATAGAAAGCACCATACCAGCATGACGTATTGTCATTATCTACCATTATATTAGTATTATTTATTATCTTATGCCATCCTTGTGTCTATCTCCATCTTGCTGAGCTACTTTCACTCCCATTCACAAGCAGTGTCTTCTATTTTGGCTGTTAATTTGGTTCCAAATTAATATTCCTTTGATATTATGTCAAATATTGCAGAGAAATATAAAAATTGGAGAATAGCTTGTAAATAATCTCTATGGTAGTAGAGTTTTATGACTATCTTACTAAAGAATAAACTGAAATTGTTAACATGCATTTCCAAGGTTGCTTACAAATACTGTATTATTATGCTTCTTTATAGGAGACCTGTGAATCCATCCTCAATTGTGCATTGGAAGAGCTAAAGCAATTTCGTGAACTACAGAAGCCAGACCGCAAGCTCTTTGGATTCCGCTTACCTTCCAAGACACCATCCATCACCTCAGAAGCTGTGGTTCCAGAAGCTGGATTGGTCATCGATGGGAAGACATTGAATGCCATCTTCCAGGGAAAGCTAGAGAAGAAGTTTCTGGAATTGACCCAGTATTGTCGGTCCGTCCTGTGCTGCCGCTCCACGCCACTCCAGAAGAGTATGATAGTCAAGCTGGTGCGAGACAAGTTGCGCGTCATGACCCTTTCCATAGGTACCCATCATACTGAGATGCGGGTGGCACTTTGGCAGGGATGATCTGATGAAAGGCTGGACCAGAGGTGGGAGGTCAGGTCTCAAAGTCAGAATGCTTAGGCTGTGAGTCATTGTCTTAGAGGGAGAGAGTTCAAAATGACAATCAAGATGCAGCAACTAGGGGATGAAGTGGGACAGTGCATCAAAGTTCTTGGGACTAGCAAGTCAGCTAAAGATAAATCAGGGTTTAGATGGAGGTCAAAACCAACAGGGGCCTTGAATTCAGTGAATCCAGATAGCTCAAGAAATGTTGCCAGTAATTATATTCAGATCATCTTAATTCTGGGATACAGATCATTTTCCCTTTAGTACTTTATGCATGCCACAACTTCAGGTGTTTAGGGATTTGATATTCTGAGTGTTGATGGCTGGTGGGGAGATTTTAAAGATTGGTACTGTCTCATGTTTAATTTGTGTGTTTATTTCTAAATAGGAGGCCAGCACAAAGCATATCACCAATAGATGCTAGCATTGGTTGATAAAGAATTTTTCAGAGGGGGCTAAACTTTAATCATGTTGGGACAGAGAAATGAAAACTGCACTTACTTAACACCTTTCAGGAACAACCAAACCTGGTTTAAAAGAATCTTCGTGATCTTCTGTTACCCTCAGCCATATCTCTTATTGTGGCCACCTTTCTTTCTCCAACAGTTGCCTTTCCATGTTCCAACAAATGAAACTGTTTACCATTCTCCATGGGCCTTGTCCTCTCTCACTTCTGGGCCTTTGCACAAGTTATTTCCTCTGTAAAACACTTCTTCCAATCCTACCTAACTTTGCTTTCCCCTGGGGGCTCCCACAGCACCCAGTACGCATAGCTCAAAGCACTGTCATACCTTCTGTGATGGCCTCCTCAGTAGACCATGAGTTCCTCGAGTAGAAAGATGTCAGCCTTATTCACTTTTGGATCCCCTGCCCAGCACATACCAAGCATGTAGTAAATATTGCCTTCTCTTAGGGATGTTCTTACAGATGGTGCCAGCCTCTCCTCCTCCTACACAGGCATGGGATAAGATTTTCTTTCCTAACATTTCAAATAGAAACCCTATTAAACGTGATGGTTTTGTTCCTGGTTTTCAGGTAAGAACAGTAGAGAATAACAAGAGTGGGGCAGAAAGAAAGCAGAGAACAAATTTAGCAACGACATCCTACTTTTATGCCTGGAATTGTCCTCTTCAGAAATTCAGACACACACAAGGCAATAGCCCAAGAATGATTTTCTCTGAGGTCAGATATTGGCTTCACTCCCATAGCAACAGAAACAAAACCAGTGTGGCGAGAAATAGCATGGTTTCACACCTCTACTTCTCCTGGCTCACTAACAGAAGAGATTAAAGGTTGGATTTGTTTTGCATGGGGAAGATGAAAATTATGCATTGCTATGCAATCAAGAAATATTTTAGAATAAAGGCTACTTATGGCAAAACTTTTAAGACCAATAAATGTGTCATCAGATAACTAGAAGAATCATTCTCTCCCTCCCATTTTATATTCTATATCATAATAATATAAATTTAATTGTGGCTTATTCTGAGAAACTGCTAGAAAACATGTAGGGCCAGGAAAAGAATGAAGGCAGCATAGTCTACAAGAACAAGGGTTGGCAAACTATGGCCTGCAGGCTGAATCCAACCCATGGCATGTTTTTGTATGGATACTAAGAATTATTTTTCTATTTTTCAATGTAAAATTTATAAAGGATTAATAGTCTTTCAGCAAGAATAACTGTTCAATTTTGCTTCTTGGCTCACAAAGCCTAAAATATTTACCACCTGACCCTTTACAGAAAAAGCACTGGGGAGAGTTTGGCTTCTGGGGAAGGCCTCACTGTATAGAGCTATCTGTGGCTACTTAAATTTAAATCGAATTTCACCAGCAAAATTTCCATAGACACATGTGGCTCCTGGTTTCTATATTGGACAGTGCAGATATAGAACGTTTCCCTCATCATGGAAAGATCTTGAACAGTCTTGGTATAGAAGGAGACCGTGTGTGTGTGTTTATGTGTGTGTGTGTGTCTATGCCTTACCTCCAGTTTCCTGAAACAACTCAGTTCATTGAATGGAAACTCAGTGTGACTAAATATATTTCAAAAACATGAATCAATCTCATTTCTCTACACTGAGAAACAAAACAATATCATCCCTCTCCTTGGAAACCATTGACAATTTCTGATGATTTCACTCTCCAAACTGTCCAGTTGTCTTGATATGGTATTTCAAGTTTGACCGAGGGAAGTGTGTTGGCCCTGGAATCTGAAAGATATGAGTTCCATTTCTCCTGGGTCCTTTCTCTAGTGGAATTACCCTTGCCAAGTCTCTAAGTTGCTCAAATTCTCCATTTGCTCATCAGTAAAGTTCATTGTAACATTTGTGAAGGCATTTTTTTGAAAACTGCCCAAGTCTCTTGATTACCATTATATCCCCAATACCTAACACTGTGCCTAGAAAAAAAGACACTTGGTAAGTCCTATATTTGCTGAATGGTAAAGAAAATGGTAGGACTTATTTTCCAAAGAAGAAATGACATCTCTCAAGCTAAGCACTATAGCAATGACTTTCTATAGCACTAGAGTAATGTTAAAAGGATTCAATTGTATGTAACTGGGGACACTTTAGAGCTACCTCATTGTCACTGAGCAGTTGGACCAAAAATAAAGACACGTTATGACCTCTCTTTCAGGTGATGGAGCAAATGATGTAAGCATGATTCAAGCTGCTGATATTGGAATTGGAATATCTGGACAGGAAGGCATGCAGGTATTGTTCTCTGCAACTATTCTTCTTTCTTTGGTCCTTAGTTGAGATACAAGGAAATATCCAGAGTGTTGGAGAAACTTCTCCCTGAGAACTTCCACCCACATCCAAAGTTGCAATGCCCTCCATAAGCAATGACAGACATAAGGACATTTGAAATCATTTTGCAAATGTACACTTTCGTAGTGTCAAAATTCAGCTTGGAAGAAGCAAACTAACTTGACTGCTAAATTTTCCCATTTAAACAGACATTTTGTGGGTTTTGAGCCATTAACAATTGTATTTCCACCACCAGTGTAAACATTTGGCACTGCTTAAATTTGTTGATGAGGATAGAGAGCATTGACTGGGAAGCTGCAGAATAGTTCTGAAATGTTAACTTTTGCGTATCTCCTATATGCCAGCAATCTGTTAGACCAGGGGTATCCAATCTTCTGGCTTCCCTGGGCCACAATGGAAGAAGAATTGTATTGGGCTACACATAGAACACACTAACTATAGCTGATGAGCTTTAAAAAAATTGCAAAAAAAGTCTCATAATTTTGGGCCACATTCAAAGCCATCCTGGGCCACATGCGACCTGCAGGTTGGACAAGCTTGTGTTAGACACTTCACATTTAGGATCTCATTGAATTTTAATAATCATCACACCCTGTAAGGGATTGCTATTCCATTTTTTAGATGGGGAAACTGAGGCACAGGGAATTAGACCAAAGTTTATACCAGGACTTATAAACAGGCATGTTCAGTGTTCATGTTTTTAAAAGAGTACTATAAACTGTGCCTTGTTCTGAGTAATCCCAGGGGCAGAAGACATATTTCAGCTCCAGGTAAAGGAAGAGCTGTCACTTAGCTCCATCTGTGAATGGAGCCAATGGCCTGACTCAGGGGGTGGTGAAAGGTGTTCAGAGGATTGTAAATTGCTTGAATGGAAGCCCCTTCTCTCTGGTTAACCATCACATCCCTAGCACGGTGCCTGACACTTACTGGGCCACAGTCAATGCTTGCTGGATAAACGGATGAAGAGCCAGCCTAGACCACTGATCCCTTCTGATCTGCCCTCCTTGGATTCTAGAGAGGTTTGGATTTCCCAGAAGGGAGGGTGGGGTGTCAGAATCCAAAAAGCTACCCAAGAGTGACCACAACAAGGGGTCTTTAGGACTCTGCTGGCCGTAGGCCTAGACCAAAGCAACGCCCTTGAGAGAGTCCCTCTGGGGCACTGGCAGCCATGGATGGAAGCTGATGTGTCTGTTCTCACCTCTCAGGCTGTCATGTCCAGCGACTTTGCCATCACCCGCTTTAAGCATCTCAAGAAGTTGCTGCTCGTGCATGGCCACTGGTGTTACTCGCGCCTGGCCAGGATGGTGGTGTACTACCTCTACAAGAACGTGGTAAGTAGCCTATGGCGTCCTCTCACCCAGGGCTTTGGCAGGCCTTGCCACGGGGCCAGATCTCTCCCTAGCAGTGGGCAAAGCACCTCAGCATAAAGGAAGGAGTCAGGCTGGCATAGTGTTAGATCTTGAAACTGTTCCTTAATAGCTCTGTGACCTTGAGCTAGACTCTTCACTTTCTATTTTTGTGAAGTTATTGTGAGAATTGGCAATGCTGTATGAAAAGCACCTGGCACACAGAGGGCAGCATGAATAGCTGCAAGTGTAGACTCTGGAGTCAGACACGTTGGGTTTAAATCCAGATTCCCATATGTGATAATGTCCCCAAATCTCAGTTTTACCATCTGTAAAATGGGTGGTAATAGTACCTTTCTCATATTTGCTATGAGGACTAAATGAGAATTTGTATATAAAGTGATTAGCGTATCGTAATCGTTTATAAAGTTAGCCTTTTTTTTATTATTGTTGCTGTCATTACTCTTGGAGTTAAGTCTCATAAATGAGATTTTCTTATTGTAACAAAGAAGGATTTGAAGAGCTAGTCTGAACTGTATCAGATTTCCTCTGTATATAGAGCCAGCTCAGTGCAAGAGCTATACCCCATGCCTTGGGAGAGTGAGGGTGAAAAGTACGTCACAGAATATAAGCCTGGAGCCCATGGCTTCAACTTGGGACTTGCATATCACTTCAGTGCCCCTGGGCTTTCTTTCAGGGATTTGCTGGAGGGCAGGATACTAAATAAAATATCTACTTGGCAAAGATGTTTGAGGTGCAGAGTTTGTCTGGGTAGTCTTACCTGACTCCAGCATGCTGTATGACCTTGAAGAAACTGAAGCTCACAGAGATTAATTAATCTTTTCATCAATAATATGGGGAAACTATAATTCTGTGTCAAGAGGCCTTAGTGTCAGAGCTCTGAAAAACATATAGCCCTATAAAAATACAAACAATAAGTTGTGTATTCTAAAACTATGTTGGTTTGTCTTGTTGATGAGGGCCTAAAGCAAACACATACCAACTGAGGTATTAAAACGGTCAGAAGACTCTTCTTTGAAAAGCCCTTTATTAACAATGGGAATAGGAAGAAGTCAGAACCGTGCTAGGCTAATGGAGGGAACAAAAGAGTTTTTCATTATCTAGTTCAAAGGCTTTTAATAAACCCCAAGATTTCCAAACAATTTGACTCCTCTTTGCATAAGTAAAAGGGGAGGATTAAGACCAAGGTGATGGAAGAGAAACATTAGCCAGGTAGTAGCTACAAAATTGCAATTTTTCCTCTTGCTCCAGTCTTTCTTTCAGACTCTGACACAGTCACCTTTGCTCAGGAATGACTTTCTGTGCAAAGTTCAATGTATATGTAGATAAACAGCATGACAAAAAGTAATGTAAATTCAATCAACTTGATGGTAATATTATCTCAGCAAGTCTACGCAAACAAGTCACTCCATCTGACTTGAAACTCACTTTGAGAGTGAAAGACTGTTTATTTAGAATCCAAAATGCTCCTGTTTAATTTTTTTGGCAGCTCAAGGAATAATTCTTTTGAATAAGCACAGCCTCTTCTCTGCATTAAATTTGTGAAATAGGAAAGAAAACGTTTCCAAGCAGCCACGCTTTCAAAGCTTAAATGATATTTATTTCCAGCCCAATGCCATGCTCAAAATTGCGATACTAATGCCGCATTATCTCCCTGTTGCAATTAGAAGGTGGAGAACTATGACTTCCACATATGAAACCAATTTCAGAGGGGATTAAAACCTGGCCTGCTCTGAAATTTGAACAATGAATTAATTACCGCACTGTAGCTTCTTGAGAGAAAGAGCAGGCATCCAATATCAGCAATGCTGCCATGGGGTTCAATGCACTCCCTGCAAGGTACAAAGATTCCAGTTAGGCAGAAGTGAAAAACAAGCAAGATCTTACCAGGGCCTCAGGAGGCAAGAAGCACTCTGTAACGCTGAAACTCCAGGATGGGTGTTAGCATAGAGCTAAGATTAACTACATTGATTCAAATAACAATTGAATGTCTGCTGTATGTCGGGAACAGGGCTGAGCAATGGGTATAGAGCAGGAATCAAGCCAATCATGGCCTGCGTGAGGCTGTCTACATCAGGTCTCAGGAAGCTTTTTCTTCAAAGAGCTAGATAATAAATATTTCAGCTTTGCAGGCTGTATGTGTCTAGAAAAGTCTAATCGTATAAGCCAAAGATAGGACTGAGAAAGTTTAGAGGTAGTTAAAAAGAGAAAGAACTTTGAAAATTCAGATGCTGATTGTACCACTCTCTAGCTCTGAATTTGGGCAGGGGGCAACAGTATGTCAGAACCTTGGATTCTTCATCTGTAGAGTGGGCCTAATAATGTTAATATTATTGTTAATATCAACATGTGATATATCAGTACAATAACGTAGTACTACTATAGCAATATTAACCTTGCAAGGTTGTTAGGACAATCTATAGTGTGTATTGCACATCCAATGATGTACTATATGCTGATATACTGATGTATATCTCACTCCTGGCACATATAGAAGGTCAAATTTTACAAATGATGTTACTACTAGTGGCAATATGTTAAAATAGAGAGCCCCTCCAAAATAACATTGACCCAGCAGTTCAGAAATAGGAGTTACAGCTTGAACACAAACCTGCTGAATGATTTCTTGCAAGACCCTTCACATCTCTGTGCCTCAGCCCCACATAACTGAGAAGTTCTAGTTCTAACTCCAGGACCAGCTGCTTATATGTATGACCTTGGTCAAATCACCAAACCATATCGCAATATGGTAGACAATAACAGTGACCCAGCCCACCCACAAGAGAGGAGATCTTGAGTGAGAAAGAGCTTTAGAAAAAAATGAACAACATTTAGGCAGATTTTGTCATTCACCCTTCTGAGCTGCATGACCATTAGGAAAGTACAGTGAAGTCAACCTTCTCACGAGGTCACCGTCCTACCAGGTGTCCTGCTCATGGTTCAGTCTTTCTATTACCCCTTTGTCAGTGACATCCCTTTCTATTACCACTCCACTGCCATTCATATTTCGCATGCCATTGGTCTAAGTACTACTATTCCCAGCTGACAGATGATAAAATGCTATTCAGAAAGATTAAGTAGTTTGTCCAAGGTCACACAGCTAGTAAGTGACAGAATTGGGGATTCAAAACCAGGCCTCTCTGCCTCCAAAATCTGTACTTTTAACCATCATAGTACACCAAGTCCTCAATTAATGTCCTCAATAGGTTCCTAGAAAATGTGATGTTGAATTAAGCAATGTTATTCCGGGGCTTGCCATACATCATTTTGCTTTAAGTTGCAGTTTCTAAGAACCTATTGGCAATGTTAAGTGAAGACTTACTGTCCACTCCCCTTTAAACAAGTTAGTGGAATTCCCTTCAGGTCCTGAAGAATGTTAGTAGCAATAGTAGTAGTAGTAACAGTGGTAGCTACTGCTCCGAGGATTAGAATTCTCTCTCATCCTTACATAACCCTGTGTGTTATAAATGAGGCAACTGCCACTCCAGCAGCTCCCAGAGGTCCCAAGCAGGAGCTGGTGACCGGCTGCACATGGAGCCCCACTCACAAGGCCATGCTCTCTGCCTGCAGTGCTACGTCAACCTGCTCTTCTGGTATCAGTTCTTCTGTGGTTTCTCCAGCTCCACCATGATTGATTACTGGCAGATGATATTCTTCAATCTCTTCTTTACCTCCTTGCCTCCTCTTGTCTTTGGAGTCCTTGACAAAGACATCTCTGCAGAAACACTCCTGGCATTGCCTGAGCTATACAAGAGTGGCCAGAACTCTGAGGTAAGGAGATCGGGCAGCCAAAGGGAGGTGACTTCAGCTTCTTACTGACCTCTACCTCCCCTCTGGAGGCATCAGAGAAAGAGCTGTATGCTGGGGTCAGAAGCCTGCATTCTGACCACTGTTCCATCATTTACTTTGAGTAACTCCTCTCTCCTTTCCTGACCCGTTTCTTACTTGCTATTGAGGGTGTTGGGCCAGACTAGTGGGTATTTTTAATTTTTTTTTTATTGTTATTATACTTTAAGTTTTAGGGTACATGTACACAATGTACAGGTTAATTTCATATGTATACATGTGCCATGCTGGTGTGCTGCACCCATTAACTCGTCATTTAGCATTAGGTATATCTCCTAATGCTATCCCTCCCTGCTCCCCCCACCCCACAACAGTCCCCAGAGTGTGATGTTCCCCTTCCTGTGTCCATGTGTTCTCATTGTTCAATTCCCACCTATGAGTGAGAACATGTGGTATTTGGTTTTTTGTCCTTGCAATAGTTTACTGAGAATGATGATTTCCAATTTCATCCATGTCCCTACAAAAGACATGAACTCATCATTTTTTATGGCTGCATAGTATTCCATGGTGTATATGTGCCACATTTTCTTAATCCAGTCTATCATTGTTGGACATTTGGGTTGGTTCCAAGTCTTTGCTATTGTGAGTAGTGCCGCAACAACATATGTGTGCATGTGTCTTTATAGCAGCATGATTTATAGTCTTTTGGGTATATACCCAGGATGGCTGGGTCAAATGGTATTTCTAGTTCTATATCCCTGAGGAATCCCCACACTGACTTCCACAATGGTTGAACTAGTTTACAGTCCCACCAACAGTGTAAAAGTGTTCCTATTTCTCCACATCCTCTCCAGCATCTGTTGTTTCCTGACTTTTTAATGATTGCCATTCTAACTGGTGTGAGATGGTATCTCATTGTGGTTTTGATTTGCATTTCTCTGATAGCCAGTCATGGTGAGCATTTTTTCATGTTTTTTGGCTGCGTAAATGTCTTCTTTTGAGAAGTATCTGTTCATGTCCTTTGCCCACTTTTTGATGGGGTTGTTTATTTTTTTCTTGTAAATTTGTTTGAGTTCATTGTAGATTCTGAATATTAGCCCTTTGTCAGATGAGTAGGTTGCAAAAATTTTCTCCCATTTTGTAGGTTGCCTGTTCACTCTGATGGTAGTTTCTTTTGCTGTGCAGAAGCTCTTTAGTTTAATTAGATCCCATTTGTCAATTTTGGCTTTTGTTGCCATTGCTTTTGGTGTTTTAGACATGAAGTCCTTGTGCATGACTATGTCCTGAATGGTAATGCCTAGGTTTTCTTCTAGGGTTTTTATGGTTTTAGGTCTAACGTTTAAGTCTTTAATCCATCTTGAATTAATTTTTGTATAAGGTGTAAGGAAGGGATCCAGTTTCAGCTTTCTACATATGGCTAGCCAGTTTTCCCAGCACCATTTATTAAAAAGGGAATCCTTTCCCCATTGCTAGTTTTTGTCAGGTTTGTCAAAGATCAGATAGTTGTAGATATGCAGCATTATTTCTGAGGGCTTTGTTCTGTTCCATTGATCTATATCTCTGTTTTGGTACCAGTACCATGCTGTTTTGGTTACTGTAGCCTTGTAGTATAGTTTGAGGTCAGGTAGTGTGGTGCCTCCAGCTTTGTTCTTTTGGCTTAGGATTGACTTGGCAATGCGGGCTCTTTTTTGGCTCCATATGAACTTGAAAGTAGTTTTTTTCCAATTCTGTGAAGAAAGTCATTGGTAGCTTGATGGGGATGGCATTGAATCTATAAATTACCTTGGGCAGTATGGCCATTTTCACAATATTGATTCTTCCTACCCATGAGCATGGAATGTTCTTCCACTTCTTTGTATCCTCTTTTATTTCATTGAGCAGTGGTTTGTAGTTCTCTTTGAAGAGGTCCTTCACGTCCCTTGTAAGTTGGATTCCTAGGTATTTTATTCTCTTTGAAGCAATTGTGAGTGGGAGTTCATTCACGATTTGGCTCTCTGTTTGTCTGTTATTGGTGTATAGGAATGCTTGTGATTTTCGCACATTGATTTTGTATCCTGAGACTTTGCTGAAGTTGCTTATCAGCTTAAGGAGATTTTGGGCTGAGACAATGGGGTTTTCTAGATATACAATCATGTCATCTGCAAACAGGGACAATTTGACTTCCTCTTTTCCTAATTGAATACCCTTTATTTCCTTCTCCTGCCTAATTTCCCTGGCCAGAACTTCCAACACTATGTTGAATAGGAGTGGTGAGAGAGGGCATCCCTGTCTTGTGCCAGTTTTCAAAGGGAATGCTTCCAGTTTTTGCCCATTCAGTATGATATTGGCTGTGGGTTTGTCGTAGATAGCTCTTATTATTTTGAAATACGTCCCATCAATACCTAATTTATTGAGAGTTTTTAGCATGAAGCATTGTTGAATTTCGTCAAAGGCCTTTTCTGCATCTATTGGGATAATCACGTGGTTTTTGTCTTTGGTTCTGTTTATATGCTGGATTACATTTATTGATATGAGTATATTGAACCAGCCTTGCATCCCAGGGATGAGGCCAACTTGATCATGGTGGATAAGTTTTTTGATGTGCTGCTGGGTTTGGTTTGCCAGTATTTTATTGAGGATTTTTGCATCAATGTTCATCAAGGATATTGGTCTAAAATTCTCTTTTTTGGTTGTGTCTCTGCCCGGCTTTGGTATCAGGATGATGCTGGCCTCATAAAATGAGTTAGGGAGGATTCCCTCTTTTTCTATTGATTGGAATAGTTTCAGAAGGAATGGTACCACTTCCTTCTTGTACCTCTGGTAGAATTCGGCTGTGAATCCATCTGGTCCTGGACTCTTTTTGGTTGGTAAGCTATTGATTATTGCCACAATTTCAGAGCCTGTTATTGGTCTATTCAGAGATTCAACTTCTTCCTGGTTTAGTATTGGGAGGGTGTATGTGTCGAGGAATTTATCCATTTCTTCTAGATTTTCTAGTGTATTTGCATAGAGGTGTTTGTAGTATTTTCTGATGGTAGTTTGTATTTCTGTGGGATCGGTGGTGATATCCCCTTTATCATTTTTTATTGCATCTATTTGATTCTTCTCTCTTTTTTTCTTTATTAATCTTGCTAGCAGTCTCTCAATTTTGTTGATCTTTTCAAAAAACCAGCTCCTGGATTCATTGATTTTTTGAAGGGTTTTTTGTGTCTCTCTTTCCTTCAGTTCTGCTCTGATCTTAGTTATTTCTTGCCTTCTGCTAGCTTTTGAATGTGTTTGCTCTTGCTTCTCTAGTTCTTTTAATTGTGATGTTAGGGTGTCAATTTTAGATCTTTCCTGCTTTCTCTTGTGGGCATTTAGTGCTATAAATTTCCCTCTACACACTGCTTTAAATGTGTCCCAGAGATTCTGGTATGTTGTGTCTTTGTTCTCATTGGTTTCAAAGAACATCTTTATTTCTGCCTTCATTTCGTTATGTACCCAGTAGTCATTCAGGAGCAGGTTGTTCAGTTTCCATGTAGTTGAGTGGTTTTGAGTGAGATTCTTAATCCTGAGTTCTAGTTTGATTGCACTGTGCTCTGAGAGACAGTTTGCTATAATTTCTGTTCTTTTACATTTGCTGAGGAGTGCTTTACTTCCAACTATGTGGTCAGTTTTGGAATAAGTGTGATGTGGTGCTGAGAAGAATGTATATTCTTGATTTGGAGTGGAGAGACCTGTAGATGTCTATTAGGTCTGCTTGGTGCAGAGCTGAGTTCAATTCCTGGATATCCTTGTTAACTTTCTGTCTCATTGATCTGTCTAATGTTGACAGTAGGGTGTTAAAGTCTCCCACTATTATTGTGCGGGAGTCTAAGTCTCTTTGTAGGTCACTCAGGACTTGCTTTATGAATCTGGGTGCTCCTGTATTGGGTGCATATATATTTAGGATAGTTAGTTAGCTCTTCTTGTTGAATTGATCCCTTTACCATTATGTAATGGCCTTCTTTGTCTCTTTTGATCTTTGTTGGTTTAAAGTCTGTTTTATCAGAGACTAGGATTGCAACCCCTGCCTTTTTTTGTTTTCCATTTGCTTGGTAGATCTTCCTCCATCCTTTTATTTTGAACCTATGTGTGTCTCTGCACATGAGATGGGTTTCCTGAATACAGCACACTGATGGGTCTTGACTCTTTATCCAATTTGCCAGTCTGTGTCTTTTAATTGGAGCATTTAGTCCATTTACATTTAAAGTTAATATTGTTATGTTTGAATTTGATCCTGTCATTATGATGTTAGCTGGTTATTTTGCTTGTTAGTTGATGCAGTTTCTTCCTAGCCTCGATGGTCTTTACAATTTGGCGTGATTTTGCAGTGGCTGGTACTGGTTGTTCCTTTCCATGTTTAGTGCTTCCTTCAGGAGCTCTTTTAGGGCAGGCCTGGTGGTGACAAAATCTCTCAGCATTTGTCTGTCTGTAACGGATTTTATTTCTCCTTCACTTATGAAGCTTAGTTTGGCTGGATATGAAATTCTGAGTTGAAAATTCTTTTCTTTAAGAATGTTGAATATTGGCCCCCACTCTCTTCTGGCTTGTGGAGTTTCTGCTGAGAGATCAGCTGTTAGTCTGATGGGCTTCCCTTTGTGGGTAACCTGACCTTTCTCTCTGGCTGCCCTTGACATTTTTTCCTTCATTTCAACTTTGGTGAATCTGACAATTATGTGTCTTGGAGTTGCTCTTCTCGAGGACTATCTTTGTGGCATTCTCTGTATTTCCTGAATCTGAATGTTGACCTGCCTTGCTAGATTGGGGAAGTTCTCCTGGATAATATCCTGCAGAGTGTTTTCCAGCTTAGTTCCATTCTTTCTCCCCGTCACTTTCAGGTACACCAATCAGACGTAGATTTGGTCTTTTCACATAGTCCCATATTTCTTGGAGGCTTTGTTTGTTTCTTTTTATTCTTTTTTCTCTAAACTTCCCTTCTCACTTCATTTCATTCATTTCAAGTTGATCACATCGGCTCCTGAGGCTTCTGCATTCTTCACGTAGTTCTCGAGCCTTGGCTTTCAGCTCCATCAGCTCCTTTAAGCACTTCTCTGTATTAGTTATTCTAGTTCTACATTCATCTAAATTTTTTGCAAAGTTTTTAACTTCTTTGCCTTTGGTTTGAATTTCCTCCTGTAGCTCGGAGTAGTTTGATTGAAGCCTTCCCTCAACTCGTCAAAGTCATTCTCTGTCCAGCTTTGTTCCATTGCTGGTGAGGAACTACGTTCCTTTGGAGGAGGAGAGGCGCTCTGCTTTTTAGAGTTTCCAGTTTTTCTGCTCTGTTTTTTCCCCATCTTTGTGGTTTTATCTACTTTTGGTCTTTGATGATGGTGATGTACAGATGGGTTTTTGCTGTGGATGTCCTTTCTATTTGTTAGTTTTCCTTCTAACAGACAGGATCCTCAGCTGCAGGTCTGTTGGAGTTTGCTAGAGGTCCAATCCAGACCCTGTTTGCCTGGGTAACAGCAGCAGTGGCTGCAGAACAGCAGATTTTTGTGAACTGCGAATGCTGCTGTCTGATTGTTCCTCTGGAAGTTTTGTCTCAGAGAAGTACCCGGCCATGTGAGGTGTCAGTCTGCGCCTACTGAGGGGGTGCCTCCCAGTTAGGCTGCTCAGGGGTCAGGGGTCACGGACCCACTTGAGGAGGCAGTCTGCCCATTCTCAGATCTCCAGCTGCGTGCTGGGAGAACCACTGCTCTCTTCAAAGCTGTCAGACAGGGACATTTAAGTCTGCAGAGGTTACTGCTGTCTTTTTGTTCATCTGTGGCCTGCCCCCAGAGGTGGAGCCTACAGAGGCAGGCAGGCCTCCTTGAGCTGTGGTGGGCTCCACCCAGTTCGAGCTTCCCAGCTGCTTTATTTACCTAAGCAAGCATGGGCAATGGCAGGCGCCCCTCCCCCAGCCTCGCTGCTGCCTTGCAGTTTGATCTCAGACTGCTGTGCTAGCAATCAGCGAGACTCCATGGGCGTAGGACCCTCCAAGCCATGTGCAGGATATAATCTCCTGGTGCGCCATTTTTTAAGCCTGTTGGAAAAGCACAGTATTAGGGTGGGAGTGACCCGATTTTCCAGGTGCCATCTGTCACCCCTTTCTTTGACTAGGAAGGGGAACTCCCTGACCCCTTGTGCTTCCCGAATGAGGCAATGCCTCGCCCTGCTTTGGCTCGTGCATGGTGCACTGCACCCACTGTCCTGTGCCCACTGTCTGGCACTCCCTAGTGAGATGAACCCGGTACCTCAGATGGAAATGCAGAAATCACCCGTCTTCTGTGTCGCTCATGCTGGGAGCTGTAGACCAGAGCTGTTCCTATTTGGCCATCTTGGCTGCCCCAATTATTTCTTAATTATATCACACATTAATATGGGACTGCCCTAGTCGAAGGGGAAGAGCCATGCAGAAGGATCCTATACCTTTCAGCCATCCCCTCCAGGCTCTGAGATGCATCTATAGAACCCCCAAAGCCCAGTTTGAGAACCCTTGGGATTTATAGCTACTTTGCTTTTCATTGGGTAAGGTATACAATGGTTCTATTTCATATTAGGGAAGGCAAAACTTAGAACTCAAAATTACATGTGCTTTAGAATTTGCTGGTATCAAATAGACTAAGGCAGGCCTGAGAAGCCATCAGGTGGCATCCTAGGAGGCCCAGAGAGGCCACACTGCAGCCCTGAATGATTTGGAGAAGTCAGACAGCATGCACTCCCAGCACCAGCAAGAAGCTGGATCGAGGGAGCTCTGGGAAGAGGGACTTTGCAATGCCAGAGAGTGTCTTGCACCTGGAGGAAAGAAGGGCAAAGCCAAGTGTAGTATTTGAGATCTGGCAATTATTTATAGACTAACAGCAAGCCCAGTTGTTAGCCCAAAGCCAAGAGGAGAGAGCAACACAGAAACCCAAGCAGTCCAGACGAAGGGGGCATGGTGAGAGTGCATGTTCACCTTGGGCTCTTCTAAGTTTACCCTTCCCATCAAAGTGCTGACTGCATAGCAAATTCCTTGAGTATCTAAAAGTTAAGCAAGACCCAAAAACTGTAAAGATTTCACTTTTCCTGGGGAAGGCACAAAGATTAATGCCTGAGAAGGCTTGTTTCTGGAGCCGCTGATGCCTGAGAAGCCTTGTTTCTGGAGCTGTTGAACTTCAGAAACTTGGGGGAACCTGTGATTCGAGCTACGATTGAGATCTCTCAGATGCCACTTAGAAACTTTAGAATCTTTACACTTGCCAGGTTTGTAGCAACAGTAGCAAAAGAACTAATGATTGATAACAATGAATAACTGAGTACTTGGCTAGGCACTAAGGCCTGAGTACTTACTAGGTAGGCACAATTGCATTTACTCCTCTTGAACCCCAAGGAGATAGGCTGTGTTATTTTTGCCCACATTTAATGGAAGAAGAAACTAGTTCTCCGCACAGTTTAGTAATTTTCACAAGGTCACACAGTTGAACTGAAGTCTGTCACCCCCAAGTCTACACTCCTAATTACTCCATTCTACTACCACAAATACAAGAGGCATTGTATGCGTCTGGTTGTCTGTCGCAGCCACATGCAAGAAAGTTGCTTGCAAAGAATAGAGGCTTGCTATAAGGGTGATAATTATTGGTGTGTTCTCTCCTGGCAGTGCTATAACCTGTCGACTTTCTGGATTTCTATGGTGGATGCATTCTACCAGAGCCTCATCTGTTTCTTTATCCCTTACCTGGTAAGTCATGTAGTCCCATTCTAACCACATAAATTGCAGAGAAGAACTGGTCCTTTTTATATAAAGTTCCAGACCAGTAGTGTCCTTCTGGACACTTTAGAGCAGAGGCTCAAACAGGTAGCCTGCAGGTTACATCCAACCCAAGGTGTTTGAAAAGTCAGAACACTACCCAAACATTTTGATTTCTGCTGGCTCTTGAAAAACTGAAAGCTATATTTATACTGGGTCATTTTTTCCCTCATAGCAAAAATCTGGACTTGACTTTGCAGCTGGGCTCACCTTGTGAGCATGTTCTCCAGTTTGCCTTAGTCTCTACCACTCCCCTTTGTCTTACATCTGGCTATCTTTACTCATTAACTGTTTCCTACTTGAACACTGAAGGTATTTGAATTTACTACCCTTGATTTTTATATACACTTGTGCTTTGAAGGTCAAGGAAGCTAGCCTTCAGAGGCAGCAAGTTCCGATAATGAGATACTACATTATCTGAAAAAAAGTAGCAAGAATGCAGATAGCAAGGGATACCAGCCCAATCTCAGTTTGATTCCTCAGTTTAAATAGTGAGAATTTAGGTAGCAAACAATATATGTCTTCTTCCTGGACACACGGAACAGGATGGGAAGCAATTGCCACCAGGTAAACACTGTTGCTTATCCAACCTCTGGGCTCATATTCTTTCATAATTAGCAAGATGATGGAGTTAGGGGAGGCAGGGATCTTGTGTTTTGCTTGAACTTCCTGGCTTACAATACCCTCCCTGGCCAGGTCTTTGCTTGGCTTTCCTGCTATATCTTTTGCCCTTGAATATGCTCAACAGACCTACAATGTAGGACTCTGGAGTTCTACAAACCGTCTGTGTTCACCCTCCGTTCTGACCTTTTCTGGAACTGCATTTACCCTCTCTTTCCAAGTGATTAACTCCTCTTATTCTGGTCTCAGCTAATATATCCTCTTCTGTGTTCCCAGGGTACCTTGTACTTGCCTCTATTATAGCACGTACTTCCTTAAATTGTACCACATCCGCACTGCCTAATAGACTAAACTCATTGTAGGCAAACACAGAAGTATCCTCAGCTGTTAGCATTGTGTCTGATGGGCTCTCAATGAATTCTGTCTTCATTCATTCCACAATGGTTTCACAATCCCCATCTTGGCTTACTCCTGCAAACACCATTTCTAAATTAGTCCTATCAATTCCTTTCTTACCTTGACCTGTTCCTCGGATCAGTACCACACAGATGGCAGCTGGGTACCTCCTTCTCCATTGACAACTGCCTTCATTGATGCTTTATAATCACTGTGTCAAAGCCAAAGTTAGTCCACAGACATACCTGACAATGCCTGTCTGTTCCTCCTCTGCAGGCCTATAAGGGCTCTGATATAGATGTCTTTACCTTTGGGACACCAATCAACACCATCTCCCTCACCACAATCCTTTTGCACCAGGCAATGGAAATGAAGACATGGGTAAGTGTCCCAGAGCCCCTTTGGCTTCAAAACTGTGCTCCTGCCCATTGACTATACTCAAATTTCTGAATTGTTTCATTCTGTGTTATCAATCCACTCAATAAATACATACTAAGCTCCTACCCTATGTCCTACCTGTACAGGGATGAAAGGGGTGAAAAAGATAAAATTCTGGAATCAACTTGCTTTTCATCTAGCCAGGATGTTAAAACTAACATATATTAAAACAATGAGACAATTAGTTGCAAAAATAGATAATTGATAAAAAGTTCAGGGGTATGGCCAGGCATGGTGGCTCACACCTGTAATCCCAGCACTTTGGGAGGCCGAGGTGGACAGATCACCTGAGGTCAGGAATTCGAGACCAGCCTGGCCAAGATGGTGAAATCCCGTCTCTACTAAAAATAAAAAAATTAGTTGGGTGTGGTAGCAGGCGCCTGTGGTCACAGCTACTCGGGAGGCTGAGGCAGGAAAATTGCTTGAACATGGGAGGCGGAGGTTGCACTGAGCCAAGATCATGCCACCACACTCCAGCCTGGGTGACAGAGTGAGACTCCATCTCAAAAAACAAAAAACAAAAACAGTTCAGGCGTGTTTCAGAGACAAGGAAAACACTGACCATACATACCTGAGGCTGTGTTAGGGAGGAATTCTCCCCATTTAATTTTAGGGTGAATGATTAGAAACGTGCCTCCAGGTAACCATATCTCAAGCATATCCAAATGTCACATTTTGATATCTAAGAAGGCAATGTCACCTTTCTGATTAGATTTTTCTAGTCAGTAATAACTATAAAAACTAATAGCTTACAATTCTGTCTATACCAAGTGTCTCTCTACATGATTAGCGTGTATTATTTAACCTCTAGAGCCCTTTGTGTTAGGTGTTTTTATATTCCCATTTTACAGATTTAGAAATATGGCAGATGCAATAAGGTTTAACTTGCCCCCAAGCAGTTTAAGATAGAAGCAAGTTTTGAACCCTGGCAGTTTAACGTGAGCCTTTAACATCCATGCTAATAGTGTAAGTAGATAAGATTGAATGGTACACAGGGAACACTTTACAGAAAGATGTGTCCTTAGCCAAGTTCAGATGGCTTTCTGGAAGTACAAGCATTAAAAATTTGGAAAATAGCCCCAAGTAGGCTCAGCATGTTCCTACATTCTGCAATGGAACTCTCCACCCCAGCCTCCCACCACCACTATCACAAGCTAAAGCAGGCCATAACCAGCTGGGCAGTGGCTGATAAGAGCCACTCAAAGGTAGTTTTGGATCATGGAGTTCTCATTTTGAAAACCCCCTCTCCTATTCAACATAGTATTGAAGTTCTGGCCAGGGCAATCAAGCACGAGAAAGAAATAAAGGGTATTCAAATAGAAAGAGAGAAAGTAAAATTGTCTGTTTACAGATGACATGATTGTATATTTAGAAAACCCCATTGTCAGGGCAGGTGCGGCGGCTCACACCTGTAATCCTAGTGCTTTGGGAGGCTGAGGTGGGCAGATCACAAGGTGAGAAGTTCAAGACCAGCCTGGCCAACATGGTGAAACCCCATCTCTACTAAAAATACAAAAATTAGCTAGGCATGATGGCATGTGCCCGTAATCCCAGCTACTCAGGAGCTCAGGAGGCTGAAGCAGAATTGCTTAAACTGAGACCTGGGAGACAGAGGTTGCAGTGAGCCGAGATCATGCCATTGCACTCCAGCCTGGGCTATGGAGCAGGACTCCATCTCAAAAGAAAAAATAAAAGATTATCTAAGCCCAAAAACTCCTTAAGCTGATGAGCAACTTCAGCAAAGTCTTAGGATAGAAAATCAATGTACAAAAATCATAAGCATTCCTATACACCAACAATAGACAAACAGAGCACCAAATCATGAATGTACTTCCAATCACAATTGCTACAAAGAGAATAAAATACCTAGGAATACAGCTAACAATGGAAGTGAAGGACCTCTTAAAGGAGAACTACAAACCACTGGTCAAGGAAATAAAAGAGGACACAAACAAATGGAAAAACATTCCATGCTCATGGATAGGAAGAATCAATATTGTGAAAATGGCCATACTGCCCAAAGTAATTTATAGAATCAATGCTATTCCCAAACTACCATCAACATTATTCACAGAATTAGAAAAATCTACTTTAAATTTCATATGAAACCAAAAATGAGCTCATATACCCAAGAAAATCCTAAGTAAAAAGAACAAAACTGGAGGCATCATGCTACCTGACTTCAAACTATACTACAAGGCTACAATAACCAACACAGACATATACACCAATGGAACAGAGCAGAGACCTCAAATAACACCACACACCTACAACCATCTGATCTTCAACAAACCAGACAAAAACTAGCAATGGGGAAAAGATTCCCTATTTAATAAATGGTACTGGGAAAACTGGTTAGCCATATGCAGGATCCCTTCCTTACACCTTATACAAAATTAACACCTTATACAAAAATTAACTCAAGATGGATTAAAGACTTAAACATAAGACCCAAAACCATAAAAGCCCTAGAAGAAAACCTAGGCAATACCATTCAGGACATAGGCACAGGCAAAGATTTCATGACGAAAACACCAAAAGCAATTGCAACAAAAATGAAAATTTACTAAACTAAAGAGCTTCTGCACATCAAAAGAAAGTATCATCAGAGTGAAAAGGCAATCTACAGAATGGGAGAAAATTTTTGTAATCTAACCATCTGACAAAGGGCTAATATCTAGAATCTACAAGGAACTTACACAAATTTACAAGAAAAACACCATCAAAAAGTGGGCAAAGGATATGAACACATACTTCTCAAAAGATGACATTTATGTGACCAACAAACATGAAAAAAAGCTCAACATCACTGATCATTAGAGAAATGCAAATCAAAACCATAATGAGATACCATCTCACGCCAGTCAGAATGACGATTATTAAAAAGTGAAGAAACAGTAGATGGCGAGGCAGTGGAGAAATAGGAACGCTTTTACACTGTTGGTGGGAATGTAAATTAGTTCAACCATTGTGGAAGACAGTGTGGTTATTCCTCAAGGATCTAGAACCAGAAATACCATTTGACCCAGCAATCCCATTACTGGGGATGTACCCAAAGCATTATAATTCATTCTACTATAAAGACACATGCATACAAACATTTATTGCAGCACTATTTACAATAGCAAAGACATGGAACCAACCCAAATACCCAATGACAGATTGGATAAAGAAAATGTGGTACACACACACACTATAGAATACTATGCAGCCATAAAAAAGAATGAGGTCATGTCTTTTGCAGGGACATAGATGAAGCTGGAAGCCATTATCCTCAGCAAACTAACACAGGAACAGAAAACCAAACACCACATGTTCTCACTGATAAGTGGGAGTTCAACAATGAGAACACATGGACACAGGGAGGGGAACAACACACACTGGGGACTGTCAGGAGGTGGGGAACAAGCGGAGGGAGAGCATTAGGACAAATACCTAATGCATGCAGGGCTTAAAACCTAGATGACAGGTTGATAGATGCAGCAAACCACCATGGCACATGTATACCTATGTAACAAACTTGCACGTTCTGTACATGTATCCCGGAACTTAAAGTAAAATAAAAATTTTTTAAAATCCTGCTCCAATGTGTACCAATGACAGAACAAAGTGATAAGACAAAAAAAGGCATAGCCAGGCTTAAGTACAGGACAAATTTCTTCATGGGCCAGAAACACCAGAAGAGGCTGCAATACAATGAGGAAGGGAAGAAGAAGAGAAGGCACTGGGAAGGCTCAAACTGCAGACTTTCTGGGAACTGGGACAGGACACAGATCATGGCAATGGGGACTCTGGCTCCTGCGGGGTAGGGCAGACTGGAACCCCATCTACTGCTGGGTCTAAAATTCTCCTACTCAAGAAAGAAATCTAAAGAAAAGATAACAATGGCAAGCTGTTTGGAGGTATAGTTTTTGGTTTTTTGTTTGTTTTTTGGAGATGAAGTCTCGCTCTGTCATCCAGGCCAGAGTGCAGTGGCGCCATCTTGGCTCATTGCACCTCCGCCTCCTGGGTTCAAAAGATTCTTCTGCCTCAGCCTCCTCAGTAGCTGGGACTATGGCGCGTGCCACCATGCCCAGCTAATTTTTTGTAATTTTAGTAGAGACAGGGTTTCAATATGTTAGCCAAGATGGTCTCAATCTCCTGACCTCGTGATCCGCCCGTCTCAGCCTCCCAAGAAGGTATAGTTTTATCAGAAGCTGTTTGATACTAGAAACCACCAAGCTAATGAATTCTTGAAAATAAAATATTGTCATTGAAATTAAAACTACAATTTGTAGGATCTGCTCTAGATCAGACACTGGCAAAAAATAAACTGCCAAATTGAAATGTAGTTTTGGGAGCTTATCCAGAATGATACACAAATATGAAAAATAAGAGGAAATGGTGGCTAGAACAAATGGCTTCAGCCTCTCTAAATAGGAATATCAGGAGGAAAAAAGAATGATGGAGAAGCAATATTTGAAGAAATTGTCATTGAGAATGAAAATTTATCAAAAATCTGGATGTATTGCCTGGATATATCATAATTAAATTGTATAATATAAAACATACAGAGGCAGCCCTTAAGTCTGCCAGAGACTATAGACAAATTACTTGAAAAGGAACAGCTATGCTGGTGACCAAACAATAAAAGCCAGGAGACAATGGAGTAATTGTCTTCAAAAAACCTGAAGGAGAAAATAAAACTAGAAAAGCTACACTATTAAGAGTAAGGCAAGATAAATCCTATTTTCAAATAAACTCTATAAGGTTAACTACCCATAGGCCCTCACAAAAAAAGGAACATACTTCTGCAAGAATGTAAACAAAAGCTAAAACTATAAGACACAACATAAAGAAGGGCTATTCAATAGGTAGGTAATTTATGCTAAAGCCTTCATAGTGGATAGAAGAATAAAAATACACATTTAACTATACATTTTTCCATAAGAGTTCAGTTTTTTTAGTATCTTAAGATTAATCACTAAAAGGGAAAAAGAAAAAAATCTAGAAAACTGTCAATTCTGCAGATGTAGGAAAGATGAAAAAATGAGAGCAGGGGTGGCTGGCGAGATGGCCAAATAGGAACAGCTCCAGCCTGCAGTTCCTAGCAAGATCAACACAGAAGGTGGGTGATTTCCGCATTTCCAACTGAGGTACCCAGCTCATCTCACTGGGAGTGCTTAGACAGTGGTTGCAGCCCACAGAGAGCGAGCCAAAGTAGGGTGGGGCATTGCCTCACCCGGAAAGCACAAGGGGTTGGGGAACTGCCTGCCCTAGCCAAGGGAAGCCATGAGGAGCCATGAGGAACAGTCTACTCTGGCCCAGATACTACACTTTTCCCACAGTCTTCCCAATCCACAGACCAGGAGATTCTCTCGGGTGCCTACACCACGAGGGCCCTGGGTTTCAATCACAAAGCTGGGTGGCCGTTTGGGCAGACATGGAGATAGCTGCAGGAGTTTTGTTTTTTTTTTCCATACCCCAGTGGTGCCTGGAATGCCAAAGAGATAGAACTGTTCACTCCCCTGGAAAGGGGGCTGAAGCCAGGGAGCCAAGTGGTCTAGTTCAGCAGATCCCACCCCCATGGAGCCCAGTAAGCTAAGATCCACTGGCTTGAAATTCTCACTGCGAGCACAGCAGTCTGAAGTTGACCTGGTACACTCCAGCTTGGTTGGGAGAGGGGTGTCCACCATTACTGAGGCTTCAGTAGGTGGTATTCCCCTCACAGTGTAAACAAAGCCACCAGGAAATTCGAACTGGACAGAGCCCACTGCAGCACTTCATAGCTTCTGTAGCCAGACTGCCTGTCTAGATTCCTCCTCTCTGGGTGGGGCATCTCTGCAAGAAAAGCAGCAACTCCAGTCAGAGGCTTATAGATAAAACTCCCCTCTCCCTGGGACAGAGCACCTCGGGGTAGGGGTGGCTGTAGGCACAGCTTCAGCAGACTTAAACGTTCCTGACGGCCAGCTCTGAAGCACAGCGCTCGAGCTCTGCTAAGGGACAGACTGTCTCCTCCAGTGGGTCCCTGACCCCTGTGCTTCCTGATTGGGAGACACCTCATACAGGAAAGTTCTGGCTGGCATCTGGTGGGTGCCCCTCTGGGATGAAGCTTCCAGAAGAAGGAACAGGCAGCAATCTTTGCTGTTCTGCAGCCTCTGCTGGTGATATCCAGGCAAACAGGGTCTGGAGTGGACCTCCAGCAAACTCCAGCAGACAGGCCTGACTGTTAGAAGGAAACTAACAAACAGAAAGGAATAGCATCAACATCAACAAAAAAAAGCCCATACAGAAACCCCATCTGAAGTTCACTAACATCAAAGACCCGAAGGTAGATAAATCCATGAAGATGAGAAAAAAACAGCACAAAAAGGCTGAAAATTCCAAAAACCAGAATGCCACTTCTCCTCCAAAAGATCACAACTCCTCACCAGCAAGGGAACAAAACTGGATGGAGAATGAGTTTGATGAATTGACAGAAGTAGGCTTCAGAAGGTGGGTAATAACAAACACCTCCAAGCTAAAGGAGCATGTTCTAATGCAATGCAAGGAAGCTAAGAACCTTGAAAAAAGATTAGAGGGATGGCTAACTAAAACAACCAGTTTAGAGAAGAACATAAATGACCTAATGGAGCTGACAAACACAGTATGGGAACTTTGTGAAGCATACACAAGTATCAATAGCTGAATCGATCAAGTGGAAGAAAGGATATCAGAGATTGAAGATAAACTTAATGAGAAAGCTTGAAGACAAGATTAGAGAAAAAAGAATGGAAAGGAATGAACAAAGCCTCCAAGAAATATGGAACTATGTGAAAAGACCAAACCTATATTTGATTGGTGTACCTGAAAGTGATGGGGAGAATGGAACCAACTTGGAAAACACTCTTCAGGATGTTATCCAGGAGAACTTCTCCAACCTAGCAAGACAGGCCAAGACACATAATTGTCAGATTCACCAAGGTTGAAATGAAGGAAAAAATACTAAGGGCAACCAGAGAGAAAGGTCGGGTTCCCCACAAAGAGAAGTCCATCAGACTAACAGCAGATATCTCTGTAAAAATCCTACAAGCCAGGAGAGAGTGAGGACCAATATTCAACATTCTTAAAGAATTTTCAACCCAGAATTTCATATCCAGCCAAACTAAGCTTCATAAGCAAAGGAGAAATAAAATCCTTTACGACAAGCAAATGATGAGAGATTTTGTCACCACCAGGCCTACCTTACAAGAGCTCCTGAAGGAAGCACTAAGTATGGAAAGGAAAAATCAGTAGCAGCCACTGCAAAAACATACCAAATTATAAAGACCATTGACACTATGAAGAAACTGCATCAACTAATGGGCAAAATAACCAGTTAACATCATGACAGGATCAAATTCACACATAACAATATTAACCTTAAATGTAAGTGGGCTAAATGCTCCAATTAAAAGACACAGACTGGCAAATTGGATAAAGAGTCAAGACCCATTGGTGTGCTGTATTCTGGACACCCATGTCACATATGCAAAGACACACATAGGCTCAAAATAAAGGGATGGAGGAATACTTACCAAGCAAATGGAAAACAAAAAAAAGCAGGGTTGCAATCCTAGTCTCTGATAAAACAGACTTTAAACCAACAA
Organism: Homo sapiens; assembly: GCF_000001405.40. Lineage (NCBI taxonomy): Eukaryota > Metazoa > Chordata > Mammalia > Primates > Hominidae > Homo > Homo sapiens. The sequence goes on along the minus strand of NC_000005.10, from coordinate 160,581,927 downwards.
AGATCAAAAAAGACAAAGAAGGGCATTACATAATGGTAAAGGGATCAATGCAACAGGAAGGGCTAACTATCCTAAATATATATGCACCAAATACAGGGCACCCAGATTCATAAATCAAGTTCTTAGAGACCTACAAAGAGACTTAGACTCCCATACAATAATAATGGGAGGCTTTAATACCCCACTGTCAATAGTAGACAGATCAACAAGACAGAATATTAACAAGGATATTCAGGACTTGAACTCAGCTCTGGACTAAGCAGACCTAATAGACATCTACAGAACTCTACACCCCAAATCAACAGAATATACATTCTTCTCAGCACCACATCACACTTATTCTAAAATTGACCACATAATTGGAAGTAAAACACTCGTCAGCAAATACAAAAGAATGGAAATCATAACAAACAGTCTCTCAGACCACAGCACAATCAAATTAGAACTCGGCATTAAGAAACTCACTTGAAACTGAACAACTACATGGAAACTGAACAACCTGCTCCTGAATGACCACTGGGTAAATAATGAAATTAAGGCAGAAATAAAGAAGTTCTTTGAAACCAGTGAGAACGAAGACACAATGTACCAGAATCTCTGGACACAGCTAAAGCAGTGTTTAGAGGGACGTTTATAGCACTAAATGCCCAGAGGAGAAAGTGGGAAAGATCTAAAATCAACACCCTAACATCACAATTAAAAGAACTAGAGAAGCAAGAGCAAACAAATTCAAAAGCTAGCAGAAGACAAGAAATAACTAAGATCAGAGCAGAACTGAAGGAGATAGAAACACAAAAAACCCTTCAAAAACAAAAAATCAATGAATCCAGGAACTAGTGTTTTGAAAAGATTAACAAAATAGACCACTAGCCAGACTAATGAGAGAAAAATCAAATAGACAGAATAAAAAATGATAAAGAGGATATCACCACTGATCCCACAGAAATACAAACTACCATCAGAGAATACTATAAACACCTCTACACAAATGTACTGGAAAATCAAGAAGAAATGGATAAATTCCTGGACACATACACTCTCCCAAGACTAAACCAGGAAGAAGTCAAACCCCTGAACAGACCAATAACAAGTTCTGAAATTGAGGCAGTAATTAATAGCCTACCAACCAAAGAAAGCCCAGGACCAGACGGATTCACAGCCGAATTCTACCAGAGGTACAAAGAGGAGCTGATATCATTTCTTCTGAAACTATTCCAAACAATAAAAAAAGAGGGACTCCTCCCTAACTCATTTTATGAAGCCAGCATCATCCTGATACAAAAACCTGGCAAAGACACAACAAAAGAAAATTTCAGGCCAATATCCCTGTTAAACATTGATGCAAAAATCCTAAATAAAATACTGGCAAACCAAATCCAGCAGCACATCAAAAAGCTTATCCACCCACAATCAAGTCAGCTTCATCCCTGGGATGCAAGGCTGGTTCAACATACATAAACAATAAATGTAATCCATCACATAAACAGAACCAATGACAAACACCACACAATTACCTCAATAGATGCAGAAAAGGCCTTCGATAAAATTCACCTCTTAATGCTAAAAACTCTCAATAAATTAGGTATTGATGGAACGTATCTCAAAATAATAAGAGCTATTTATGACAAACCCATAGCCAATATCATACTGAATGGGCAAAAGCTGGAAACATTCCCCTTGAAAACCGACAGAAAACAAGGATGCCACCCTCTCTCACCACTCCTATTCAACATAGTATCGGAAGTTCTGGCCAGGGCAATCAGGCAAGAGAAAGAAATAAAGGGTATTCAAATAGGAGAAGAGGAAGTCAAATTGTCTCTGTTTGCAGATAACATGATTGTATATCTAGAAAACCCCATTGTCTCAGCCCCAAATCTTAAGCTGATAAGCAACTTCAGCAAAGTCTTGGGATACAAAATCAATGTACAAAAATCACAAGCATTCCTATACACCAATAATAGACAAACAGCCAAATCATGAGTGAACTCTCCCATTCACAATTGCTACAAAGACAATAAAATACCTAGGAATACAGCTAACAAGGGAAGTGAAAGACATCTTCAAGGAGAACTAGAAACCACTGGTCAAAGAAATAAGAGAGGACACAAACAAATGCAAAAACATTCCATGCTCATGGATAGGAAGAATCAATATTGTGAAAATGGCCATACTGCCCAAATTAATTTATAGATTCAATGCTATCCCCATCAAGCTACCACTGACTTTCTCCACAGAACTGGAAAAATCTACTTTAAATTTCATATGGAACCAAAACAACCCATATAGACAAGACAATGCTAAGCAAAAAACACAAAGCTGGAGGCCTCATGCTGCTTGACTTCAAACTATGCTACAAGGCTACAGTAACCAAAACAGCATGGTACTGGTACCAAAACAGATATATAAACCAACAGAACAGAACAGAGGCCTCAGAAATCACATCACACATCTACAACCATCTGATCTTTGACAACTCTGACAGAAACAAGCAATGGGGAAAGGATTCCCTATTTAATAAATGGTGTTGGGAAAACTGGCTAGCCATATGCAGAAAACAAACTGGACCCCTTCCTTACACCTTATACAAAAATTCACTCAAGATGGATTAATGACTTAAATGTAAGACCTAAAACCATAAAAACCCTAGAAGAAAACCTAGGCAATACCATTCAGGACATAGGCATGGGCAAAGACTTCATGACTAAAACACCAAAAGCAATGGCAACAAGAGCCAAAATTGAAAATGGGATCTAATTAAAGAGCTTCTGCACAGCAAAAGAAACTATTATCAGAATGAACAGGCAACCTACAGGATGGCAGAAAATTTTTGCAATCTATCCATCTGACAAAGGGCTAATATCCACAATCTACAAGGAACTTAAATTTACAAGAAAAAGCAATCCCATCAAAAAGTACACAAAGGACATGAACAGATACTTCTCAAAAGAAGACATTTATGTGGCCAACAAACATATGAAAAAAGCTCATCATCACTGGTCATTAGAGAAATGCAAATCAAAACCACAATGAAATACCATCTCACTCCAGTTAGAATGGCGATCATTAAAACGTCAGGAAACAACAGATGATGGAGAGGATGTGGAGAAAACTTTTACACTGTTGGTGGGAGTGTAAATTAGTTCAACCATTGTGGAAGACAGTGTGGCGATTCCTCAAGGATCTAGAACCAGAAATACCATTTGATCCAGCCATCCCATTACTGGGTATATACCCAAAGCATTATAAATCATTCTACTATAAAGACACATGCACACACGTTTATTGCAGCTCTGTTCACAATAGCAAAGACTTGGAACCAACCCAAATGCCCACCAATGATAGACTGGATAAAGAAAATGTGGCATATATATATATACCATGGAATACTATGCAACCATAAAAAAAGGATGAGTTGTCCTTTGAAGGGACATGGATGAAGCTGGAAACCATCATTCTCAGGAAACTAACACAGGAACAGAAAACCAAAAATACTGCATGTTCTCACTCATAAGTGAGAGTTGAACAATGAGAACACATGGACACAGGGAGGGCAACATCACACACTTGGGCCTGTCAGATGGTGCTAGGGGAGGGATAGCATTAGGAGAAATACCTAATGTAGATGGTTTGATGGATGCAGCAAACCACCATGGCACGTGTATGCCTACGTAACAAACCTGCACATTCTGCACATGTAGCCCAGAACTTAAAGTATAATGAAAAAATGCATTTTAATTTTAAAAATAAAATGAGAGCAAAGAAAATGATGGCAAACAAAAAATGCAAAATGAGATGTTTAACTAAATTGAAATATATCAGTACTCATAGTTGATGCAAGTAGATTAAATTCTTCCTTTAAAAAAATTACAGACTGGATTTTTTTCATCCAGCAAAAATAAGAAATGGACAAATTCACAATCATAGTTTGATATTTTCATACAACTATATAAGAAACTGGTATAGATCAAATAGATGAAAAAATAGAAGGGGTATAGAAACTTTTAATAAATTGTTTGACCTAATATATAAAACTTTGCTCAAAACAGATAACATTTTTTCAAACATACACAAACCAGTTACCAGAGAGACAATTCTAAATCACAAAGGAATTTGAAAGAAAAAAAAAATCATAAAGTTTATGTTCTCTGACAAGTTATTTAAATTAGAAACCAGCAATAAACAGGTAGCCACATAAAACCTAACAAACTTAGAAATTTCAAAATGTACTTCTAAACAACTTATGAAATAAAGAGTAAGTCATGATGGAAATTCTAAATACCTTTTGCTCAATGTCTATAAAAATACTAGCACTTTTAATGGCAAAATCCACGATTACTTATGTACCAACCTAAGGATTAGAAATCCCCTAGGACGCGGTGCTCTCCAGCCCCAGAAAATCAATAATGATCTGTCTTAAGTAGGAGCAGTAATTCCTTTACCTTCAGCAGTGATTGGTCCAGGGTGGGCACATGATCCAGCTCTTAGCCAATGAGAGGTCAAGGGATACCTGTTTTTTTAATTATTATTATCAATAAGATAGAGTCATGAGGTAAAAGCCTTTTGTCCCACCTTTTCCTTCCTGCTTTTGTCAGTGCCCTGTGACCAAATGATGTGTGGCACTGCAGCCACTGTTTTGGGCAATGAGTTTAAGGACAAAGCCAACTACTGCTAGAGATCCCAGAGCAGAAAGATGAAAAGAGCCTGGATTCTTGGACACACTGAGCCCCTGGCTGCCAACCTTAAGATGTTTTGCTATAAAAGATGATATTTCTTCTTTGATTAAGCTGCTGTCAGGCACACTGTCACTTGCAGTTGAAAATGTAACAAATGCCATCACATTCCCAATGCCATATTCCTCAGATTACCTTCAGAGAAGGAAGCTAAAGCTAGCAAACCCTTGAAGGTACAGGGATCAGCATTCCAGCTGAGGTGTTTGGACTTTTCCTGGGAGGGAAATGTGTTCAGAAGATCCTCCTATCTCCAATGTGCCAACATCTACCTATGATACTTACCTCTCCTTTGCTTCACATCCTACCATGGTTCCCCATTGCTCTTAGGACAGAGTCCAAACTCCTCACTTACGAACCTGTAATATCTGGGTCCTGCTGGCCCCCTGGCATCACCAGTGATGCTTCCTACTTCATACTTAGACCCCAGCCAGACCAAGCTACTTTTAGTTCTCAAATACCCTATTCTTGCTTCTAGGCCTCTGCATTTGCTAATTTCTCTCCCATTTCCTCTGGCTCTCTTCTCATCCTTCAGGCCTCATCTCAAATGTTGTCTCCTCCAAGAGGCCTTCCTTGGTGTCTAGGCTGGATTCTGTAACCCCTTGGGGCTCCCATTGTGTCTTGTGATTTCTCTTATTAAACACTTACTGAACTGGATTGTGATTGTTTTCATAATTGCTCTGCACTATGCTGCTTCCAGCTCCCTTTCCTAACTTCTGGCCCTGATTACCAAATGTGAGCTTAGGCTCATGGCCAGATTCTTGGCTGTAGACTCAAAGATAACTGCTTCCCATAGACCCCTCCATCACTTTTTTGCAGTCACGTCTGTAGTTGGATGTGCTTGGTTTCTCAATTTGGTGACTTTTATCCTTTAAGTCCTTTTCTGGGCTTCACTTTCTCACTCCTCTCACAATTATGGGAGGTCTAGTCCCTGTAGTAAATCTCTTATCCTAGACACTCACAGTAACTCTTCTCCCCTGACTGATACACAATCCAGAGCAGACACTGTCTCCTGGTTTTGGAGATGGAGACATGACCCAGAACCCCATCCAAACAATTCTACCCGACCCCATTCACAGTGATTGGTTCAGGCATGTACATATGACCCAGTCCTGGCCAATGAGATCCTGCCTTAGGATTTTTGTTGGAAAGCAGGAGCAGTCTTTCCGCTGTGGTTGCTGAGCCAGTTGTTTGGAAGCCTGGAGCAACTGGCAATTTCTTGCCGTAATGTAGAAAGGACTACTGGAGAATGAGACCAACAGAGAGGAAAGCAGGATGAAGAAAGGGAGAGGTGCAGATTCCATGGGACATTGCTGAGTGCCTGCATCCAGCTTTGCCTGAAGCTAATCCTACCTCTAGGCTTATTATAGCTCAATTCAGTCATAGTTGGTTTTTTGTACCATCTAGTCAAAAGAGCCTGGCCAATGTGTGAACAATAACTATCTGTTAAATAAATGAATCTCAAATTGACTGTGGCTATTTAGGGGTTTTTTTTTATTTGTTTAATCCATTGTTTTCTTTTTAGAAGAAAAAAAGAATTTAGTGGGTTGTTGTTATATGAAAAATGAATCCTAGATAGAATCCTAGGAGGGGATTTTAATCATCATTTAATCCAGTGCTTTTTTTAATTACAGATATGGAAATTGAGGCTCAAAGAGGGTATCTGAATTGCCAGGATCACATGGCCAGGTAGAGAATGTATAATCTGAATATGCTCATAAGGAAACATCAGACAAATACAAAATGAGCATTATTCTTTCTTTAAACAAAAAGGTGGTAGGTAGGGTGAGAGTATTCCAGTATTTTTCAAAAATGTCACTGCCATAAAAAACCAAAGGCTACGAAATAGCCCAGATTAAAGGAGACTAAGGAGACATGAAAACTAAATGTAATATTTGACCCTAAACTGGATTCTGTGCTGAAGGGAAAAAAAACACACCATTAGGACATTATTGGATCAATTAACAAAATATGAATGTAAAAAAATTTTAGCTATGTTAAATTAATTTTAGCAATGTTAAGTTTGGTAAAATTTACCAAAATCCAGTCAAGATCACTCAGCAAGCCTGAATAAGCCAAATCCTATCCCCAAAAACATTAGACCCAAAGGATTTAAAGTTTGATCAAACTTGTAAAGAACAGTTAATCTCTATTATATCAATTTTTTCATGGAATAAAAAAATAGAAAAAGATAAGTGTCTTAGTCAGTTTATGCTATTGCAACAGAACACCTGAGACTGGGTAATTTACAAAGAATAGAAATATATTTCTCATAGCTCTAGGGGCTGATAAGTCTAAGACCAAAGCACCAGCAGGTTCAGAGTCTGGTGAGCACTGCTCCCTGCTTCAAATGGTGTCCTCTTGCTGCATCTTTGGGAAGGGCACAAAAAAAAAAAAAAGATGAATGCTGTGTCCTCACAAGGCAAAAAGAGATGAAACAAACACTGTGTCCTCACATGGTGAAAGGGCAAAAAAAGCACTAGGATGCTTCCATCATCCTCTTTTATAAGGGCATCTAATTCATTCATGAAGGAAGATCTTTCATGACTTAATCACTTCCAAAAGGCCCCTCCTCTTAATACTATCACAGTGGGTATTAGGTTCCAACATATGAGTTTAGAGGGGGCACATACATTTAAACCACAGCAATAAGCAATTTGTTTTTCATGGCTATAATAACTGATATCAAAATGGGCATGGGCAGTTCAAGGAAAGAAAATTACAGACCAATCTCACTAACATTAGATGTAGAAAAAAAATTTTTTTTGAGATAGAATCTCACTCTTGTCACCCAGGCTTCAGTGCAGTGGCGCAATCTGGGCTCACTGCAACCTCCGCCTCCGGGTTCAAGTGATTCTCCTGCCTCACCCTCCCAAGCAGCTGGGATTATACACACACACCACCAAGCCCAGCTAATATTTTGTATTTGTAGTAGAGACAAGGTTTCATCATGTTTCCCAGGCTTGTCTTGAACTCCTCCTGACCTCAAGTGATCCACCCACCATGGCCTCCCAAAGTGCTGGGATTACAGGCGTGAGCCACCGCACCCAGCCAGATGTAGAAAATTCTAAATAAAATAGGGACAAGTCATTTTGGGAGTGTGTTAAAGATGTTAAAGCATAACCAAGGAACTTCCCTATCCTGTTAGTAGATCATAAACTCTGAAGAGTTATTTGAAAACAGCTAGAGGAATGTAAAGTACTCATTTTTTTGGCACAATTCTAAGTACATACCTCAGAAACACTCTTGCACACATATATGTGGAGACATGTACAGGAATGTTACATCGTTCTTAATAGCCAAAAGGGGGCCTAAATATTCATCGATCAGAAAAATAAGTTGCGGCCTGTTCATACCATGTAATAGTTAAAATGAACCTACTAGAGCTATGTCTTTCAACATAGATAAAATTTTAAAGCAGTGGTCCCCAACCTTTTTGGCACCAGGGACCACAGAAGACAATTTTTCCATAGAATTGAGGGGTGGAGGTGGTTTGGAATGAAACTGTTCCACCTCAGATCATCAGGCATTTGAGTCTCATAAGGAGCATGCAACCTAGATCCCTCACATCCACAGTTCACAATAGAGTTCTCGTGCTCCTATGAGAATCTAATGTCACCACTAATCTGACAGGAGTTGGAGCTCAGGCAGTAATGCTCACTCACCAGCCACTCATCTCCTGCTGTGCAGCCCAGTTCCTAATGGGCTATGGACTGGTACTAGTCCATGGCCCAGGAGCTGGGGACCCCTCTTCTTTAAAGTATAAAAGCAAGCGAAAAAAGCTGCAGAATTGTCTGCGTCTTCTCAGGCTGTCATAACAAATACCATAGACTGGGTGGCTTAAATAACAGATTCATTTCTCATGGTTCTGGAGGCTAGAAGCCCAAGATCAGTGCAGCAGCTGATTCAGCATCTGGTTCAGGCCCTCTTCCTTCCTGGACAGCTGCCTTCCAGCTATATTATCACTCACATGGCTGAATGAAAGAGAGAAGGATCAAATCTCTCATGTCTTTTCTTATAAGGGCACTAATCACATTCATGGGGGCTCCCCCTAATCACCTTCAAAAGGCCCCACATCAAAATGCTATCACATTGGAGATTAGGGTTTAAACATTACTAACTTGGGAGTAGGAGGACATAAACATTCAGCCCATACTAGAAGGATACATATATGATAAAGCAAAAAAGCATCCATAAACATGGGTAAACATGTACACGTGTATGAAACGTGTCAGACTGATACACACTGAATTTGTGTTCAAGATGAAAGAGGTCATTTGCAAGAGATATACACTTGCTTTAATTGTATCTGTAAGACTTAATCTTTCCATAAAATCTGAAGTAAATATAAGGTTAAAACCGATGAAGCTGAATGTTGGGTGTATGAGGTTTATTGTCTATAAGCATGAAATATTTCACAGCAATTTAATTACACTTTTAAAAACTAGTCCAAGATATTTTCCAAAAGGAATTCTCCTCTCTATGACTCTCTTAATCATTAGATTTTTTAAAACCATTCAAAAGATTTAATGTCCTGAAAGATTTTTAATCAGAACTCAACATTATATTAAATGAGTGGTGAGACTAAAGATTCTGTATTCTGATTGAACACTCAGTCCTCTTTCTCAAAGCACTGAAGCCATCTGCTTTAAAAGAGAAAAAGTACTCTTTTAGCACTATTAAGCCACCTAATCTATCTTCAGACTAGGTACCCTCAATAGTTACTGGTGATTTCTGGTGATTTGGGGAAAGGAGTCAGCTACTAAAATAATTATGAAAAATAATGCTTCCCTTTTGAAAGTACTTGAAGCAGGAAGAGAATCTATTTCTTCCCTGGATAGAAATATAACAAGAATTTTAAGAGCTTTGACAGTTTCAGTCCCCATTAAAGCAATTGAAAAAGTTAGCTAATTGCTTTCTTCTTCAGGAAACGGCGCTAGGTTATTTAGATCACATCCCTCACTGAGAACAACAAAAAATACTGGATAACTTTAAAAAAGGGGAAAAAAAAACTCTTTAAAAGCATGAGCAAGCTGACAAGAAAGCAATGACCAAACCTCAGGGAAAAGGAGATGCTAGAGAAACAAATTGAGCCAATGCTTTTCTTAAGGGTATTGGCAACTATCCCAAAAATGAACTTTTGTTTTGGCAGACTTGATTGAGCAAAAGTTTCAGAAATCAATACCTAGGCTCCTAAGTTAGGAGTCTAAGAGACAACATTAAAATAGGATCCCAAAGGCTGTGACTTCAAGGTAAGGATATACTCAGAAGTACACCCAATTATACTCCCTCCCCAGCTGGGACTGCAAAGATTTTTTTCCTCTGTGCTGAAGAGAGCAGAAAGAAATCAGCACCAATTTGCCCTGGGGAAATTGTGACCACAGACTGGCCTCAGGTACATATGTAGCCCAGGTTCATGTTACCTGGGTGAGCCAAACTTTCACCTATGAATTGAGCTTAAAGTACCTCAAGATTAGCAGTGCCCAACGATTGCAAAATACAAACACACACACACATGCATATGCAGATGTACACAATTCTTTTCTAGAGAAAGTTACCTTTATTCTAAGCCTCAAGTTGTGTCTAACTTTTAGCACAATAAGCATATTCAAAAATAATGAACCTCATAAAAGAATGAGTCCATGAGTGAAAAACCAAATATCAGAAACAAATATTTTAGAAACTGGAATTATCAAATATAAATTAAAGGAAAATCTATGTTTACTATGTCTAAAGAAACAAAGAATAAGCTTTAAAATATCTGCAGGGATTGGTAAACTATATAAAGCAACCTAGCAGATTTGAAAAATCAATAGAAAATTTAGAAATAAAGACTACAATAACTATAAGTTTCAATGGTTGGCTTAATAGAAAATTAGATATAGCTAAGGGAAGAATTATTGAATTGGTCAAAAGAAGTATTTGGACTATAAAACAGGAAAAGTAATGAAAATTATAGAAGCAATATTAAGAAAATAGAATGATATTTTAAGTGGTCTGACAAACATTTAATCAGAGTCTCAGAAAGAAATGAGAGAGGGAATGAAATATAGGCAATCTTTGAAAAGACTGTGATGAGAATTTTGCAGAAGTGATGAAAGATTCCAGCTCAGCAAAACCCAAGCAAGATAAATAAAAAGAAATTCATACTTACTCTGTCATAGAAAACTATAGATCAAAAAGACAAAAAAAAGTTATAAAAGCAAGCAGGCTTTAAGAGATAAAGATTTCCTTCTAAGGAAGAACAAGTGGAGATTAATAACTTCTTAATAGCAATAATGGAAGCCAGAAGACAGTGGAATGCCATATTAAACACATTGAAGGAAAATAGCTGCCTAACAAGAATTCCATATTCATCAAAAGACAAATTTCAAGAACAATGAAATAAAGCATCAGAGAGCATATCACTGTCAGACTCCCAAAAAGGACATTTTACAGGATGCACTTAAAAAGATACCTCGGGTGGAGGGTCCAAGGAATGGAGGCGTGAGAAGTGATAAACATGTGAGTAGATCTTAGTGAATACTGACCATACAAACAATAATGCCAGTGAGTTGAGTGATTTTAAAAGATGACAGAATTAAAACAGCAGCAAAACATATTAGCCAGGAGGGATGTAAAGAGAGTTAAAGTGCTCTAAATCTCGTGTGTAATTCAGGAGGATGGAAAACTAGTTGTAAGCTTTAGACTGCAGTAAGTTTGCTTGTTTAGACTGCAGTACATTTGCTTGTTTAGACTGCAGTATATTTGCTTGTTTAGACTTATTGAGTAATCACTAAAAGAATAGTCCCAAAATTATACAAAATAGTCAATATGTTTAAAAGAACAATAGAATGACTATAGTTAACATTAGCCGATTGTGTATTTCAAAATAGCTAGAAGAGAATCATTTGAATATTCCTAGAATAAAGAAAATATTTAAAGTCATGGATGTCATGATTACCCTAATTATATATGAATATACCAAATTATTACATGTACCCTGAAAATATATACATCTAGTATCAATTTTTAAAATTAAATAAAAATAAAAGACAAGGATGGGAAAAGAAAAGCACAAAACAGGCAGGACAAAATACGATCAAAAAACAGAATACTGCGCTGCTTTGAAAATGAATAAACTACTGCCATGTGGAAAAAATGGGCTCATCACACAAACATAATATTGAGGGAAAAAAAACAAAAAGTCATACGAAACATGATTCTATTTATCCATTTAAAAACAGGCTATGTTGGAAAACCTAGATAGGTGGTAAACCTACAAAGGATAGCATAGAAATTATCACCAAAAGCAGGGGTGAGACAGAATAGGGTCTTCTGGGGTATGTGTGTTCAATTCTACATGGCAGCAATCTGGTGTTTGCTTTATAATGATAGATTAAGCTGCACACTTTTTTGAATTTTGTGTGTTTTGCATTTCAAAAATAGTTTGAAACAAAGTTAATCAAGTAGTTTGATCACCCTGCCTCCTAATCTCAGCTATACCTTCAACAGTGTTTGCTTATTTCCCTCCACAGACCATTTTCCACGGAGTCGTGCTCCTCGGCAGCTTCCTGATGTACTTTCTGGTATCCCTCCTGTACAATGCCACCTGCGTCATCTGCAACAGCCCCACCAATCCCTATTGGGTGATGGAAGGCCAGCTCTCAAACCCCACTTTCTACCTCGTCTGCTTTCTCACACCAGTTGTTGCTCTTCTCCCAAGGTTTGAGCACTAGGGCTGTGTTTCTTTCCTAAAATTACCAATCTCCCTTTAATAAGCCATTTTTATAACCCAAGAGTCAGGAGTTTGACTTCTGCTGGCATCCTTGAGGCTAATGTTTCAGAAACAGAGAGATGGGACAGAAAGAACAATGAATGACAAAGGAGGCAAATAACATGGACTGTGGTCCCAGGTTAGCCACAAAGTAGCAAAGTCACCAAATCAGTGTGACCTCAGTTGTGACATCTATAAAATGGGAGTATCAATTCCTACCCTCCTGCCTTACAAATTTTTTGTGTAGTAAGGAATTATTTTGAGAAGCTCTATGGTCCTTTATTGTATTAGTCCAGGAATCTTATACTCAAATGCCTACAGGGACAGGCCAGCAAGTTCAGCAAGCCAGATGGAGTACAGATATTGGAAGAAAGAGCTTCTCAGCTTCTATCATGGCCACAAGGAAAGATCAAGTCAAACATTCCAGAGCTTCAGCATTTTCCCAGAAATTCAAATTGTGCATGAAATTGCCAGTGTTTAAATACTATTCAAATTTGTTTAAACACACACCTTCCATACAAGACCTGCATTAGACAAATAATCCATGCCCAGGGACTATGTCAGATATTTCCAGGTTAAACCCTCTGCAGTAAATGTGCCTTTTCCAGAAAAATAGCAACAGCAACTATAAATGCCTTGCCTTGCCTTGCCTTGGAGCTCACTCTTGACATAGGCTCTCCCATCTAGCCTCTCATTTTGTTTTTGCCATGAGCTAAGTGTTGGGCAGAGCTATGGTTCTAGTACCCCACTCATGGGACAGCTGAAGTACCAAGAGGGACCAGAATGTGTTCACAGGCCTACCACAGATCATAGTCAGAGCTAGGTTCTCCCAACTCAAAGGCCAGTGTTCTATTCCGCAGCCCACTCTCTCTAGTCAGAGCAGTGAACTTGATGATGATGTTCCCATAGGAAAGACTTAGCCTCTCTCCATCTCACCACGCTGAACATCGCAATCAAGCCATTTTATCATTTTAAGCGATAGCAAATAGACAATTATACAAAACTTTTTATCCCAAAATTAGAGACCTATCAACAGGCCTTACTTCCTTTAATAAGTTTGGTGGTTTGCTTAACCTAGTTTCTCTTGTCCCTAGGTTCTCTTGCCCCTAGGTTCTCTTCTAACTTTATGTTCTCTCCATAAAAAGCAATCACTATCATGGATTTAAAAATTTTTAGCAGACGACTCTTCACCATAAATTCCCCCCAGACCTCTCTTATGAATTCCAGACACATCTTTCTAGCTACCTATTCATCACCTCTACTGGGCATATTAAGTCTGAGGAAACTGGGAGACATTTCTAATTGAATTCATCATTCCACCCTCTATCACCGGCACCACCCCAGAAATCTGGGTATCTCTAGAGTTTCTTTCAGCAAATGCTACCCACTTGGGACAAAGGCAGGCCCCAGGGAATTAATCTTGACATCACCTGCTAACTCATGCCCATATCTAGCCTTTCACCAAGTACTGACAGTTCTATCCACTACGTATTTCTCAAACCCATCTACTATTTCCATTTCTACAGCCACTACTACCAATAGACTATTACCCTTTCACCCCAAATTATTTCGGTAGTCTCCTATTGGATCTTACTCTAGTCCATTATCATTGGCTCAAAGTGTGATGTCACCTATTTATAACCCTCCAAGGGCTTCCCAAGACCTCTGCAATAAAGCACAAAAACCATAAACCTGGCCCCCAATTCCTCCCTGCTCTGCTTGGGCCAACTCCTCCTAGGACATATTCCCCTACTCTTATCACTCCCCAAGCTTCAGCCATCATGCCTAGGTTTTGATTCTCATCCCTTTGGCATGGCTACCTCCTATGCATCCTGCAGTTTTCAGCTTTAAAAGGTTACTGTGTGTAAACCTTTCCCCCAAGCCACTACCTTCCTCCTCCATTCATTTATTCAACAAATACTTTTCAAATCCCCACAATGGGCCAGGCCCCCAAAGGATTAAGCCATGAACACAAGAGACAAGATTTTTGCTGTCATTTAACATGTGACTATAGTTATAAATGGAGGGGGCATTTCCTCAAGGAAGAAACATTTAAGGGCGTGGATTTGAGAAATACATGGCCGGTGGAACTGTCAGCACTTCCTTCCTTGAGGAAGAAATATTTAATTTCAGTGATCAGGTGTTTGATGTTCGACACTCTCATTGCCTTCTCCATTTATAACTATATTCACATGTTACGTGACAGCAAGGACCTTGTCTTTCCTATTCATGGCTTAATCCCTTGGGGACCTGGCCCATTGTGGGAAATTGAAAAGCATTTGTTGAATAAATGAATAGAGGAGGAAGGCAGTGGCTTGAGGAAAAGGTTTATACTAAGGAAATTCCAGTTTTGAAGCAAAAAGTCAAATATTTCCTGGGACACATACATGGCCCCTACTACCTCACTGGGTGAGATGTGAGAGAACAAAAAAAGTTTATCTGGTTCCATGAGATCCACTGTAATTTTCAGAAATCTCTTGCCCACTGGCAGGGGTTGGCCAGGGGTAGAGGGGTCACCTTGCAGCTTTTAGACATAGTGGAAGAATAGAAGCCTTCCTGCTTATAAGACTTCAAACATAAAAAATATTTAAAGACTATCTTTGGGAATGACCTTAGATGTCCTCCAGGTCAGATAGATTACTTTTTTACTTTTCAGATAAGGCAACAGACATCTGGAAAGTGGATGTGAGTTGCCCACTGCCACGGCTTGTGTATATTTTCTCCATACACCGCATAGTTATATTCACATTCTCACCCCTTTCCTTGCCTACACTTTGAACAGAGAGAAGATTCTAGACACAGATAAAGACTTCCAATTCCAGAGTCTACTACAGACTGCATGCAGCTTGGCAGGGGGATAAAATCCTTGAGTCAGTCAACAGGGAGATCCGTTAACGTCTCAGGAGACCTTAGGAATCTCACCTCACCTCTTGGGGCCCCTATTTCTTTATCTGGCAAATCATAGTAATATGATGACACTGTCAAGTACAGCAAGGCCCACAGATTCAAGAAAAGAATGTGGATTCTAAAAGTACTTTAAAATCATCAAGTTTCACAAAGGCTTAACATGACAGAGCAATTAAATTTGCCTAAATTGGAGTAGCCCAGAAATAGAATGGACTGCTTTGGGCATGGCAAAAAAGAGACAAGTCTTTGGATTCAGAGAGTGTGGTTCTGACCATAGCTCAACCACTGTGTGGCTGTGGACAAATCATTAAATCTCTCAGTCCCTCAGTTTCCTCAAGTGTACTCAGAGGCAAACAAAAGTAATAACCACATGAGATTGTTGGGAAAAGAAAATGAGTTAATAATACATAAAGCACTTAGAATAGTCCTGGTGTATAATAAATGTTAGCTGTTATGTTTTGTTGTTATTTTTGTTGTTGAGCTACCCAAGACTAGAGGTGCCCAGACATGGATTTAATAGCAGTAAAGAGGATCTTGCTCCAGGCAGGGAGTTGGATTCTAAAGACTATCTTTTAATGCTGAAGTTTATGAAGTCAGTGGAAATCAGAAATATCTTTATTCTGTTGTTTCCCACCAGATACTTTTTCCTGTCTCTGCAAGGAACTTGTGGGAAGTCTCTAATCTCAAAAGCTCAGAAAATTGACAAACTCCCCCCAGACAAAAGAAACCTGGAAATCCAGAGTTGGAGAAGCAGACAGAGGCCTGCCCCTGTCCCCGAAGTGGCTCGACCAACTCACCACCCAGTGTCATCTATCACAGGACAGGACTTCAGTGCCAGCACCCCAAAGAGCTCTAACCCTCCCAAGAGGAAGCATGTGGAAGAGTCAGTACTCCACGAACAGAGATGTGGCACGGAGTGCATGAGGGATGACTCATGCTCAGGGGACTCCTCAGCTCAACTCTCATCCGGGGAGCACCTGCTGGGACCTAACAGGATAATGGCCTACTCAAGAGGACAGACTGATATGTGCCGGTGCTCAAAGAGGAGCAGCCATCGCCGATCCCAGAGTTCACTGACCATATGAGGAGCTGCAGAAATCTGTACAAACTCAACAGAGGCCACCTAGTCACTGGTCCACATAACCCTTGACCCCTTCTTCTTCATAGAGGAAACAATGTGCCAGTCTTATTCTTTTCTTCAACAACCTTGACTTCCATGGAGGAAGTGCTGGCCCCAAGGGGTCTGACACAAAGACGGGAAACCCAGTCGGCCTCTAGTTTTCTGCTGCTCTCAGGCAGCACATCTTGCAAACAGTTTGGAGAAGGAGGCTGTTTTTGTTGAATCGAGTTCTCAAATCGGTTTAGACCAAAGCCATTCTTCTGACCCTCTAGATAAGCGTAGCCTACAACCCAGTGCCGTAAGTTTCCAAGATTCAAGAAGTGTATCAACCCAGGCAATATCTCAGGATATGGAAGTTTCTGGGTTTATTTACCCCTCAGTGCCCAGAGTTAAAGTTTCAGAAGAGACTTGTGCACATAAGGGCTTCATCTCAAGTGTATTGCAGTAATGGCTGAATCGGGGTTAACATCCCTTCCAGGCACAGCGAGTTGGTTCTGCTTTTTGCCTGTAAGCCAAAGAAAAGCCACATCTAAAAAGCTACTACTAAAAGCCAGAAAGAAAAGTGGATTTGAACTCAGTGTCACAGACTCTTCTGAGTGTTTTAGGGTCACAGCTAGTGTAAGAGGCATGAAGAATAGACATGCAAAAGGGAACGGGTGCACCAGAGACCCCTGTTTTGGCTGACAGACCATATGTCCCACCAGCTGGGGAATCTGACAAGAGGACATAGGTGGCACTCTTTTTTTAAAGCTATTTATTGTATCTATTTTTAAATAAAATTGCCCATCCTCATTCAGCTCTTAGAACAAAAGCAAAAAACCCTGTAAATCAGGAGATATAAGCACATCTGCACCCAGAATAGGCCCATATGATAGGGCAACCCTGAGCTTAAACAATGACATCTTCAAGGGTAGAACTAATCTGAAACCCCATTCAGCCTATTCCAGAATGGGGATAGGCTGAAACCCCCTTCCAGCCTCTGGAAGACACTGGCCTGCATCAGTTAGAGTCAGAGCAAGTGTCACTTCACAGGGAAAAGAAGGATTATATAGACTTCCTATCCCTAGAGTTTATAAATGTCAACTATATAAAAAAAGCTCAAAACAGTGTTAAAGGAATGAACAGTAGAATTTTAATAGGCTGTCCAAAGAAGCCAGGTCTGCTGTGGGCAAGTATAGCCTAACCCTAGTCTTGTAAAATAAGCCAGAAAGGGTTACTGAGCCACCTTAAGCTAGTACCTATATAGTAGGCAAAAAGTACAGAAATAGATGCAATAAGTGTGGTGAGTCTTTGAGCCTACGAGTCATGCCACCAGCCATAAGTTGACCTATCACTTGAGAACCTCCTCAGCAAAGATGCCAGAAAACATTCAATCAAGTTGGCAAATGACACAGGGAGCTGGCCCTCTGACCATCTTCCTGGCAAACCTGGACTGGAAGGGCCATTTGCAGCACTGTCCTGGAGCTAATACACTGTTTCACTGCCTCTGCCATATAATGATGCCAGCACTAGCCAGCTGGTGGGTATTTGGAGGAATCCTGCATGAGGATTGCCCAATAAGGGGCAGGTACACATACCTGGCAAAGTGATGATGATGTGAATTGTTTCCAGTGAGGGGATTGAGTCAAAACTTGGATCTCAGGTACCTCAATTTTTCCCCCAATTTCTGGCTACTACTAAAAGCCAGAAAGAACAGAACAGTGGCCTCAGGAGATCTGAGTTTGAATCCTTGCTCTCTAGGATGCAGGTGGCTTGAAGCAGAATGCCACACCTGCAAGTTGATTAGAACTGCCTTTCTTCCCAGGCTTGACATAGGTATTAAGTCAAAATTACATGAAACCCAGTGGTAAAAAAGCCTCTGAAAGCTGTAACACCCTCAGTAATAACAAAAGGGATTTTTATTTCACAGCTAAAGGGAAAATAGGTGGAGAAGTTAAAAAATAATGTCTGATCCTGTTCCTAAGTTCCAAACTATAGCCAACACTCTGATGCTGCTCTTTTTCTTGTAGGACCAACCGTCCCAGTTTGCCTGGGACTTTCTCATTTTTACAGAGTCCCAAATCCTAGGAAACTGGAGCAACTGGTACAACTGGTCACCTACTCTTGCCCCTCTGTAAATCAAGCCAACTGTGACCATCCAATGTGCCATCTTACAGGGAAAAGTTATAACCACTATTCCCCTATAACATAATGCTAATGATTGTACTTAGTACATTTTTATACTTTTATGATATTTTACTGATTGGAAATGTCATCCTTTATTAAAAATAAACATGGTTTTCCATAGTTGCCTGCCAACCTAAGTTCACATTATTCTTCTTTTATATCATTATCACTAGTTCTGAGGACTTTCTCATCCACCCATCCTCTTTTGCATTCATTCATTTATTCATTCATTCATTTATCTATCTAATAAATTTCTGTTAAGCCCCTGCTAGATGCCTGACAATTTGCGAGGTGCTGTGAGGAGCTCAATCTGTCTTTGAGAAGCTCACATATTTGTTGAGCATCCAATGCTGCCAACCCCCACTGAACGTATAGAGTATCAGGAACATATTCGGCTATTTGACCCAACATGGAAGTATGACACAAACCAAAAGGGCTGCAAGAATTAGAAGCAGCACGTGCAGTCTGGAACTCTAACCTAGCTACTCCTCTCCTTCTGGAAGCCCAGCACCAACCTCGAATCAAGACTGATTTGGTCCAGCACCAACCTCAAATCGAGACTGATTTTTTTTATTCAATCAGTATCAACTAAGTGCCTGTTAGACATAGCACTGTGATAGGCAGCAAGGATAAAATAGGGAATAAAAACAGGCCCAGTTCCTGCCCTTAAAAAAATTCCCAACCTAGAAAGGGAGACAGATAATACTAAGGAAGTCAATCAATGTAATATTACACATTATGAGAGGAAGCGAGAATGGAGATGAAAAGAGAGGAAGGTTCCCAGGATAATCAGAGGCTTGTCCAAGAAGGAGACATTTCAGCTGAGACCTTAATCATGAGAACAAGACAGCAAAGAAGGGCCCTTTCAGAGAATTAAGTACAAAAGCCCCAAAGAAGAAGAGTTTGTCATATTTAAGGAAAAGGAAGGAGGTTGGTGTGGCTAGAAGCCAATAAGACAGAGGAGGTGCCACAGGATCACGTTAGTAGTAACAACTGTATTTGCTCGCTGTGTGCTAGGTGACGGCTTAAGCACACATCATCATGGAAACCTCACAGCAGCTTTATAAGGTAAGGGTAGTTACCCTCCCCTATTTCAGTTAGCTTCTGCTGCATAACCACCCCAAAACTTGGTAAATTAATGCAACAATCATTTCTGTGCCCATGATGCTGTGTGTAGGCAACTTGGGCTAGACTCCACCAGGACATCTCACCTCTGCTCCACACAGAATCAGCTGAACTTGCTTCTGTCTGGGGGCTTTGGCTGGTATGACTGGGATCTCTCTCCACGTAACGTCTCATCCTCAAGGTGGTCGGCCTGGCCTTGTCACATAGCAGCAACACTCTGGGAGTGAGAACAGAAGCTGCAAAGCCTTTGAGATCTAAGCTCAAACTCACACATCATCACTACCCACCACATTCTATGGAATCGAGTCCCAAGGCCAGCCCAGTTTCAAGGGTATAGGAAAATACATTCCAGTTTTAATGAGAAGAGCTGTAAATAAACTTGA
The DNA here is from genome assembly GCF_000001405.40 of Homo sapiens. Classification (NCBI taxonomy): domain Eukaryota; kingdom Metazoa; phylum Chordata; class Mammalia; order Primates; family Hominidae; genus Homo; species Homo sapiens. Next base: position 160,561,743 of record NC_000005.10, on the reverse strand, counting down.
GGCCATTTGAAATCTACCACATCCACATTCTCACAGAGAAGCTGAAGCTGATGTGTTATAAACATATCACAGTCATATAATTAACAAGCAGCGAGGTGGCATTCTAATCTGTGGAGTCTGAAACCAGAGGCTGTACTCTTTTATTATTGAGTTGGAGTTTCACTCTTTCACCCAGGCTAGAGTACAGTGGCATGATCTCAGCTCACTGAAACCTTTGCCTCCTGGGTTCAAGCGATTCTCTTGCCTCAGCCTCCCAAGTAGCTGGGATTGCAGGTGCCTGCCACTACACCCAGCTAATTTTTTTTTTAGTAGAGACGAGGTTTCGCCACATTGACCAGGCTGATCTCAAACTCCTGACCTCAGATGATCTACCTGCCTTGGCCTCCCAAAGTGCTGGGATTATAGGCATGAGCCACCGCACCTGGCTGAGGCTGTACTTTTGATCACGGGGCTACACAACTGCAAGATGAGGCTGGAGGGCAGGTGGTGACCAGGTAACACAGGGTCTTGTCATGTCATATCAACATTCTCTTGAGAGGCAAGGTGGTGCAGTGCAGGCTTGAAAATTAGCAAGCCTGAATTTCATCCAACTGTCATAGACCTACAGCGTGACCTAGGAAAGGACCACAACACAACGTGTCCAGCCAGGTTGCTGCCAAGACAAAAGCTTCAGTAAGTAAGGAAGATACTAGCACCTAGGAAGAACCAGAATTCATGCCTATATTGCCCTAACATATCTTGCCCTGAGTTGGTCACCCAGCCAGACCTTCCCATGGGCGTGGAGAGCCCCCAGGAGAAGGCAGTCACAAAGGAGTGAATCCTCCCAGGTACCCCAAAAAGAGAAGCCCCAAGGGAACCTGGGACCCAGGCAGGACTCCACTGATAAAGGAGGTGGGGCCTATAAACTCGGGGCAATGCCCTGAGCAGGCAGGCCTTTTGAGGGTACTACCAGAGGAGCGCTGCCCAGACAAAACTTCAGGACACCCACAATGAGATTGTGGGCATTTTCAGACAGGAGCCAAGTCCAGGAGTCTTTTTGTTGGAAGGTGTTCTGGTGCCTCCACCTAGCATCGGTGGAGGAGGTACCTCACTGGGGGTTCTTCCTGTATCAGGGGCAGGGGAAACAGGACTGAGGGTGGCAGGTTGTGTGAAGAGAGTGTGGGGTGATGAAGCCAGAAGTCAGAGGCCAGGTTTCAAGTTTGGGTCTGCCAGCAGTTTCCATGAGGCCTCTGGACAAATCCTTTCACCAGGTTTCAACCTGTTTCCTCAAACTCTCGAGGTGGGAACAAGACTGGTTCCAACATGCTGTGATTCTTCAAGCTATCTGGGGAGGCTGATTACAGGGAGGGAATGACCTCTAGTATATTCAAGGCCTTGTGATTTACTATTTTGCAGCTATCTCTCTGCCTCCCTCCCCTTCCCTCACACACACACACACACACACACACACACACCAGTGGAAAAATCCCATGAGGGAGGAACCCTGGACTCATTCCCTGCTGTGTTCCCAGTGCTTGGCACATGGCAGTGCCCAGGAATACTGTGATTGTTGCTACTGAAGAAAATCATAAGTGAGGGCTGCTGTCAGACAGAGGTAAAGGGGAGATAATGGGTTGGACCCCTATGCCTTTTTGAGGTCCTGGATTGCCTTTTTCAGATTAGTGGCTATTAAGAAGCTGCAAATAACTGATGAGAGTCCAGGGCATCTGCCCTCCCCAACTGTCAGGAGGCAAACCCAAGCCAGAACACCTCTTTTCCTCATGCAGGCCCTAAGGTATGCTAAGGAGTGGGGAAGAGGAGCTTTCATCTCCTGTAACTTCCATCAACACCTGCGCTCACACACCCCCAACAAAACATAATTGCTTACTAGGTAATTAAAACACCAAGACAAGTCTCTAGTGCCCCTGTCCAAGCACTGCCCTGCCTGGAAGCCCCTCCTCTGAGGATATGCAGACTGCCACGGTGTCTCCCCTGACTCTTAGTAGGTCTGTGAGAGGGGCCAACTCCTCACAGGTCAGGCCTATGGAAAAGCAAGCCCAGGTGCTGCAGGGACCAAGACCACCTGGGATACAGTAGGATCCTCAGAGCCTGGGGAAAGCAAATGTGTGCTTCTCTTCTGGTCTGAAGACCCCAGAACAGCAAAGGGAGGCTGACTGAGCAGGTACTTGACTTTGGGGAAAATGTTTTTCTCCAATGTCAAGAGCTCTTCCTATCCCAGCTAACCTATGTGCCCACAAGACGAGGGGAAAGATATTCCTGCATGTAAAATGTCACCATTTCATGCAGGTAATGAAACTCAAGTAAGAGATAGGCAGATGTGACTGGGGTCACCCAGCAATTTGGAGGCAAAGCTGGGACTAGAATTGAGGTCTCCTGACACCCCTCAACAAGGGCTCTTCAACAATCTCATCAGACATGAACAGGCAATTCTTTCCAAGGTTGTTTGAATGTTTAAAAATACAAAGATTTGCCCAAAAGGGTAAAATAATAAAGTATTAGGCTACATGGCAGGGGACTCAGTAGATCTGTTTGACAAGAAGATCTTTCCAGAACTCCTCATATCACCTTGTTTGCAGAGGGCAGCCTGGAATTGAAGGGTGGCCTACGCTAGTAAGAAGGCACCTCTCAGTGTTTTCTTTTCTCATCTGCAGAGGCAGAAATGAATTCCAAAGCACCACCAACTGTTGCTTCTGAGCCCTTAAAATGACCTTATCTTCTTCCCACAGGAAAAAGAAATGTATATTTATAAGCATTTGTTCTTTTTACTGGATGCACAAGACAAATATGTAAAGAGAAGCACACATTTGCTTTCCCCAGTTATAGCAGACTGGTATGTCGGATAGTGAGGGTTTCCTTTTAAGAAGGAAATCCAAGACCTGCTTAACATCTTAACATCTGCTAGGCTTCTAGACAAGCCCTCCTCTTAAAGAGCAAGGAATAGAGGTCGAGAAAGATGTGAACTTACCAGAGGCTGAGAGTCACCTCTTTTACTCTTAGTTACCCCCATGAGCCTGCCTGGTGGCCAGAAGAGAGTGATTTAGAAGGTCTGTTTCATGTGGAAATGGAACTTCTGGGATACCACTCAATGGGGGCTTTTACCAAATGGACCCATTGACGCTTTCCCAAGTAGGAAGTGCCCAGGAATACTGTGATTGTTGCTACTGAAGAAAATCATAAGTGAGGGCTGCTCTCAGAGACAGAGGTAAAGGGGAGATAATGGGTTGGACCCCTATAGCTTTTTGAGGTCCTGGGTTGCCTTTTTCAGATTTGTGGCTATTAAGAAGCTGCAAATACCCAATGAGGGTCCAGGGCATCATCCTCCTGGCCCCACCATCAGTCAACTGGCTCAAGATAATCAGAGGACATCATTCAGACCATGGTTTTAATGAACATCATGACCTAATGTGAGATTCTGTCTTGGTAACTCATCTATTTTATCAGCTGTTTAGAGTACTTCATCCTGAAGAGGGAGTAGGAGTGAGAGGTCTCAGGGCAGGGCAGCAGGCCATGGTGGGGAGATAATCACCTTTGGCCAAAAGACCCCATGGAAGTGACTGCCTACACATCAGACTGCTGCTGATACAACAGGATAAACAGGGAATATACCTCCTTTCCTTGTTCCCTACAAATGCTAATGTGTTTTTCCATTTGACTTCCTTGTTCCATTTTATAGATGAGCAACCTGAGGCTTGATACCATTCCCAAAGTCAGCAGACAAGTATGTGGCTGAGAGCCAAGATTCAAGCTCAAGTTGCCCAACTTCGGGGTCCAAAATATCACCCACTAGGCAGCCCTCCTTCTATAGCATAGTGAAAAAAACTCTGGCTGAATTTAGAGTCAAGAGATCTGGGCTCCTAGATCTGCAAATTTCTTGTGAGACTTTTCTCCTCCTCTCCTTCTCCTCCTTTAAAATGAGGAGGTTAGCCTAGAGGATTTCTCAGGGTTCCAAATTTTTCTGAATTAATGGTTCTCATATTCAGTTTACACCTAAGTGCCCTTGAAGCTTTCACTCAAGCTATCAATAAGAAATTTTTTTTTTTTAAGTAGACATGTTAGAAGCCAGACTGATCCAGCTCCTGGAAAGGATAATTAAAGCCACCAGTAAGTCAACTGAAAACATGCTGACTGGCTAAGCATTAGCAAATCACAAATATAGATTTTGGATGGGAGAGGCAGACGGGGTACGCAGGTGGTAAGAAAGGAACCTGAAGGATATTAAGATAACTCCCAAAGTAAATAAGTTAAAAATCACGAATTCGTGCCCCAATTCCTGAACCAGGTGCTCCCTCAGCCACCATCACCTGACTTTGACCCACCTCACCAAGCCCAGAGCCTATGCTCATGGGAACCTTACAGGGACCCTTACACACTGTTGGCATTCTGAACACATTTTGTACTTTGCAACCTCGTGCTTTTGCTCTAGCCATTTTCTTTCCCTAGAATGTCTGCTCAAAGCCCAAATCTCAAATTCAGACCTCTAAGGACCACTTCCTCTATAAAGCTATCCCTACTCACTGAACTTCCAAAGTTCTTTGTACGTCACACTGTGGAACCTAATATAGACAGGCTTCTAGTTACTCATGTCTATGTTGGGTTTTTTAGTCATTCCTGCTAGAATGTCAGAGCCTGAAGTCACAGGTCATGAATGATTCAACCTTAGGTCTTCCCAAGGCTAGCACCAGGCCTTGGCCAATGACAGTAGTGGACTAGCTCATAAAAATGTTCTCTCATCTCGTCCTGACCACAAAACCAGGAGGCAGAGATGTGGAGAGAACTTTCCCCCACCCCGGCTTTCCCCATACCAGGTGGTCTCTATCTCGGCCTCCCCTTCTTTTCCCCATAAGCAAAGACCAGATGATGATCTAATTGTCAAAATTCTGGGAAAATTGATGGTTCTGGTCTATGAGGCATGGCCCAGGCAGTTGCTCAAACTTCCCAGCTCCTTCCTTCCCAGTTTCTGCACAGGCACACAGTCGACAAACACTGACACAGAGCCGAGAGAAGGATTGGTGCCCTAGAAGACATGTTAATGTTGGCCCAGTTCTAATTACAACTCTAACAGCCAGAGCCATGCCTGGTAGAAAAACCAAACCAAACCAGAGGCACATTAATTTCTGCCCCAGCTGGCTCCTATCATGGGCTGGCTCACATCAGCGTGTTCGAAGGGGCCCTGCCTGAACCTCTGATGCCGAAGGAATGCACCAGCTCAGACTCTCTCATTTTTAATTAGAAGTTCCCATTAAAACCACTACAGCAATGAGACACACACCAGGCAGCATACTTCAGGACAATTAGCACACTCCTCAGGTGGCTAAAATGGCCTGGCCCTGGCCTGGGGCCAACATAATTGCACCAGAACATACAGCCTACCAGGAGGTTCCCATTTTAAGTGGAAAGAAATAATTAGTCACACAATCTATTGGGCAGTTTGATCTGTAGGAAATTATTCAGTATACATAACTTAAAAGTTTGCCACGGGTTGAGACAGACAGAAATCATCCCTTCCCTATGGCTAACTAGGACCTTAAGCAAATTTCTTTCCCTGTCCCCCGCCCCCATCCCATTAATGCTTCATGTGTTTGTGTGCAGGCCCCCACTGCGCAAAGCAGACTTACTGTAATTATGTGTCTGGATCACTAGAGACATGAGCATCTCATTCCTGGAATGTAGAAAATAATTAGTGGGGCAAAGAGGGTCTGGAACCCTCATCTACCTTGCTGCTCCATACTGAATCCCCAGGCCACTAATTAAAACATGCCCCTAAGATAGCTCCTGGCTGAGTCTTCCTGGTGATACTGAGCAGTAAATAAGAGCAAATTAGAAGGCCAGAAAGACCTCTCTGAGCACCAGGAGAGCTGCAGAAAGCAACCCCAAGGCTCCCTTGGCTCCATTTGAAACCACACTCTCAGCTTCCACATGTGCAAGTATGTTTTCCACACTTGATCACCCCTCTCCAGTTCTCATTGCTAAACCACTGCATCTTCTGCAGGCCAGCGGTACCGCTATAATTAATATTCAACTGGCATTTCCACTGTGCACTCAAAGCCTGTTCTTTCAGCCTTTTCAAATCCAATTCAGACCAAAGTAATCTTTGCCCTTTCATTTTGGTTCAGCAGCAGCGATTGATAGGATTGCAGATTATGGTTTATTAGCATTTATTGAGCAGCAAAGGAGAGTGCACGATAGTGTTTGTCACTAGGTCTCTGACTCCCAAACTAAAATTAACAAGCCAGAAGGACACAAATATTGGGCAGAAAAGAGGCCAGTTCAGGGAGAAGTTTTATTTATGATTTTTCTTTCAAGACTCTAGATGGAGTGGAGGGTTATAAGGCTTTGAAGAAAGGGGCAGCCTGGCTAAGAGGAGGCATCCACTGTTGGGCCATTCACTTTCCAGTCTCCAGTCACCCTTCAGATTTCTCTATCTGTGGATCTAGGGGTAGTGGCAAAGGGTAAGGAAGTCTCATTTCAAGTCCTGGACTGATCCAGTGCGTGACCTTGAGCCAATTACTTTCCCTGTTGGGGACTCAGCTCATTTTCAAAATGAGAGTTCATGGGACCAGTTGTATTCAGTTGTATTAAACCTAGCTCTGCAAAACGCCTGGGGAGATGTGAGCAACTGTGAGTGACTGCAGTGGGGAAGGCACCAGGTTTGAGAGGCTGGCTGCAGACAGACCCGGAGCCAGAAAACAAGACGTGGAGTTTGACTTAGGGCTTAAATACAGAGAGAGAGTCCAGTGGCAGTGAGATGAACAGGAGAACTACCTTACATACAGTCCAGAAGCAGCAAAATGGACAGGAGAACTGCCTTACATACAGTCCAGCGGCAGCGAGATGGACAGGAAAACCACCTTACATAGAGTCCAGTGCTGGTAGGCTGGGCAGAAGAACCACAGCCACTTACAAAATGCATGCAGTTTCTATAGCATTTTCACTTAACACTCCCCCTAACAATCTCCACCTAGCAAACTTCATTCAACCCAAAATTTGGGGCCTCAATCCCCTGTATGGCCTGTATTCCTACAGGATGAGCCAATGGCTCAGATGTTCCTCATAGACAAGGAACGAAATCTCCAGGTTGGCCACTCCCGGACTCTCAAACTCAGAAGACACATTCAGGTGTGTCTCCCTTTCAGGGTCATTCTCAGGGCATGCTTAAGTTATTGCTTTCAGATGTGTTTCCCATTCATAGGGTGCAGAAGGTCAGGCCTCCTTCCCTACATCACTAAAGCTGCTTTCATCCTACCTGTTTCACATTCCAGGCATTCCCCTATGATTTTGTGTAAAGAAAATTCTTCATTTTAATCTGTAGGACACAAGTTTGAAGCCACCAGATGATCTCTAAAATCCTCCAAACCTCTAGAGTCTATAAAGTAGTAAGGACTGAAAAGGTGTAAGGAACCCACCATGCTAGTACAGAAGCAGCTGTATATTTTGAAAGTCCACAGAGATATGAGAGGGAGACAGAAGAAGGAAAAAGATGAACATGAAATCCCAGCAAAGTCCCCTGGTGCAGGCAGATAGATCCAGATCGATAAGATTTTCTGCCCCTTCTCTCTTGAAGGGATGCATTGCTCACCCTCATAAGCTTCGATAATAAGGAAGGTATCCCCCACCTTTAGTGAAAATTTTATACAGGCAAACTCCAAAACCTAAAATACATCTCCTTGGATCCTCCAAGATGAAATCAGTTATTTGTGTTTCTGCCATCAGTAAGTCTTGGCTGAGAATTTCTCACTTTTTTTGGTTGGGTTTGGGGTGTTTTTGTTGCAGCTGTTTGTTTTTTAAGACAGACTCTTGCTCTGTGACCCAAGCTGGAGTATAGCGGCATGACCACAGCTCACTGCAGCCTCAACCTCCCAAGCTCAAGCCATCCTCCTGCCTCAGCCTCCTAGGTAGCTGGGACTACAGGCATGTGCCACTACATCCAGCTTTTTTTTGTTTTAGTAGAAATGGACTCTATGTCGCCCAGCCTGGTCTTAAACTCCTAAGCTCAAGCAATCCTCCTACCTCAGCCTCCTAAAGTTCTAGGATTACAAGAGTGAGCCACTATGCCCAGCCCAGGAGTTCTCACTGTAGAATGGCCAAAATGGAACCACCTGCCAGTAAGCACTAAGAAAATGCCAATGTCTTTATGTGAATTATATTTTTATTCTTTGTGGCCTTCTGAAAAGTTCTACTTCCTCCCTTGCATTTTAAATTATAAATGTGCATGTGATTTATATATTGTCATCCTAAATGGGAACGCTTTGACTCTGTATCCCTGAGACATGGCTGTAGGGAAAGAAGCTTGCTTAAGCATAGCAACTTCTCCAGAAGTCCTTCAGAGAAAGGAGGTGGCATTGAACACAGTGCTAAATCACATCAGGATGCACAGTTTACCAATTAGAGCCCAGGCCACCAAGCCCGTCTAACCCTGACAACTATCCAGCACTCAGAAAGTTTGGGATTGAGAAGGATAATAAGAGTGCCCACCATGATAACTACCGTTTCTTAAGCATTTACAGTATTTTAGGTCCTGTACTGATGCTCTGCCTACAACTCTTATCTTGGATATCCATACAAGGTATCTCCATTTCTGTTTTAGAGAGGAAACTAAAGCTCAGAGACATTAAGTTATTTACAAATGGCCACATGGCTAGTATGAGGCAAAGCTGGATTTTAACTTTAGTTCCTCCAATCCCAAAACCTGTGTTCCTACCCACCAAAGTCTGGATTGTTCTGGATCAGTCTTAAGCTTCTATCATGACAGGAGACATCGCTTACCTGCTTAGAAAGTTTCAATAGCACCTTAGTGCCAACAACTGATTCTCAAATCCAGTATTAGATGTCAGCCAAATGCAACAACTCACCATTGCCCAGCTCCTACCCAGGAGTTCTCCTTTAACTCTGCCTTGATGGCTCCCTGGCTTAAGTAGTTTTAAAATATCCCCAGATGATTCTAATTTGTAACCATGGTTGATAACAACCGCTCTGGTCTACTCAACAGAATTGTTTTGTTTTGTTTTGTTTTTTCTATGTCATCACGTTTTTTCATAGATCACTGACTCCTGGTAAATTTATAATGCACTTTTAAAAATCCAACTCAGTTTCCCAACTCTCTATCAAGTTTAACAGGTGGACAAAAATATATCCCATGTTTACAGCACTTACTTCTTTCCAAAGCATTCTCAGGTGCCTTCATCTCAATTGAGCCTCATGACAGCCCTGTGAGGCAGACAGATGGAACAAATGTTATTATTCCTCTTTAAGATGACAAAACTGAGGCTTAGGAAAGAGACGTTCCCAAGTTCACAAAGCAACTGCATGGCAGAGCTGGGACTAGAATCCAGGTCTCCATAGGGCAGTGTCTCTCCAACTTTAAAGTCACTAAGATACACTGGGATGCTTGTCCTAATGCAGTGTCCTTGGCTTCAAACCCAGAGGTCCTGATTCCGTAAGTCTTCAGAGAAGCACAAGTACCTTCATTATCACCAGTGTGATTCTGATGCATAGACTCCAAAATCTCCATTAGTGAAACACTGCCATTGAGGAATTCTTCAGTCAATTACTTTGAATATTACCCTGCCCAGAAGAAAGGGAAAGGACCAGCTGATCTAATTCAAGATTCTTTCCAAACCCCTGGTATTTCATTTGCTTTCCCCTTTACTCTCTCTTATTGCCTGCTAATATCTTTCCAGAGAAATAATAATCAAAGACAAACTCTAGATCAGTGATGGTCAATGAGTTTCAGTTCAGCATTCTACCTCAGATCAACCAGCAGTGTCTTCTTAGAGCCTTGGATTAAGAAGCAATGAGGCTAAAAAAGAACAAGATCATGTCCTTTGCAGGGACATGGATGTAGCTGGAGGCCATTATCCTTAGCAAACTAACGCAGGAGCAGAACAGCAAATACTGCATGTTCTCACTTACAAGTGGGAGCTAAATGATGAGAACACATAGACACATAGAGGGGAACAACACCCAATGGGACCTATTGGAGGGTGGGAGGAGGGAGAGAATCAGGAAAAATAACTAATGGATATTAGGTATAATACCTGAAATAATCTGTACAACAAACCCCCATGACACAAGTTTACCTATGTAACAAACCTGCACAGATACCTCTGAAGTTAAAATAAAACTTTAAAAAAAAAAAAAGAAGAAGAAGCAGCAATGAGGCTGCTCCCAGGCATGGCAGGAAAGTAAACTACGACCAGTTAGTCCTATCTGTCATGGGCACAGTGAGGATTCTGGCAGCCTTGCACTTTCATTGTTCTAGAGAGTGCTTCATCTCCAGTTCTGTTCTTATTTTTCTAGTTAGAGAATATTTCTACAAAGAGAGACCTAGTTTCTGACTATAGATAGTAAGAAATGAATTTTATAAATTGCTTCTATGCTGCCCATAAACTATGGGTTCTGCTTGGGACATTCTGGATGCCATGATTCAGATGTAAATATCCCCTGAAATCCATCAATGTCTGGGTAGCTGATTAAGCACCATGGACTATAACAGTGTTCCCTTCTCTAATCTTCAGGCATTTTTGATTTTTGTGAGCTGATGTATTACCGCTGTAAGGGGACTTTCTCACACCTTCTGCTCATGATAACAGATGAGATGTGAAATTGATTCTGAGCACCTAGGAGGGTTATGATTTATCATCACATATTAAGCCTCATGGAGCTTTACTGGATGAATCCCAACTACACTCAGAATCCAACCACACTTCTAGAAAGAGAACATGGAGTGACTCAAGATACATTAAAATCAGATGTTTCACCGTTGACACCCATAAGGGACTCCGTTTCATTCATTCAATCAACAAATATTTACTGAACACCTAGCATGTGCCAGGAAATGTTCTAGGAGCTGCAGATATTGCACTGGACAAGAAAGACAAGGTCTCCTCAGACCCACTTATCCCTAGCGCTGGCTCCCCTCCCTGATTGTAACTGGCACTCACCATTGAGTGAACACACCAACAGCCTGGTGCCTGGGGATCAGTCCTCAAGGTGGCCTGAACTGGACATCATTCCACACTTCTCTGGACTCCAGAAGCTTGAAGGAGTCAACTTGATGATGGCTAATGCCTTTATCATGACTCCATGCTGATCCTTCAATGCAAAGGACGTGCCCACAGAGATCTCTACTGAGGGTGTGTATTCCATGTGAGCCTCCCGGGAAGTCCCTCAGTGGAGGATCAGCTTTGGGCAAAAGACTTACCCAACTGAAAGTATGTAGACAGGAAAGAAATCTCCTTTCTGCTAAACAGTGCCTTAAAATATATTCTTAGCACAAGGTGGGGCAAGGGAAATGGCAGGCAGGGCTTCAGAATCTCATAACAAGGTTTATTTTTAAATAAACACTCCTAAGTCTCTGCTCCCTCACCTCTGAGTTCTGCCTCTGAAGACTTGGGTTGGGTCTAAGTCATATCTATTTTGAAAAAGTCCCCATAGGTGATTCTGATGAATCTAGAAAACATGGCATTCAAGTTTCACTTAGATATAGACCAAGCCTCTGTCAAAACAAAAGGTACAGCCAGGCATGGTGGCACCTGAGGTGGGAGGATTGCATGAACCCAGGAGTTCAAGTTTATAGTGAACTATGATCACACCACTGTACTCCAGCCTGGGCTACAGAGTGAGACCCTGTCTCAAGAAAACAAACAAAAAAAAAGTTACAAGGTACAAATATTGTCAAAGTTGGGGGGAATATAAACCCACTGGGCTGGGAGCCATGAAGCTTGAGTTCTAGACAGCTGTGTGGCCTCAGACTATCTGCTTTAGTTTCTGGGCTCCAGTTTCATTATATGCACAATGAGGGGAAAGGGGTCAACGATTTTTTTTTTTTTTTTTTTTTTTGAGACGGAGTCTTACTCTGTCGCCAGGCTAGAGTGCAGTGGCACAATCTTGGCTTACTGCAACTTCTGCCTCCCGGGTTCAAGCGATTCACCTGCCTTAGCCTCTCGAGTAGCTGGGACTACAGGCGTGTGCCACCACACCCAGCTAATTTTGTATTTTTAGTAGAGACAGGGTTTCACCATGTTGGCCAGGATGGTCTCAATCTCTTGACTTCATGATCCACCCGCCTTGGCCTCCCAGAGTGCTGAGATTACAGGCATGAGCCCCTGCGCCCGGCCCAGTGATTTCTAAAGTGTCTTAAAGAGCTAAGATTATGTGGCTATGTTTTTTCACATTTGCAAGCCAATTTTAAACAGCAATTGACCAGGGTAAATCATTGATAAATAGTTCTTATAGGAAAGTCATGCATATTTTCAACACATTAGTCTTCCACATCAGTCCATTGTGTGTTTAAATGTCAACAGGATCCATAATTAAGCATCTGAGGTGTTCAGTGTGGAATTTTTATAAACTACCCAGTAGCAAATGTCCTTGTGCTATTTGTTCCCCTCTCTTCTGCCTTCCTGCCCCTTACCCCATCCTGTGGGTGTCCACACAACTGGAGTAGTTTGTAATCGGCTCTAAATGGCAGCTACTGGATTTCTCTAATAATATGCCTATAAATCTCTTTTTCTCATTAAAGAATCTAGAGTTGTGTCTTCTGACAGACTTTTGGCAGACTGGCTTTTTGCTTAATCATTTCCATGTGATTCACATCCTTGAAGTTTTTCATTCTGATTGTCCATCCCTCTACACCCCACTCACGTACACATGCATGTGAATATTCTCTGTCCTAATAGCTAAGACAATTCACCAAACAGCACATCAGCTGGCAAACATCAGATTTTTATATCTATTCTTTCTCCATAGAGATAACCTCTTTCAAGATAATGATGTGATTAAAATCTGACTTTCTTGCCCTTTCAAATGAGTTATCTAATCACAACTCTACCCATAGCCAAGCCACAGTGCGAAATCAACAAGAGTAATTCCCTGGGAATCCTTCACCACTTCACAGTTGACTCAGCCAGTGTTCCTCTATAGAATGGGGCTTACATTTTACTACTGCCCTGGAATCATAGCATATTAGAGCAATGGGTCTTTGCAATGATAAGAATCCCACAGCTTCTGTACTCTGCTCTATACTGCCAGCCCTGGAAGCCTACATGCTGCACTTCCCAGATTCCCTTGCCAGGGCTGTTGGTTAGGTTCAGCCAATGTGACTCATTGGCAGCAAGAAAGAAGTCATCCTGGGCGACAGAGCCAGACTCCGTCTCAAAAAAAAAAAAAAAAAAAAAAAAAGTCATCCTGATTCTAGCATTGGCAGAGTTTGCTGTCTCTTCAGCAATTCTAGCAGCAGCAGCATGACACATGTCCCTCTGAGGCCCCAGCACTGCCCATGAAAGCTCCAGACCAGCAGCATCCTTACCAAGAGACCTCCTTCTTCTTTTTAATCCTTAGCATACTCCTTCCTTCTATTCCTCCAGCCCTCTTAACACCTTTATAACTATGGTAGATGATTGGCAGAAAGTGGTCTCAATTAATCCCTTCCCTCTCTCCACAATGCTTTGCAATGTGACTTTAAAGCTTCTCTTATCAAAATATTAATTCCATTTCTCCACCTCTTGAGTCTGGGCTGGTCTTTTCTCTACCTCTTAAATCTGGGCTGGCCTTATGAATTTCTCTGGCCAATAAATTGCAGCCAAAGCATTATGGTATCAGTTCTGATTCTAAATCTAAAGAGACTTTGCATGCTTCCACTGTTACTTTGGGAATCCTGCTGTGCTGCCATATGAACAAGCCCAGGCTAGCCTGCTAGAAGATGAGAGACATCACGGAGTAGAAGCAAGTGGCCCCAGCCAATAACCATCTGATATGGTTTTGCTGTGTCCCCTCCCAAATCTCATCTTGAATTGTAGCTCCCATAATTCCCACATGTTGTGGGAGGGAGCCAGTGGGAGATAATTGAATCATGGGTGCAGTTTCCCCCATACTGTTCTCATAGTAGTGAATAAGTCTCACAAGAGCTGATGGTTTTATAAGGGGAAACCCCTTCCGCTTGGCCCTCTGATTCTCTCTTGTCTGACGCCATGTAAGACGTGCCTTTTGCTTTCCACCATGATTGTTAGGCCTCCCTAGCCACATGGAACTGTGAGTCCATTAAACCTCTTTTTCTTTATAAATTACCCAGTCTTGGGTATGTCTTTATCAGCAGCATGAAAACAGACTAATACACCATCCAGACCCTAGAATCAGAGCCACCCCACTGGCCTGACACTCACCTCAGGCATACAAGGGAACCCAGTACAATTCCAATTACCAGTAGACTTATGAGCAGTAATAAATGATTGTTCTGTGTAGGATATAATAAATTTCTCTTCAAAGGTTTTAGCCTGTAAATTGTTAAGTGCAATGAGTTCTGAGATAAAAAACCAATGTATCAGTATATTCAGCTCCCCTGTCCTTTGTTCCTCATTTTAAAGTTTAACTCCCTTGTTCTTTACTTCTCCTTGCCCCCAGTTTCAGTAAACAACCCTCTCCCAGCCTCTATCACCTGCTCTGACCTTAGTCACCCTTGGTCACTTGCTCTGACCTTAGTCATCCTTGGTCACCTGCTCTGTTCCTAGTCATCCTGAGTCACCTGTTCTGTAACCATCCTTCCCGCCTAACTACTCACCCCGCCACTCTGGCTTGTACCCCTGCTCTCTTTAAAATAGCCAGTTGTAATTAGCTTACACTGTGTGGTCCAACCCTAGCCAATAGGGGAAAGACACAGCAGTAGGGACCAGCTGCATTAGGATAAGAACCCCTTCCCCTCCCTTGTCCGGTGTGCTTTCACCATTGCTCCATTGGTGAGATGCACCCTTCTATAGAAGTAAATTGCCTTGCTGAAAAAATTTATGCTCAAGTGCTATTTCTTTTGCAGCACCGAAAGTTTATTTCTAACATTCTGTTTTAAGCTACTGGTATTAGTATGTTTTGTTACCCTAAAATAAATAACTGATACAGTAACTGATTCCTTGCATTAAATCTCTCTCCATTGCTGTTTTTCTGACTGGACCATGATTGATAAAGGAAACTTGTAAAAAATGAAAATCTCCAGTTCAAGCACCCCAGGCAATTTTGATATACATGGTCTCAGACCATTCTTTGCCAAACACAGCTTTCAAGGGGCTGAAGACATCATCTTGTCTATGCTTTCCCCTCTCAGGCAGTTAATAGATAAGATCACCCTTAAGGAAAAGCTCAGCCTGTTTAAATACTTGGCAACCGATTCCAATGTCCAATGAATGTCTCATCATTGTCAAGGATTCTTTTTTGCTTAATTACTACCCTCATCCCCTCAAGTGGCAGTTTTTGTCTCTTCTTATTTCTTGCTCAGAAGGAAAAAATAGAGGCTTGTAGATATCCCCCCATGTTTATTGAGTTATAATTGACAAAAAATGTAGATATTTAGTGTGCACAATGTGATGTTTTGATATACATATACACTGTGAAGCGATTACCACAGTCAAGCTAATTAACACATTCATACCTCCTATACAGGTATGTGCCAAATCACATTTCAGTGGATGGATGGCATATGCAACAGTGGTCTCATAGGATTATACTGCATTTTTACTTTACCTTTTCTATGTTTAGATACACAAACACCATTGTTTTACAATTGCCTACAGTATTTAGCACATGCTGTACAGGTTTGTAGCCTAAGAACAATAGGCTAGACCATACAGCCTGGGTGTGTAGTAGGCTCTGCCATCTAGGTTTGTGTAAGCACACTCTATGATGTTCACACCAAGATGAAATCACCTAATGACACACTGCTCAGAATACATCCCTGTCATTAAATGACTCATGACTAGCTACTTTTGTGCCTGTGTGTGTGCATGCGTGCATGCATGTGGAGAGAATGCTTAAGATCTAAGATCTATTCTCTTAGCAAATATCAAGCATACAATACATTATTATCAACTATACTCATCATGCTGTACATTTTATCTCCAGAACTTATTATCTTGTAACTGAAAATTTTTACCCTTTGATCAAAATCCTCCCAGTTCCCCCACCCCCAGTCTCTGGCAACCACTTTTCTACTCTGTGTTTCTATAAGTTCAGTCTCTTTATATTCCACATATAAGTGAGCACATGCAGTGTTTGTCTTTCTGCTTTACCTAACATAATATCCTCTCTGAGTTTATTCATGTTGTCACAAGTGGCAGGATTTCCTTCTTTTGAAGGATATTTTCTATAAGTAAAACATTTTTCCCACCCCTAAGTTAACTAACTCCAGCTAGATTCTTTAAGTGTTCATCTCTGGTCCATTGGAATTATTAAAAACAAACAAGCTCACTTTGGTATCAGACTGATCTTAGATAATCCCTGCTCTACTATGTAACTTTCTGTACATCATCAAGCTCTCTATACCTCAGTTTTCTCACCTGCAAAATAAGGTCTGATGTGAAAAATAAATGAAACAAACTTTGCAGGAACTTAATGTGTCAGGTTTTGTCTTTCTTTTCCCCAAGTCTGTTCTCCAAGATAGAGAGAAAATGAAATACTATGAATATGGTATGGATCCAAAACCCCAGGTTATAAACTTTTATCAGAGCATCATGAACAGACTCTCCCATAATGATGACCAAAAAGGCCCCCACGCCTATGGCTACTGCTGTGAAGGGCCAGTGCTGAAGCCAGCCACATGCCCTGCTCCATGAGGAAGGAACACCCCAGAAAAACCTGCCTCAAGGGAAGATCCAGAAGAGGCTGATCACTACCTCTGAGTTCACCCAAGCAGCGAAAAGGTTTTAATTGGGCAACGAAGGAAAAAAAAAAAGGGAAAGAAGGCAAATTTATATTGCCCAACAACTGTCAACACTTTAAGTACATCTTCCACACTCACTGAAAGAAGCAGAGAACAACAGGTGAGACAAGATCTCAGAGGAAACATGGAGAAGGGGGTTCACATCACATGCCCCATAGTAACCACTTCTCATTTGCCTCATTAGGTCTCTGTTCTCTAAGGCCCTCCTAGGCTTTGCTTGAGGAAAAGGCAGGGAGGGGTCAAGAAGAAAGAGTAGAAGGGAGGCCAGGAAAGAATATCGAGTTTCTCTCTTCTTCCCACACAATGTCCAGCCTCGTTGGATCCTGCCTCCCTCCAAAACACCTGCTTTACTATTTGAACAATTAAGCAGCATTTTTTAATACTTAAGATTCACCCTACCCTAAGCAAAGTCTTTTTTTTAAGACAAAGTGTGCTCCCCAAGAAACAGCCTAATGAATGGAGTTGTCTCCACTGATGTGTATATGTCTGTGTGTGTCTATACACAGTATTCTGTAATCAAAATCCCATATATACACACAATGAATACTGAGAATATACGGTCCTTAATCTCAATTTTATTGAAACATAATTATACATATTTATGTGGTACAGGTGATATTTTGATACATGCATACAATGTGTAATCAGGGTATTTAGGCTATCCAGAACCTCAAACATTTGTCATTTCTTTGTGTTATGAACATCTCAAATGTTCTCTTCCAGCCATTTTGAAATATACAATAAATTATTGTTAACTATAGTCTCCCTACTATACCAGCCAATACTAGAACTTATTCCTTCTATCTAAATGTATTTTATACCCATTAACCAACCTCCATTCATCTTCACCTCCACCCTTCCCAGCCACTGGTAACCATCATTCTACTCTCTACCTTCATGAGATTAACTTTTTTAGCTCCCACTTATGAGTGAGAACACGCAAAGTTTGTCTATCTGTGCCTGGCTTATTCCACTTAACATAATGATCTCCAGTTCCATCAATATTTCTGCAAATGACAGGATTTCATTCTTTTTTATGGATGAATAGTATTCTATTGCATATATATACCACCTTTTCTTTATCCATTCATCTATTGATTGACACTTAGGTTGATTCCACATCTTGGCTATTGTGAATGGCACTGCAATAAACATGGGGGTGCAATTGTCCTTTTGATGTACTGATCTCCTTTCCTTTGGATAAACACCCAATGGTGGGTACTGCCAGACCATCTCGCAGTTATTTCTATTTTTAATTATTTGAGAAACCTTCATACTGTTTTCCATAAGGGCTGTACTAACTTACATTTCTACCAACAGTGTATACACCAACAGTGTATAATTTTCCCCAAAGCCTTACTGACATTTGTTATTTTTTTGTCTTTCTGACAATAGCCGTTCTGACTGGGGTGAGATGATATCTCATTGTGGTTCAGATTTGCATTTTTCTGATGATGAGTGATGTTGAGCTGGAAGAGAAGTTCAATGACCTTGGCCAACCCATCTCCTTCTCTACACCTCTGCCCACACCAGGTAAATTATGTAGAAATTAGACCAGATAATGTCTAAAATCCCTTCCAGCCCTGAATATTCATATGGTAAATTCTTCCCCAACATTTTGTTATATTCTGAGTTTTATTCTCTTCCTTACGAAGGCAACTAAAGAGCATTAGGGGAGAAAAGGGAAAAGCAAATGCTATAGAAGTGTGTTTATTAACCAACATAGAGAAATAAAAAGGCAACAGAGGGGATTCTATTTATATCTCCCTCAAGGATTATGCCATAATCTGTATTATTTGATTTTTTAATGCATTCATTCAGAGCTGGAGCCCTGTAGGGTGCTCTTTAAGCCTGACACTGAATGAAATAATTCAATTAAAATAAGCTTGAAGCCTTTTCAAGGCATTAAACTCCCTGAAGAGAAGATTTAGGACTGGCTCGAGTTGGTTTTAGCATCAGCATTGGTGAGACCATAGGAAAGCATCGGAAGGGTTTGGCAATGAGTGATTCTGGAGGCATTAGAAGATGTGAGTTCCAGGCTGCTTGGAAAGGGACTATCAATATTGGAACTGTGCTTCAGGGAAAACAGACTCTTCCCCAAAGCTTCTAAACAATTCACTGGAGTCTGACATTCATTTTATCATATACTCCAGATAAAACCTATTCTTCCATATAAGAAAAGGAAGTTTAATAACTATTGATAACAATATGCCATTCATTGAGTGTTCTTTATATCCTAGATTTCCTCATGTTCCATGCATTATTTTATACAGTCTTCACAACTGTCTGAAGTTAAAAATTATCAAGCCCATTTTATAGATGAGGAAACTGAGGCTGCCAAGAAGTGCCTTGATTTGCCCCAGATTACACAGCTAAGAAACTGCAGATTCAAACCCCCAAGTCCATGGTGCCAAAGCTAGTGCTCTTCAGCACTATACTACTTAAAATGCAAGCAACATGTTATTGCAGGAAATGGAACTGGGAAGAGGGCTAGGAGAGAAGCGTGTCCATACAAAGAAATAGAGACACAGTCCCTTCCCCCAGGGGCACACTGTCTGGCTTGCAAACATGATTCATCCTCAGAATAGCTTGAACTAAATTAAAAATGACTAAAGTTAGAGCCATACCTGAGAGCAAGTTTTCACGTGGGCAGGACAGAAAGAAGGGGATTAAGGAAGAGAAAGGTATGATATGGACACGCTAAGGACCTAAGTCACCCTTCGCAAGTCTGCCCAAGGCCAGAGCAGCTACCTAGGTTTTTTTGTTTGTTTGTGTTTACACTGGGCATTCCATGGCACTAGGAATTCTGTCTTCCTCATCCAGCTGCATATCATCAGTACCTGGCACCTATATTTTGTTTGGAGTGGGGCATGGTCAGGGGATTTCAGATATATATCATGTCAGGTATAAGAGATGCTAAAGGCTAAACTGACCACTCTGAATTTCTAGCCCTAGTTTGGTGGTTTGAAAACTTAAGTGTATGTTAGAATCACCTTGGGAGCTTGTTAAAACACAGATTGTTGACCCCTAATCCCAGAATTTCTGATTCAGTAGATGGGAGAAGTTTTATATTTCTTACTAGTTCCCAGGCAATGCTAATGCTGCTCCTTCAGAGTCTAGCCCTTTGAGAATCAGCAGCAACCTCCATTGTGCATGAGAATCACATTGGGGAGCTATGAAAACGTTTAGGCCATCCTCCTGATAAATTACATCAGAATCCCCGTGGGTGGGGCCAACGTATGCACGTTTTTAAAAACTGGGTATTCCGTGTGCAGCCATACCACAAAGTAATGTAGAAGATACGTGAGCCTGAAATTAGTGCACCATAAAAGTAACTAATATTTACTGAGCACTTAGCATGTGACAGTCACCCTACTAAATATGTTACCACATGATCTCACTTAATCCACACACGAACTTTTCAAGTAGGGACTATTATTCCCATTTTACTTATAAGGAGGGTCAGAGAAAGTAAGATATTTGTCCTAGGGTATAAATTGTTAAGTGACAACGTGGGAATCAAATTCAGATCTCTGTGTCCATAAAGCCTCCTACCACTCAGGGTCTTTAGCTCCCTTCACCAAGCCACTTAGTGCTCTGGCCTCTGCCTTAAATCTTCAGTTTTTTGATTGAGTCCAGATGCCAAAATAATCTAAGATGGAGCAATT
Source organism: Homo sapiens (assembly GCF_000001405.40). NCBI lineage: Eukaryota > Metazoa > Chordata > Mammalia > Primates > Hominidae > Homo > Homo sapiens. Next base: position 160,541,376 of record NC_000005.10, on the reverse strand, counting down.
TCAATCAACCTCATATTTGGCATCACATAACCCAACATATATATGTGTGCATTCATAGATACATATGTGAATGAACAAATGAAAATCACAGAATGGTTGTTTTATTTAATTCAACATTCTTTTTTATAAACCCAGTTACTGTCTGGCTTATCCTCTTTTGATGGCTCATTACCATTTCCAAGAAAAGTTCAAACTCAAAATGTGGCATTCAAGGCCCTTCATGATGAGGTCTCTGTTTCTGACTCTCCAGCCCCTCGGCCGTCCTCCTCTATTCTCACCAATCTATTTCCAATTCCCCAAATCCAACCATGCCATCATGCCTTTGCTCATGTTTTGCTTTCTCCTTCTTTTCTCCTTCATTCCTTCTTCCTTCCTTCCTATCCAACTGGAGAACTTTAAGCCATCCTTTAAGACTCAGGTCAACTACTAAATATCGCCTTCTTTTCCGTCATCCTCCTTCATATTCTTTCTTCCTCTGAGCAATCATAGCAACATGTGTATTCATATCTCATTTTATTGTTCTTTTTTTTGAGACAGGATCTTGCTCTGTCGCCCAAGCTGGAGTGCAGTGGTGCAATTGCGGCTCACTGCAGCCCCAACCTCCACAGCTCAGGTGATTCTCCCACCTCAGCCTCCTGAGTAGCTGTGACTACAGGTGCACACCATCATATTTGACTAACATTCTGTATTTTTTTGTAGAGACAGTGTTTCACCATATTGCTCAGGCTGGTCTTGAACACCTGGGCTCAAGCAATTCTCCCACCTCATCCTCCCAAAGTTTTGGGATTACAGGCGTGAGCCACAGCACCCAGCCTCATTTTATTATTCTTTTGTATGACTGCTTATACACTTAACCTGTTCACTGAATTTTCCAAAAGACCACATTAACAGAATCCCAGCTCTCCCTAAAAAGTGCAATGTTCCCTGAAGATTTCTCAAGTGAGAACTGTGCTCTCTCCCATCCAGTGGGCCTGGAGATGAAGTAGTATCCATCTTCCTCTCTTCTAGACCACTCTCCTTCCTTCCTCTGTAACATCCTGCAGCTTTGAATCCATATCGTCACATTATACCACCCACTACCCCTCCTTGCTACAGTCCTCCTTTCAGGGTTACACCCTCTGTTCCTTAGCTACTTTGCTCCTGCCTCACTGACATTCTCTCCAATACCACTCCTGTCTTATTGGTGATTTCAGTTTCTACATTGTTGATCCTTCCTATATCCTGCTCACTCAGTTCCCTCATTTTGTCACCTTCGATGAGCTTCTCCTCCATCCCACTTCAGCCACTCACTCCCAGAGTCTCACCCTAGACCCTAGACCTTGTCTTTAGCAATCACTAAAGCCCCTCTGAAATCTCAGTTTCAAGCATCCCACTCTCTAAGCACCACTGTCATACCTCCTATAAACACCCCCTTTAATATCCTGATTCCTGTGATCCTTAACCCCCCAGGAACCTATGATCCATGGATTCTACCCCTGTTCACTGTGTCTCACCTCCCTGACACCAAGTCCTCACTGGCTGTCTGTCCTGACATGGCTCAGATTCCTTGGTCCACTGTTACTATCTCTCACTCTTGCCCAACCCACTGGCCTCTTCTCACTTTGTCAAAGTCACTTGGCTAAAGTACTCCTTTCTTGGTTAAAACCAAGTCTCTGTCTGCTCTGCACCTGCACCCTGAGCTGAAAGTGTCTGGAAAAAAAGCACAACCATGCCCACTGAGTCATTGCAAAGTCATAACCGTGACCCTCAAGTAGCTCCTTCTGCTAGCTTATTCATCCTCCCACCCTACTATGGCAATGACTCTTTCATGCCTTTTCCTCTCTTTTCAAACCTCAAGCCCCCACCCCCATTTTCAGCCACTGACTTGGCTTCTCTAAATCATTAAGAAAATGAGACAGTCAGAGAGGCACTTCCACAAGTCCCCATCTTTACTTTACTCTTCTACATTTGCACCCACATTCTCTGCCACCCTGCCTATGGCTGTGACATAGGACTCCAGAGGCCATCCCTCTGGCCACCCAGGGATTCCAGCTCTTGTGGCGTCTTTAAGCCAATATTCTGCCCTCTTTGTGCCAATTTCTCTAGGTAACCTGATGATTGCATGATACCACTTGGACAGAACAAGAGCCATGTTGGGGGTATGGATCTCTTTTCTTTTATTAAATCAGTGATTTAAATTATTCTTTTGTGCTCTGTACCCAAGTAGAGGATAAGTCCTTTGATATGCCATTGTTTCATCTCTGTATTGTTCCTCCAGTAAATAGGCAGGGGATGCCTATTTATCTGGCTTCTACTGATTACAAGTACTATAGTGACCCAGAGAAGAAAAATAAAATAGGATTTGAAGTCCTTCATGTATCATGTGTTTATTTGGATTAACATGAGCAGTCGTTTGGTTGAATCAGTAAAAACTAAATTTTATTCAGCCTTTTTCCTTTGTTATCATTGGACGATCTCAAAAAGTAAATAATGTATGGAGTGAGGAGTCATGTGTGGGAATGAGTGGGAAAGGGGTAAAATGCCACATTTTGTCAACTGTTTCAAAAAGTCTTCACTTTTCCCAATTTTTGAAAAAGAGTAATATCTATTATTTTTCTTCCCAGCCCAAATTGTCAACAATTCCAATTCTCACTTTCCATATTATGTTAGTTAAGGGTACAGGAAAGAGTCTTCTAGGATATTTGCATTTTAACTCACATTGAGCACTTTCCATCTGCCCTGCTATTATACATGCATTTTATGTCTGTTATGTCAATCTTGTGCTCAGAGGGGAGGTAGTATATTAGCATCATCTCCATATACAGATTTAGAAACTGAGGCTTAGGTAAATGAGATCAACCCCAAGTTTGTAGCTACTAAATGAGGGTGCTGAGAATCAAACCTAGGCAGCCTGACTCCTGAGCATGTATACAAGGGATGCTATGGCACCTATCATTTCCCTCTCAGAGATTCACTTCTTTGTGTCTTAAAGTCTGATGAGTACGTAGAAGGAAAATGGGATGAATGGGGTCAAGTTTCACTGAGACAGTAAAGATGAGTTAGGTCTTACAGAAGGGTCCTCAAGAAGGGACCCTTTGGAGGAGCTAAGTGCAAATTCTGTACTTAGAGAGGTTCCATTTTAAGTTTGTCTGCTAACACATTGGCAAGGACTGGGTGAACCCCATCTCTAAGTGACTAGAGGAGGCTTAAGGCTTAAGGCAGTGATTTCTGGAGTGAAACTGCCAAGGTGTGAAGCCAGGCTCTTCTCCTTATTAACTGTGTAATCTTGAGCAAGTTACTTAACCTTTCTGACCCTTGGGTTCTTCCTCGGTAAAAAATAGATGACCGTCTGGGCGCAGTGGCTCACACCTGTAATCCCAGCACTGTGGGAGGCCAAGGCGGGCAGATCACCTGAGGTCAGGAGTTCAAGACCAGCCTGGCCAACATGGTGAAACCCCATCTCCACTAAAAATGCAAAAATTAGCCGGGCATCGTGGCATACACCTGTAATCCCAGCCACTCTGGAGGATGAGACAGCAGAATTGCTTGAACCCGGCAGGCCGTGGTTGCAGTGAGCCGAGATTGTGCCATTGCACTCCAGCCTGGGCAACAGAGTGAGACTCCGTCTCAAAAAAAAAAAGAGAGATGACTATAATAGCAGCTACTTCAAAATCATCTTGGTATCAGTGTTTGCCAAAGGGGTACCATTAAACTTCAATGCAGCATGAAAGACTAAGTATACGATGACCAGACCATCTATAAAACTACAAACTCTAACCCACAATCTGCCACCAGCCCTGAAAAGCAACCCATTATCTTCAGTAACCAGCCAAGACAGACTTGTAGGAAGTCAGACCACTAGATCTTTGTTTGCTAGAGAACAAACAAGCCAAGAAGCCAAATAATAACCCCTGTAACAATTAGCCTAAAACAGGCAGGACTTAATTATTCACTGACAGCTTCACTAAATCTTGCTCCTCCTTTCAACTTAGAACCAACTTAGAAAGCCAAATATGCACCCTTAGCAATCACATAGGATGCCCTGCTCCTAGTCAGCCTGCCTCCAGCTTCCCCATGACAACAGCCTTCAATCAGGCCTTCCCTTTTTTCCCCTATAAAGCTCTTCCACTCCTCTGCCTAGCTTTGAGTCTCTGCCAAAATACAAGTGGTGGTAGCTGATTCCCTTGCTGTAGCAAGCTCTGAGTAGAAAGCCTTTCCCTGTTCTCATTGGATGGGTCTTAGTTTATTTCCAAAGCATTAACTGAACTCATCTGGGTAACAAATGATGGAGACTTAGATCAAGGTCTTAACGGTGAACATGGCAAGAAGTGATCAGATTCAGGATATACTTTTAAGGTAGAACTGTTACTGGAAAGGGGTCCTGATCCAGACCCCAAGAAACGGTTCTTGGATCTCACGCAAGAAAGAATTTGAGGTGAGACCACGGACTAAAGTGAAAGCAAGCTTATTAAGAAAGTAAAGGAATAAAAGGGTGCCTACTCTGTAGAGAGAGCAGGGCATTCAAAGCAAGAGGAGGAACACTTCCACCTTAGGTACAGTACTTGTTTATCTATAAGACAATAAAGCAAAAATCATGGAGAGGTGTGCTCTACTACGAGGGCTCATTACAAAGGATTGTTAATCTTTTTTAACCACTCTCTTCCGCAAGAATCTATGTTATTATCGTTAAAATGAAATTTATTCTTCAACTAAGAATGCTTTTGTTCTCAAGATATCTAAGACAGAAGGACATCCCTTGGGTCTCTTAAGTCCTGGATCTGCTAAGTCCTGGGTCTGTTTAGTAAATATTGAACCTGTTCCCTTAACTGTAAATATCCTGTGACTAAGAATATCTAACCTCCTGAGAAGGCAGCCCAGCAGGTCTCAGCCTCATGTTACCCAGCCCTTATTCAAGATGGAGTCGCTCTGGTTTGCATGCCTCTGACAGAACCTTCAGAATGTAAAAGGCAAGGCAAAGTAGTTTGCGTCACCAGGTGGGCAGTGCTGCCATGTGCAAAGTTGGGGAAGGCTAGAGTACATTCTCAAACTGGAAAGGCAATGCCTTAGATTCACCTGCTCCCTGCATACGCAGCAAAACAAAACATAACAAAATAAACCTTCTCTCTCTAAGGTACCTTCTCTGCTAGCCCAACCCGGGGCCAGAGAATCATTTCTCTGGATAGAATCATTTCTCTGGAACTACCTCCAGGGTGTTAGTTCATGGGCATCCGTACACTCCCAATTCTCACTCCCATTCCCATTTACTTCCTCCCCGCTCCCCCTACCCAAAAGTATCTCTTCAACCCCCTATGTGAAATTTCACCCTTAGAGCTAGCTTCAATCACAATTAAAATGTTAATGAAACAGCATAGTCTTGAATTTTTAAAGTATGTGTGTATCTGAAAACAAATACAGCAAAATATTAACATCATTTATTATCTCTGAATAGTAGTATTATAGGTGATTTAAATTTGCTTCTTAATACATTTCTGTATTTTCTAAGCCTTTAATAATAAAACTTTTCTTATGAAAAAATATATTTCTTAAAAATTGAATTTCTGGGATGGTTCGCAAATTATAATCTGCCAGTCATTTATTCCTTGGCATGAATGAATGGAGTGTGTCTCACCCATTTCTGATGGGATGTGCAGAAGATACAAGACCCAGGGTGGGGGCTGCCTGGGATCAAAGGCACAGGAAGGAACGTATTCCCCAAACATTCACAACATGACCAAAGGCAGCCTTGCTAAAAGCTAAGGGTTAATTTATGGCACTCTCTGTCCTAACATCTCTGCAGGTATGTGAGAGAGAACAGAATGAGTTCAGCTTGGGAATACAAGCTGTGAGAGATACAAATAAACTAGGTATTTCCAAACTGTTTCAGTGGGATCACTGCCAGTCCAAGGACAAGGATCAGCCTATTTCTTAATCAAATAATTAAAATGTTTGAAATGCAAACAGAGGCAAATTCAGAAATAGGTGGTCCAAAGAGAACCTTGACTGGGGCTGATTCAGCACTGACCAGACCTAATGGTCAAGGCCTAAATTTGGAGACAAGGCGCATGACTGTATTTTGACACTGAGGTGAGAAAAGAAAGGAAGTGAAATGATTGCAGGCACTGCTACCCTCCCTGCAAAACACAAGAGGACAACTGCCACTGCCCAATCCACAATTCAACAGGCCTTCTGCTCCAAAAACTTTAAGTCATTGATTTATTTCAACACATTCTCAGCTGAACTGACAAGGATCTATTTCTTTGCTTCAAGCAAAGAATAGGCTCCTCCTGGGCCTGGGATTTCAAATACTTAGCATATTGGCTGATTAGCATTAAGAGGATGGAAAGAAAGAGATTCTTTCCTTCCAAGGCCACCTTTCTCCTGCAATGTGTACATAGGAGAAATGTAGATGGATGGACTCTGGAAGAATCAAGTGCCTACAAAAGTCCAGGAACACATTGTCCTGCAAAATTGTAACATTTGGGGAATACTTTAGACAGATTTTTTTCATCATCTCCTCTAGTTCTTATTAAGAAAAATTATCTATTAATAAAACTTGGAAATAAAATAAGATGATCAATGCATACCCCTTCAATGTTATTAACAGGCTCACCAGAGGATGAGGATTATTTAATTATCTGTGACTTTATTTGATTTTACCATTCACTACTTGACCAGAAAACAGACATTGGGGGAAATAATGTTAACTTGTAAATTTCTGTCCAAAAGACTACAATTTCATTGCCCTATAAAACATTGACCAACTTTTTATCTTTTAGCAAATCCATTTCCCCATTCCTTTGACTGATTTACTATATAAATATCTGTTCCTCAAATTCTCTTATTGAACCACCTCCTCTTGCTTACTGAATCATTCATTCATTCATGAGCTGAATAAAATCTTTGACATATCTTCATCATCTTTTCTATGAATCATGTTTTAAATTTTTTTTGAAAGGTATTCCCCACTTTGCAGATGAGAAATGTAAGTCTGGAGGAAAACAGAAGAGCCGCACGCTATCAGGAACACAGCCAGACCTTGAAGCCAGTGTTGACACTGAAGTTCTTTCCACACAGCCAAACTAAATAGCTGTGGCCTTAGCCCCATCACTTTCCCTCTCTGGGCTCAGCTTCCTCATACGTAAATTGGGGCAAGTGGAACAGGTCATCTATACAGCTCCATCCAGACCTAGTATTATTTGGTAAGGTTAACAAAATGATTTAACAAAATGATTTAAAAAACAAAACAAAACAAAATAGACCAGACTGATCTCCAAGTCCTCTTCCCATGTCCCCATCAACACTGACCTCTCCTGCTTCCAATCCATCAGTGAAATTTTCAAAGGAAGAATCCGTTTATGTTATAGATTACAAAGTCATCAAGGCTGAGGGCAAAAGCTACTGAGAAATGAAGGCCTCACACACATACCCTCCTTAAAGGTGTATCTGTATTTACCTCCCAGGAATGATAAAATCTCTACTAAAGAGAGTGGTGAATCCAAGGCAATATGACAGGCAAGTGGGATGATTTTATGAGAGCAGAAGAACTTTGACACCCCTACATCAAATGTATCTGGAGGGCTGGTGTTCTGTCAACATGGACCAGAGCTGTGTACCAGCCAGCCCCAGTGACCATGCCACACCAGCTGTTATACATTTTGAACATCATCCTTGTTTCTTTGCCTTGGATCATAGAGTCACATACAACAGAGACAAAACCTCTGCATCTGTTACTAGTCATTCATTTTCTCAAACTCAAAAATGTAACATTAGCACTTGAACACTTCCATTGATTACGATAGACTTGATTCTCATTATTCCTCATTAAACAGAAAATAGACTTATGTATTTTTCTTTTCCCCTATTAATATGTCCTAATGGTTTAACACTGAACTTCAATACATATTTCTTCAATGCTAGAATTTAAATAATGAAAACAACAAACCCTGAGACTCTATTAAAGATAAGGAATGAGCTTCCATCCTGATCCCCTCAATAAAGCTTGTCTTTTTAATGTTCTTTTTTCTCATCTTCCTGGCAATTAAAAGACAAGCATCTTTGCCAGAGAAGGGTATGTGTGTGTGCGTGTCTTAGAGAAAAAGAAACTAATGGGACATTTTCTGAGGCTGCTAATGATCTTACAACATAGTATGTCTTGACTTGTGGAAGGGTCACTTTTTAAAAAGACAATGATAAGTCTTCTCACTTAGCTTCAGATCTCAAGGCAATGTCCCAGAGTAGACAAGATGCAGCACAAGTGGCCAAAGATGCATGTAGAACAGTGGTCCTCAAACCTGGCTGCACATTCAAATCACCTGAGAATCTTTTAAAAAAATATATTCATGCCTACCTACAGAATGGGAGAAAATTTTTGCAGTCTACTCATCTGACAAAGAGCTACTACCCAGAATCTACAAAGAACTTAAATAAATTTACAAGAAAAAATTAAACCACCCATCGAAAACTGGGCAAAGGATATGAACACTTTTCAAAAGAAGACATTTATGCAGCCAACAGACACATGAAAAAATGCTCAACATCACTGGTCATCAGAGAAATGCAAATCAAAACCACAATGAGATACCATCTCACACCAGTTAGAATGCGATCATTAAAAAGTCAGGAAACAACAGATGCTGGAGAGGATGTGGAGAAACAGGAACACTTTTACACTTTTGGTGGGAGTGTAAACTAGTTCAACTAGTTGTGGAAGACAATATGGTGATTCCTCAAGGATCTAGAACTAGAAATACCATTTGACCCAGCCATCCCATTACTGGGTATATACCCAAAGGATTATAAATCATGTGACTATAAAGACACATGCACACATATGTTTATTGCGGCACTATTCACAATAGCAAAGACTTGGAACCAACCCAAATGTCCATCAACGATAGACTGGATTAAGAAAATGTGGCACATATACACCATGGAATACTATGCAGCCATAAAAAAGGATGAGTTCATGTCCCTTGTAGCAACACGGATGAAGCTGGAAACCGTCATTCTGAGCAAACTATCACAAGGACAGAAAACCAAACACCGCATGTTCTCACTCATAGGTGGGAATTGAACAATGAGAACACTTGGACACAGGGTGGGGAACATCACACACTGGGGCCTGTCGTGGGGTGGGAGGATAGGGGAGGGATAGCATTAGGAGAAATACCTAAGGTAAATGATGAGTTATTGGGTGCAGCAAACCAACACAGAACATGTATACATATGTAACAAACCTGCACGTTGTGCACATGTACCCTAGAACTTAAAGTATAATAATAAAAAAACAGTGCCATGAAAAAGCTGCCAAGAATTCCTGAAAAAAAAACATATTCATGCCTGCAGCACTCAGACCAATAAAATCAGAGCCTCTGGCAGTGAGGTCCAAGTATAGTAATGGTAATTCTAACAAGCAGCTAGAAGTATGAACCCCAGGGGTAGAGGGATGTTCAAAAAAGCTCTGCTTATAGAAGGAAAACCATGTAAATAATATGGTTTACTGATTGGAAGTGATTAATGAAATTCCTATGGTGCATTCACACAAGGGGATACTATCCAGTCTTTTTTCTTTTTAATGCAAATCTATAGATGTTGTGCAAGGCCATTTTCTCCATCAATACTTTGGGCACAGTGATTAAGTTTGAGAGGGTACCTATAAAACCATTTGAGACCTGAAGAAATTGATTACAAAATATAAAACTAAAACTGCAAAATTGTAACTGATAAATGTTTGTCTATAAAGCATAACATGTCAACTTCAGCAATTATTAGGCCTAGTATTCATAACATTTTCATTACTTTTGAAAACAGTTGTTAAGTTATATTCTCACCTCAAGAATTCCCAAGTATTCTCAAGGTCAATGGTTCTTAAAATATGCCCCCAAGAAGAGCAACATCAGCATCACCCAAGAACATATTAGAAATGAAAACTTTTGGGCCATACCTCAGATCTACTGAATCAGAAACTATAGGGATGGACAATTATCTAATTATCTGTTTGAACAAGCCCTGCAAGGGATTCTGATACATGCTTAAATATGAGAACCACTCCGCTAGATGATTACCAAAATAAAAACATAAGAATCTTATAAGATTGAAATTAAAATAAGCAATCATAAATTAAGTAATATTAAGTAACCAAGTAATTTATAAGGCCCAATTTGAAATCCTGTCAAATATTTCTACTGACATATATACATTTCATATATATATATATAAAATACAATATATATACACACACACAGACACACATATCCTCAAAAAGTTAAACATAAAATTGCCATATTTCAACTGAGCTTCAACAAGAGTGCTAAGAATATACAATGGGGGAAAGGGCAATCTCTTCAATGAATGGTGTTGGGAGAACTGGATATCCACATGCCAAAGAAAGAAATAGACACTTATCTTATGCCATACACAAAAATCAACTCAAAATGGATTAAAGATTTAAACATAAGACCTGAAACTGTAAAACTCCTAGAAGAAAACATTGAGGGAAATCTTCGTGACATTGATCTTGGCAATAATGTCTTGGATATGACATCAAAAGCACAAGCAATGAAAGCAAAACAACTGGGACTACAAGAAACTTCTGCACAGCCAAAGACAGAATCAATGGAGTGAAAAGGGAATCTACAGAATGGGAGGAAATATTTGCAAACCATATATCTGCTAAGGCATTAATATCTGAAATATATCAGGAACTCCTAAAACTCAACAGCAGAAAAACAAATAATTTTAAACTGGGCAAAAGACTTTAATAGGCATTTCCCCAAAGAAGATGTACAAATGGCCTACAGATACATAAAAAATTGCCCAACATCACTCATCATCAAGAAACTACAAACCAAAACCACAATGAGATATCACCTGACATATGTTAGGATGTCTATTATCAAAAAAACAAAAGATCAGTGTTGGCAAGGATATGGAGAGAAGGGAGCTCTTGTATATGGCTGTTGGGAATGTAGATTAGCACAACCATTACGGAAAATTATGTGGATGTTCCTCAAAAAATTAAAAATAGAACTACCACATGATCCAGCAATACCATTTCGGGGTATACAAACAAAAGAACTGAAATTAGGGTTTCTAAGAGATATCTGCATTCCGTGTTTATTTTAGCACTATTCACAATAGCCAGAATGTGGGAACATCTGAATGCCCATCAACAGATGAATGGATAAAGAGAATTTGGTATATATATGAATATTATTCAGCCTTTAACAAAAAGAAGGAAATCCTGGCATATGTGACAATATGATAAACCTTGAGGACATACATTATGCTAAGTGAAATAGGCCAGTCATAGAAGAAAAAATACTGCATGATTGTCTTTACAGGAGATACCAAAAATGGTCAAACTCACAGAAGCAGAGAATAGAATAGCAGTTGCCAGGGGCAGGAGGGAGGGGAGAATGGGGAGTTGCTGTTCAGTTTCAGTTATGCAAAATGAATTAGTTCTAGGGACCTGCTATACAACATTGCACGTATAGTTAACAATACTGTATTGCACACTTAAAAATTTGTTAAGAGGGTAGGTCTCACATCATCTTCTTACCACTATTTAAAAAAAGAACAAGAAAAAAAGAATTACCATAAGACGTAGCAATTCCACTCCAAATGTATACCCCAAAGAATTAAAAGAAGAGACTCAGATTCTTGTACACCATTGTTCATAGCAGCATTACCCACAATAACCAAAAGGTGAATCTAAGTGTTTATCAACAGATTAATCAATTTTAAAATGTGGTATATAAATACAATGGAATATTATTCAGCCATAAAAAGGAATCAGATTCTGATATATGCTAAAACATGAATGAACTTCAAAAACAAGATGCTAACTGAAGTAAGCCAAACATGAAAGAATATTGCAGGATTCCATTTATATGATATACCTAGAATAGGCAAATTCACAGAGAGAAAATAGAATAGAGGTCATCAAGGACTGGGAGAAGAGGAAAATAAGGAGTTACTGTTTAATGGGAACAGTGTTTCTGTTTGGGGTGATGAAAAAGTTCTGGAAATGGATACTGGTCATGGTTGCACAATATTGTGAAAGTATTTCATGCTACTGAATTGTACACTTAAAAATGTTTAAAATGAGGCTGGGCACAGTGGCTCATGCCTGTAATCCCAGCACTTTGGGAGGCTGAGGCAGGTGGATCACCTGAGGTCAGAAGTTTGAGACCAGCCTGGCCAACATGGTGAAACCCCATCTCTACTAAAAATAAAAAAATTAGCCAGGCATGGTGGCAGATGCCTGTAATCCCAGCTACTAGGGAGGCTGAGGCAGGAAAGTCACTTGAACCTGAGAGGCAGAGGTTGCAGTGAGCTGAGATCACACCACTGCACTCCAGCCTGGGCAACAGAGCAAAACTCTGTCTCAAAAAAAAAAAAATGGTGCATTTTGTGTTTTATATATATATTACTACAATAAAAAGTACATATATGTCATATATATATATATATAACTCTAATTTGTTTGATATGATTGAGGTGGACCTTCAGAGATTTTCCTAGGGTTAAGGGTCTTTCAATGTCCATAGTAATCACTTAAAAATAAGTTAATGTGAAAAAAGTCAAGTTGCTTTGTCGAAAGTGCTTCTTCTTGGCGCTCAGCTCAGAAATCACTTCCTCCAAGCCTCCCATGACACCCCCAGGTTTGTTGCTTCTCCTCTGTCTTCCCTCAGTACCTCCACCTCTACAATATTGCCCAACACCACATACTAGACTGGTTTGTTTACCTATTTACCCCAGTAAACTAAAGCTACTGAGGGCAGGAACCATTGTTCATGAGTCTCCAACATCTAACAAACCTGGACCTCAGCATTTAATAACAAATGAGTGAATAAGTGAATGAGCCAGTGAATAGATAAATGAGTTCATAAATAAACAAATGATTGTCACATCAGCCATCAGGTGTCCACTGAGATTATGTGCAAAATTTTGTACATACATAAGTTTTCAGGAGAGAAGGTCCATACCTTGCATTGGATTCTTAATGGGATGCATGACCCCAACGTGCCTAAAACCACTGAAGTAAAGAGGGGACAGGATGGGGATGGACTGGAAGATTTCCCATGGATGGCCATTGGCAAGGATTTCAAACAGATCAAATAAGAGTGAGCAGCAGATAACATATTACACTGTGGACAAAAGCAAGGGAGGAATCAGACACTTTACTTCATGGGTCCAGCCAACTATTCCTCTTTGATTCCCTGAGGTTCACCAGTTCTTTGATTTTAGAAAAACAAATGAATACTCTGGTCACTATCACTGTGTCATTCTGGCAGACTTTAGCTAGACACAGCTGCTTCCAACTTTTAAAATTGTCAAGGACCGTGTTTTTGGAACAGCTGAATCCTCTACTGAGGAAAGGGCCCGTCATTGATCTAAATTACATGCAATTCAACAAGATATTTAATAAGGTTCTACTGGGTAATAGAGGCCAGGGATGCACAGATGATTATGCCATGGTTTGAGGGGTACTTATAGTTTCATGGAAGGAAATCCTCTGCTCAACCCACCTAGTAATCAAAGAAATGAAAATTAAAATGACAGCGAGAAACCTCTTTGGACCCATCAGACTTTTTGTAAGGATATGGGGAAATGGGACCTTCCTGGGGATGGAAACAAAAGGTCATTCTGGAGGGTACTTTCTTGGTGCTTACCATGTATCCTACCTTACCTTGCCCTAGGGTAAGTGGTAGCTTACCCTACTACTCAGCAATCCTACTCCTGGCATATACCCCCAAGAAATTATCTCACTGATTCATAAGAGGATTTATGCAAAGTTGTTTTCTAAGTCTCCTAGAAATCCCAGAGACTATTGTTTTTCCTTCTCCCACTTACACAGGGCATGGTGGAAACTTTAGTTAATAATGCTCTGCCACAGGGGAAGAACTCAGATGTATTGCCCTTGACCTACCCTCATCACCTAGCTCTGTAATTCCCATCTCAAACCATCTTGGGCCTGTAATTTATCTCTGTTTCCAGTAGCAGGTAGTTATAACAGGGTAAATGTTCCCTGGTGTCAGGTCCACAACTATGCCAAATGTCACACTTAGGGTCAGGTTCCAGCCCCAGCTGAGGTCCGAGGGGAGTGGGTGGATGGGCGAATAGCTAAAAGAACATTTGGGGGACCATAGGCAGGTGAATATGGTTTTATTCAGCAGCTCTCTCATCAGCAGCTTACTCACACTAGCTCTCACACACCGTTCATTTTCGGCTACTTGCTCCGGCCACTCCCACGCACAGCTGCACGGCTGGCTCTCCCTTGCCTTCAGGATCAGCAGCTTAACTCTTTCTCTCTCTGGGCGCAAGCTGGTTTCTGGCTTCCCCCTGTCCATCTGCCAGATGATAACTCTCCCGTACAGGGGTCAGTAGCTTCACTCTCTCTCTCTGGGTGCCAGCGCTTGCACAGAGCCACGTCGAGCCCTAGCCTCCCTCTATCTGCAAGAAGGACAGCTCTGGTACTCTCTCTCTCTCTCTCTCTCTCTCTCTCTCTCTCTCTCTCTCTCAGCACAAGAGCAAGAGCCTGTACAGCATCAGCAGGGCAGCTATACCTTCTACAGACAATAGTGGCTCAAAGCCAAGTATGAACTTACACAAACAGGTCATATAACAAGTGGAGTATGCACCTGTGACCCAAACTCACTGAGTCACTTTGGCCCGGATGTCTGCCTCAGCCTATTGTTGACCCTTTGGGTTTCAGTCTCTCCATTGAACTTTCTGTTCTTAGTAACTCATCTTTTGTGTGGAAACTGATAATTTGTGTGCTCAGTGAGTTGCATACCAATTTTTCATTGAATATTTTTATTAATGTGTTCATTTGTTATGACTCTATTCGCTAAATAAAATATAAATAAAAATATGACGACATTATGATTTAGAAAAATAGTTTAGGATAAACCATCATTACATAATTTAGAAATATATAGAAAGAACTCAGGAAGCAAGTATTAAGCCTGCTTTCCAATATCTCTACTCTGTGCTTTGAATGATAAAACCTATATCACTTTATGTAGCAGTGAAGCTTTATTTTTTTAGCTTACTAAGAAATATTTCAAATATAAAAATAAGCTCTACTTGCTCCATCTGATGTCTGATTCTGAGCAGGGCAGCTAGCTGATTTGATAAAATGCAATATTTCCCCAAGGCCAGGACTGTGGATAAAATGATTTTGAATATTAAATATCTTCATAACTTCCTACTAAAGCAGGAACAACCAAAGGAAACTGTAATGTATTCAGTACTCCATCCCATTAGCAGGTGTTGGTGGTTCCAAACTTTAGCACTGTCTACATCCTCTCTCTGAGTATCTCTTTATGCTGCATTAGCTTTTCTTAGAAAAACCCTCGAACATCCTAGTCTATGTTTTGAATTCTACTTAAAAGGTCTCAAATGGAAACAGAGATGGGCTTCAACCAGAGTGCAGGGCAAATAAAATGGAGGTTCATTCTTCCCTCCATTTGCAGCTCCTCTTCCCATCACCCCTGGAGAAATGAAGGGCTCTTGCCCAAAGTATACATTCAACACAAAGGAAGATGAAAGCCTGGACCCTGATGGCAAGGTTTATAGTCTAGTGGTTAAAAAATTAAAACCCGTAGGCATTGAGAAGGAACAAACATTTCAGGGGAAGAAGTTTGATGCCAAGTGAGTTGAATAAATTGTAAATGCCGTGGGAACTTAGACCACAGACAAATCATTCCTAGTACTTAGAAAAGACTCAGTGAAACCAACAGACCATGAGCTAAGCCTTGGAGAATGGCAAAAATTGGGTAGGTGGAGAGGAGGGAGGGTGTTCCAGGTGGGGGAAGCTGAGTGAGCAGAGGACCTAAAAATGGAAAAAGACAAGACATATGGAAGCAAATGGAAAGGCTTGTCTGAGCAGACATAAGCTGTTTGATTAGAAATAGAAACTGAAGCCAAACCATGAAGGGTCATAAATATCAGACTGCAGAGTACACACCTGACCTTTTCCCCTCTATTCTCTGGTGACACTAATCTGATGAACTAAGTCACAAAGGGGTTAATGGTAGATGTCTTGCTTCCTAATTTTCAGATACCCCAGGGATAGCAAATACCTTTCCTGTTCCATACAAGATCCCATCTATTGGTAGAAGCTGTGTGGAAAACTGTTTCTGAGGAAGATTCTAAAGTCACATCTGAGGAGATTGTGAGTGCTGTGACTTCTTATTGGCATTTGTCAAGGATAAAACAGAGAGGAATTGCAGTAAGAATAGCAGTGAAGATGCTTTGTATTTACCAACTGTGATTCCAAAAGGGATGACGACAATGCTAAGAAATCCAGGCATCAAGGTTGTTTGATGGGGAAAGTGAATGTGCTGACAGCTGGCCTCAGCAGTAGAGAGCACTGTAATTGATTAGTAATGTCTGTCATGGGCTCAGAAGGAAGAAGTAATGCTACACATGCTACATACTTACTGAACCTACCTTTACACTAAAAGTACTTCAGGCATCAGAACTAACCCATGCAGAAAGATAGGTGTTCTAGTTTTGTTTGGTTTCATTTGGTTGAGTTTGGGATTGGAAAAGATATAGTTTTCAATTTGTATAACCAAATTAGCAGATATTCATTCTATGTAAAAGACCAGCCCAAAATGGACATGGTGCCTCAGAATAAACTCAAGGCAGGACCAGAGAGCCCATTCATCACAGAGTTTAGGGATTTTAAAGACTTTAATCACAGCAGTTTTGTTCATCATAACCTGTTTATTTGGTGAGACCTACCCAGTGTTCATGAACTTGCTGCCCATGCCTGACAATGCTTCCTGGTTTGAATTAGCCTTCACAGGCAGCTTTTCACCCTGATCTCTGATCTCACTGCCTCTAATTTTCCCTCCTGTTGGAAGCCCTTCATCTCCTTCCTTTCCACACTCGTGGGGAAGAAGGAGTTTGTCAGCACAGAGAGCAATTTTCTCATCTTCTTTTTATTCTTCCTGTAAATACAAACAAGCAACCAGAACTACAAGAACTTTCATATTTGCAAACACCCCAGGGTGTTTCACAAAAATCAATCTGACCAAAAACCATAAAATACAAATTCACCTGATACAAGCACAGGATGACTGTGGAGATTTCTCCCTGTACGTCTGCATTACACAATGTCCATACAAATGACTCTGGAAACTGCACCAATTACCAGAGCCACTGGATACATCTCAAGGTCAAGAGAATTTGCAAGAAAAAGAAAGCAAATGAAATGCATCTTTAAAGAGGTTTATTTGCCTAAGAGAGACAGGGCTGGAGCACATTCAAACAAAAGCAGATGATTTGGGCAAGAAATTTTCTACCTTCTCTTTGTGATTTTACAGCTATCTGAGAATCACAGCCCCCATCATCCATTCCAGAGGCGTTTCCTAATCTGAAGTCTGTGTGATGTTCTTCTGTTACTGTGCAAGAAATGAGAATTGTGCTGGGCATAGGGGAAGGCAGACAGGAGGGGCATAGATGCTGCATATTTAAACATATAAAATGTTTACTTTTTTCTAATTATTAAAAAAAATCTTACTTAGAGTAGAAATTTACAAAACATAAGGAATAAAAAAAAATTAAAGTCACTACTAATCCCTCTCCAATCAGCAATAACCATATATTGGTTATTGCATATATTCACCAGTGCAGTCTCAAAAGGCCTACAGCAGAACCCTCTGGTGCATGTACGACATGAAGACTCCTGGACCTACGCCCACAACTGCAGAATCCAGACTTCTAAGGGTGGGTCCACACGTCAGCATTTTTAAAAGACACCCCCAGCAATTTTTTTTCAATAACATATTGTTTTAATTAAAGAGGTCATTTACAGTTGAGAAAATACCTTCTCTGGTAGTCCTTTCTTTGGTGGCTCATGAAAAAGGAGTTCTTTGTGCACTTCATCTTTGAAACATAACCTTTTCCAGATACAGTAATAATATCTTGTAGTTTCATCCAATTGTGTGGCAAACTTCCCGCTGAATAATTCGTTCTAATGATTGTCTGTTCACATTTTCACTCATGTTTTCCAGGCATTTTCCAACATCATTTGTTGACCAAAAAAATGTATCTTGGTTTGCTGCCATCTTGTTTTCCAGTCTGTAATCCATTTAAGCATTTGCCTACTGGTATTACCTCTTAGATTTTCTCTATTGAAAAAAAAATCCACCTCAGGGCTGGGTGTGGTGGCTCATGCCTGTAATCCCAGCACACTGGGAGGCTGAGATAGGAGCATTGCTTGAGCCCAGGAGTTCAAGACCAGCCTGGGCAACATGGCAAGACCTTGTCTCTACAGAAAATTAAAAATTAGCTAGCTGGGCTTAGTGACCCCCAGCAATTTTTATGAGAACTTCTTCTCTGCACTATAAGCCCTCCAAATGTATAGATTTGTGCTTCTTTTGTTCACCGTTGTGTCACAGAGCCTGGCACATAGGGGGTACTCAATAAGTTTGTATACAGCTGGGCATGGTAACATGCACCTGGAGTCCCCGCTACTCAGGATACTAAGGCAGGAGGACCACCTGCACCCAGGAGTTCAAGACCAGCCTGGGCAACATAGTGAAATGCTGCCTCTTAAAAAAAAAAAAAATATATATATATATATATATATAGAGAGAGAGAGAGAGAGAGAGAGAGAGAGAGAATAAACAAATAAATGTTCTTAATATTTTTATATTTTTTTTTCTCTCACTTATAAATTTTTCTTTTCTTTTTTTTTCTTTTTTTGGAAATGTGTCCTCACAGTTTCACTTAATGGCAGACAAGGCACTTACCATGTGCCAAACCCATGAAGTAACCATTATCTGTAAACCCTATTTTTCAGATGAAAAATCTTGGACACAGAGAGGTTATGTAATTCATTCCAACATCACACAGCTAGGAAGCAGTAGAAGCACGTTTCAACCCCAGTAGTATTACTAGAAATCCGGAGTCTTCATGAATCATGTCTGCATTTGTCTTGAACCTCTTCTCAAGTTTTCAATATCGTTTCACATTTTGTAAATGGTAACATGGTATTCCACTGTACCGATTCACTAGAATTTATTTAAGAAATTATTGGACAGTTTCTCTCTAATTTTCAATGCTGTGTAAAAACCATGTTAATTAAATTTTCCCATATCCAGATTTATATTTTCTTAGAATCATTTCCTGAAAATAGAATCGCTAAATCAAAGGATAGGATCATTTTTAGGGCTCTTGATTCAGATGTCAAATCAAACCCCTGTTTTATTAAGATACACATTCACCATCAGCAGAGATACCTATTTCCCCCATAGAAAATACAAAAACTTTGAATATCATGTAAAATATTTATTAGTACTGCTATATTTAGGGGGGGTGTTTTAGTTCTTTTTAAATAGGGCACAGGGTAGGATCTTGGCAGTGCCAATGGATAAAGAATTAGGTAAGGAAGTCTGGGCGTGGTAGCTCACGCCTATAATCCTAGCACCTTGGGAGGCCGAGGCAGGAGGATCCCTTGAGCCCAAGAGTTCAAGACCAGCCTGGGCTACATAGAGAGACTCTGTCTCTATTTTTAAAAGTTAAGTTAATTTTTTAAAAAAAGAATTAGGCAAAGAGACAGAACTGAGTTCTTCCCCACACCTCCTGGGAGCATTCTAGGTACCCCTTTCCAACATATCTTGGGTTTTGTTTGTGTTTTTATGTTGTTTTGTGTTGTTTCTGTACTTGATATGGTTTGGCTGTGTCCCCACCCAAATCTCATCTTGAACTGGAGTTCCCATAATCCCCACATGTCATAGGAAGGACTTGGTGGGAGGTAATTGAATCATGGGGGCAATTACCCCCATGCTGCTGTTCTGGTGATAGTGAGTGAGCTCTCATGAGATCTAATGGTTTTATAAAGGACTTTTCCATCTTGGCTCAGCACCTCTCCTTCCTATCATCATGTGAAGTATGTGTTTGCTTCCCCTTCTGCCTTGATTGTAAGTTTCCCAAGGCCTTCAAAGCCACTGGGAACTGTGAGTCAATTAACCCTCTTTCCTTTATAAATTACCCAGTCTCAGGCAGTTCTTTATAGCAACATGAGAACAGACTAATACAGTACCTTTATTTATGTTACACTCCCAGCTGTTTGGATGTTTTCATTTCTATGCATTCCACAAATTCACTTCCTCACTGTTCCACTCCTTTGTGATTACACTTCCCAGAAGATTTACAAAAGACCTATTAAGAGTCAACAGAAGCCTTATCTACTGTGATTATCCACAGAGCACAAATAAAGGAATAGAGGCTCAGCCAGGCTGAGTAACTTGCCCAAGGTCACACAGCATGCAAAAGGGAAGAGCCTGGATTCTCAGAGCTGGAGCTCTTAACTATCACCCTCCACAGCCTCTCTGTTGGCAAAACTTCCCGCCCCTGAGAGAAAACCTGAGCTGTGAATCAACCATTCTCCAGGCTGACTGACCTAGCAACCTTACAGCCAAACAGAGAAATTACTTCTCCCCTTGCAGCAGAAGAGGGAAGGAAAGAGTCTCTACCCTTTGCCCAAGCATTCCTAATGGATCCATCACCCTTCCCGGAGTCACTGGCTTCAAACACTTAGCCTGCGGTGTAACTGAAATCATTATCGATCCAGACTGTTCTCTAAATGAGCTCACAATCTACCATGCCGCAGACCAGCCAGGCCCCGAGGAGCAGCTGCCTCCTTGATCCACTCTTCCTGGCTCATATTTACACTAGGAAATTAGAAGTTAAAGTAAAAGCAGATAGAGATGGAATTGAATTATATCAAGCAAAGACACAGTGTGCAAAGAAGGCAAAAGTGAATGAGCAAGTTTGTGCCAGGCATTGCCTGAGTTGGCAACTCAGTGCCCTTCCCAACATCTCCGGTATTCATTGATGTGTGAACTTAATGGGGGCAGGGGCTGTGCCTGTATCACTCACATCATATCACTGTGTGAATGTATCACCATCCTGCTGTCAGGAGAACTTGGAAATGACAGATGAAGAGATTGGCTTAAACCAGTCTGTGCTTGTTCTTTTCTAAGTGAGAAGCCCAGAGGAAAGGCAACCTCAGGGTTGGTCTGGGAGTGCAACCAAGCCATCAGGATCCAGGCTTTTCCTGCATTTCTGCTCTGCCATCCTCTTGTCGTCTCCTCCTACTCAGGCTTGATGCTCTGGGCCCTCAAGCTCCAAACATCAACTCCCCATTCAAAGCAGGAAAAGAGGAAAGAGGGCAGTGCCACCCAGGCCCCCTTCCCTGTCTGCACTTTTTATCAAAAGCACCCAGCCTCCTCTCACATTTCATCCAGTTCAGGATCTCAAGCCTACTAGCTGGGGTGGTGGGGGTGATGAGGGAGTGGTGTTATCCTGATCCATTTAGAACAATCATAAATGACTCTTCACTGAGGTCTGACAAATTCTTGCCCCAAACAAAATTGATGTTCTATCAAAAAGAGAGAAAGAGGAATATTGGCAACTAACAATGACTGTTTCAACTGTACCCTAAGCACACAGCAGAAGGCCTGGCAAGTAGCAGGTGCTCCGTGAACAAATTTGATGAATCAATAAATGCCTTTGTTCTGTAAGGATGGAGGGAGGAGTGTGGATTGGGGAAAAGGGTCAAAGAGGAGAACAGAGGAGAGTGGAAGATATGGGGTTGCATCTGCTTCCCATCTATTCCTGGGATAGGTTTGAGCTCCTGTGTTTGAAGGAGTAAAGGCCAGAAACTGATGGTCATGAGCATCCTGGTGATATTCTAGGTGAGGGGTAAAGGCCAGAAGCTCAGGGCACTGATTGGCACCACATAACCCAGCAATGCTCTGCCCATAAGAAACTGAAAGCATTAGCGGTGTCCAGAGAGAGTCCTTTGGCATGGAAAGCCAGCAGTATTCTTGGGGTGGGCCTCAGGGCGGCTTCAGCAGATGGCCTGCCAGGCTGTGGACTCTATCAGGTGGGAGCCAGAAGAGAGGAAGGAGGAGGCCACGTAGAGGCCACAGCTGACAGACTGGCCATGGGTGCTCCTGCAACAAGCCTTGGAAATCCAAAGAACACTGTGAGGGGGTCAGTGCTGTCAATCAAGAAGGTGGAGGCTTGTGCCAATACAATTTGTATTTCACAGGCTGGTGTCATTTAAGTTGCAAGTGGACAAGACAGAGTTGGCTATGGTTTGCCCACAAGAGGAACGTTGGCCTAACTAGATTCTCAGAGCTGGTGACACTCATGGTAAGAAGCCTGCCCAGGAAGCCGGAGTTAGATTTCGGGGTCAGGATTTGAGGATTGTGCAGACAGAGCTGGAATTGGGGAACTGCTAGCAGCCACGTCTCCCTCATCCCTGAGCCATGCCTAGAATAAGAGTCACTACTCTCTCTCTGGTTTAGATGGTCCATCCTCATCCCTGGACCTCAGTTTTCTCACTGATAAAATGAAGGGATCACATTATAGTCCCTAAAAATCTCTTAACACTGGTATTCTGTTTTATTAGCTAAGGAATATACAAACAAAAAGAGCATTAAAATAAAATCAGAGCAACTGAAGACATGAATAAAGATATGGCCCAACCAAGAGGCAGTGATGAAGCAGTTGAAATTCAGGCTCTGGACTGGGCCGGACCTGAGCTTAGGGTCAAGATCTATATCATCTTATATTTCTAAGTTTGAGACATGTTTTCATTGTCTGTAAAATGGAAATAATAATACCAATCTCATGAAGTAGTGTTGAGAATTAAATAATAGACCCATTGCCTAGGAAAGTGCCAGGTATCCACTAGGTGCTTCATAAATGTCACTTTAAAGTAACCAAAAAAAAAATAAATCCTCAAGTGATGATCTGCTACTAGGACTTCAGAACCTCAATCTCCTGTTTTAGTTTCCAAATCCTTGTTCCAAAAAACTATCCATTTTCTGCCTGCCAACTTCATGTCTAAGGAGGCAGCCAGAACCATCACACCTTCCTGAAAGTTTAATGACTGCATGTTTTATTTAGGGGATTGCCAGGGTTCATCCTGGACTCAGAGAGGTGTGGGGAGGCCCTCTATTCTCAAAGGGCCCAAACTTGTTCCTTTCATAGGCCTTGTCTTGTTGGATAGCCAAATAAAAGACTTTGCCCACTCAGATTCAAAAATCTATTCATTAATGGGATGCAATTCACATTATATGCCACTAATTACCCTAGGAAGGCATTTAAAATTAATAAGGAACTACAGTTTAATTGTTCCATAATGACAGGGAGTTCCAAAGTGCCCTCTTGAGTAATAAAATTAACATTTAAACTAGTTCAGTCAAAGAACCTTCCCTTAACTATAACTCTTCACTATTAGCATGGCTTATTTATTTATTTATTTTTCTCTTTGGGCAGTTCTAAAATACCACAAATTTAACTTTAAGAATCTGCCGAATGTTCCAGACAGCGACTGCATCGTGTGCAGTATTTCAGGTGAACTATGGATGGCAGGAGGAACCCTGGCCCCCACCACACACACAGACACACACACACACACATATACACACACACAGGCTAAAGTTAGATTGCCCTACATTTATTTAAGCAAGGGTAGAGAATCTTTTCAGAGGACAATGCATCTCCCTAAAGGGAGGTGGGAGGCCAGGGCCAGCTGGCAAAACGCTGTCCAGGGTAGAGTCATCCAAGATCGCAGAAGAGACATTTTTGCTCTGAAACCATTGTTTCTTTCACATTTGAACTGCTATCACTATTCCAAGATCCTCTCTGTGCTTTTGTTTAAAGGAATGTGGCATATTTAAAACATGCCTGTAAAAGGTGGATTCTAATTTCCTCTCCCTTTGAATATGGGGAGGATTTGGTGATTCCTTTCTAACAAATAAAACAGGGCAAAAGGGAGGCTGCGTGTCTTCCAGAACTAGGTTCTAAAAAGGACATGGCTTTCACTTGGCTCTTCCTTGAGATGCTTGTCCTTGGGATCCAACCACCATGTTGTGAGGAAGCCCAGGCACACACAGAAGCCGCACTTAGGTGTTCTGGCCAACAGGCCATTGAGGCCCCCAGCCAGCAACAGCATTGACCGCCAGATCCATCAGTGATGAAGCCTGAAGAGGATTCCAAGCACCCAGCATTCAAGCCACAGAGGCCCCAGGCACTGTGGGACAGAGACAAGTCCTGCCCCCGGCACTCTGAATTCCTGACCTGCAGAAACTGTAAGAGCTATTAAATGATGATTTTAAGCACCTAAATTTTGGAATAAGCTGTTACACAGCATTAGATGACTAACACAGGAATGTTTACAGACACTGTGCATCCTGGTTCTTAAACAAAGCCTTAAGGCCAGTAAGGCCTTATCCATTCAAGATAGAGGAGAATGAGAGGGAGGCCAGCCATGCCTGACCACTGTCCCAGCTACCAGCCTTCCAGCATGTGTGTCATCCTGCAGAGCAACATATTCCAAAAGAGGCTCTTTGGCCCCGAGCAATTTTAAGGTTGAAGGATTTTCCTATAATTCAAAGAGATAGGACTAAGCACAGCTTATCAACCCTGGATGTTTGCTTTCCCTAAAGAGCTAAGGACTGGCATTGCTAATCCCTTGAAAGTGTCCTTTCAGAGGCTCCCGTCATGTTGCGGCTCAGTTCACACATGCTTGGGAGAGACGAAAAGTCAATGGAGAGGGAATGGCTGTGTTCTGGGACTTGTCGTACCCCATTCTCCATGCCTGGCCCTAGCCACACCCCATATCCACTGTCTCTCACACCAGTACTGCTAACTCCCTCAGGCCAGGCCAGCTGTCTCCTCATTCACTCATTCAATATGCATCAAGTACTTACTGCATCAGGGGAGATAGACATTAAATCAATCATGCAAATAAATAATTATACTTGTTCTAAGCACTGTGAGGGAGAAGTACAGGGTTCTCTAGGGAGCTAGGGATATTTAAACTAAGACATGGAAAACTAGAGAATTATAGAGACAAACAAGGGCAGAGTGGGGGCATAAAGAGAACATTCCAAACAAACAAATAACATGTACAAAGGCCACAAGATAGGAAGAAAATGTGTGGTACCTGGAGTCCTAAAGAAAGACCAATCAGGCCGGGTGTGGTGGCTCACGTCTGTAATCTCAGCACTTTGGGAGGCCGAGGCGGTTGGATCACAAGGTTAAGAGATCGAGACCATCCTGGCCAACATGGTGAAACCTCATCTTTACTAAAAATACAAAAATTAGCCAGGCTTGGTTACACGCACCTGTAATCCCAGCTTCTCAGGATGCTGAGACAGGAGAATCATTTGAACCCGGGAGGCAGAGGTTGCAGTGAGCCGAGATCACACTGCTGCACTCCAGGCTGGCGACAGAGCCAGACTCCGTCTAAAAAAAAAAAGACCAATCAATCAGCACCATAAGACAGGATGAGAAAAAATAATAATAATAATTTTTAAAATTAAAAAAATTTAAAAAGAAGGACCAATTAGGACAGTGGGAGCAGAGAAAGCTGTAGAAGAGCCTGATGAAAGAAGCATCCCTGGGGGAGGGTGGGGGTGATGTGCAGGCCTCGTGAAAAGATTGGGTCTGTATTCCAAAAACAACATGCAGCTGCAAAAGCGTTCCAAGCAGGAGAGTGACAAGGTGAAATTTCTTTTGTTAAATCATTTCTGTTCCCTAACCTTATTGTTTCCCTCCTGTATGTGCACCTTTGTAAAACCCAGATCACATTATATCACAGCTACTTGCTTAGGTAACTTTCTCCCAGACTGATGGCCTCTGAGAGCAGGGACCATGCCTGCACCATACTTGTGACTTCATCGGGCTCCCTACCACTCCTCCTGCAGCCTGCAAGGTCTGGCACCATCATTCCCTTGTCCACCTCTCCAGGATCATCTCGAGTTTTTTTTTTTTTCTTCTTTTTTAAAAAAGTTTATTTTATTTTATTCTAGGTTCCGTGATATATGTGCAGGATGTGCAGGTTTGTTACATAGGTAAACATGTGCCATGGTGTTTTACCTCACCTAACAACCTATCACCTAGGTATTAAGCCCCACATGCTTAGCTATTTATCCCGATGCTCTCCCTCCTCCCACCCGACCATCCAGTCTTTTTTCTCTGGTCACTCACCATGGACGAGGCACACTGACAGACTGTCACTTCAGGGGCCCTTCCAAGATGCCCTGGCTAAGATAAGACCCCCGCTAACTGATCTCAGAGCAACCAATGCTTCCCCACTGGAGCACCTACCAGGATTTATATCACTACTTATATACATTATTGATTTAATATCTGTCTCCCCTCCTAGACTGTCATTTTCATGAAGGCAAAGAACCTGTCTCTCTTGGTCATCATCATATCCCCAGTACCTCGCACTGTGACACACATTGCTGGCATTCCAAAAAGAGTTGTTGAATGCCAGAATGAATGAGTATGCGTGAACTGGCAAATGAATGGGTGAATTAATGCATGACCCCAGTGGCCACCCGGGCCAGTTCAACCATGGATGTTGGGCACTTCTTTGTGATCACCCTTCAGTACTTTTAATGGCACAACCTCTTTGTTGGCCTCACTGACACACTAATGGAAGGAATCCATCTTAATGCAGCCTTTATAGGATAAATCAAAAGTGGGAACAGGTAGAGGCAGGGAAGGTATTTTTGGCAATCTCTGAGTAGTTATCTTAATCCTTCCACCAAGTAAAAGGGTGAAAACTGGCAAACACCCATGCTCAGTGAATGATTCCCTGTGAATGCATTCCTAAGCTCCCCAAGTCCAGGGCATTTCAAAGTCTTTCACAGGAACCAAACACAGTCCTATACGTCAGTGCTTTCCAAGCTACCGCTGGTCAAGGGCTGAGTTTTATTTTTATTTTCAACCCATCACAGAAAAATACTTTATAAAATACCAAAATTATATGCTTGGATGTGACAGCAATGTCAAATTGCTATAAATGTTTCTAAATACTTATTTTTCATTTCTGTACTCATTTCATCATGGGTAACACATATTTTGCACACTTAAACCCATCTGCAGACCACACTTTGAGTAGCACTGTTCCAGATCAGTACTCGCACTCCCACTGTGTCACTCCTCAGCCATGACAGACATTATTAATCGATTATCACACAGTTTCCCACTAAGACCACATTTGGCTTTCACATCTTTCTGTTCCTAGTATTCAAGACACTGAGCAAACAATCAGAGATACCATGGGAAATAAACCTTATTTATCATCTCTGCTCTACATGGTCCATAGATTGGCCATTTATCATATTTATGTCTGTGATAAGGAAATGTCTGTATTTTTGTTTATAGCCTAATGAAAAGTTCACAGAGAAAGGCCAACTCATCAAAAAGAATCCTTCTTGTTCATTCAGTTCAGTAGCAATCTTCTGCCGCTTGAAGAGTCTTTAATTCATACATACTAACAAAAGATGCAGCAATCTATATTAGATACACAAACTTCTGGTCTGTTCTCAGATGTCAGCTGTACAGATCATATTTGGAAATCTGGAATTACTGGTTGTTCATTGCTTTGATTCTTTCTTCCTTCAAATTCTTCATTCCTATGGCTTACCTGCTTTTATTTCAAGTTGTCACAAGGGTTCATTCACAGTGGATTGTTTTCAGTACTCATTATCCACTGTGTCAAAACACTGAGGGTTTCCATTCCTCCCAAGTTCAGTCTTTTCCCCAGCAAGACTAAAACCCCTCAGTCCTTCTCCTGTAACCATCAAGCTCTGACCCAAACTCCATTCACAGTCATGGAGAGTCCAAAGTAGAAGAAGCCACAAGAGAGAGAGAATTGATCTGTTGTCCCTGCATTTCAGATCCAAAGCTCAGTCTGAAGAAAGATGAATTTGACTTTGAACCTTTTCTCTCCACCTCACCTGTAAAGTTCTCTTTGAAATGGTTTTGCAGCTTCCCAGTGGACCCTGCAAACCACAGAATCACAGACTGTGAGTGCTAGAAGGGACACTGAAGAGCATCTATGTAATCAAAAATCTTCTTTTTAGCAAGGAAAAACAAATGAGGTTAGTTTGAAGAGTCAGAAGAATCAGGCTGTCTCACTAATCACTTGGATGACCTTAGAAGTGCTACTTCACCTCTCAGCCACCGTTTTCAAGGAAAACAGATAAGATCCTTAAAATGTGATGACAGTGACTCACTCACGGGCTAGTTGAGAACTAAATGAGATCACAAAAAGCAAAAGTGCTATGAAAGTGGGAGCACCACGTGAATGTCAGGGTTT
Organism: Homo sapiens; assembly: GCF_000001405.40. Taxonomy (NCBI): domain Eukaryota; kingdom Metazoa; phylum Chordata; class Mammalia; order Primates; family Hominidae; genus Homo; species Homo sapiens. The sequence goes on along the minus strand of NC_000005.10, from coordinate 160,513,238 downwards.
TAGCTGTCCTGAAGTACAGGTTGAGCATCCCAAATGGGAAAATGCAAAATGCTTTGAAATCTGAAAGTTGTTGCGTGGCAACATGACACTCAAAGGAAATGCTCATTGGAGCATTTCAGATTTTAGATTTTTGGATTAGGTATGTTCAACCAGGTAAGTATATAATGCAAATATTCCAAAATCCAAAAAATGTGAAATATTAAACACCTCTTGTCTCAGGCATTTTGGATAAAGGATACTCAACCTGTACCACAGGAAACTAGAAGCAAGTGTCAGAGTGGAGACACAGGGGTGAGGGAGAGAGATAATTCAATCTACCTTTTGACAAAGACCTTGGGAGCTGGAATGAATTTAAGAAAAAGAATTAGGAGGTTTGGACCCATTTGTAGTCCAGGCAAGAAGTGATAGTAGCTTGAACTAGGATAGTAATTGTGAAAGGAAAAAGTGGACAGATTCAAAAATAAATATGAAGTAAAATCCTCAAGGCTAGATGATGGATTAGACATGGAAACAGACAGAGAGGTATTCAGGTGAGATTTCTGGCTTATTTAAGTGAATGGTGGCGTCGTCCTCTGAGTCTGGAAACACTAGAAGAGATTCAGGTAGGTGAGGCACAGATGGAAGATCACAGACTCATTTTCCAACAGGGTGAGTTAGAGACATCCAAGTCAAGGTGGCAGAGAGGCCACTGGAGCTGAGAGGTATGCATGGCTCAAGATATAAAAGAAGTATATGCATGGGGGTGGGAATGGAAGCAATGGGCTGGAAGAGATCGCCCAGAGAAAGAATACCGGGTGGAAGAAGAAGTGGGCCTGGGGCCAAGCATGAAGGAATCCTGATATTTAATGGCAGAGGAGGATGGAACCTCTAGAGAAACAAAGGAGAGACAAGAGAGACAGAAGAAAAGGCAGAATCATATCTCAACCAATGGAGGGAAGAACTGGCCAGTAGCATCAAGTGCTGATAAGGATTTATTTAGGATAAATATTGAAAAGTATCCATTTGATGAGCAATGGACATCATCAGTGCCCTTTCATGATAGAAATCAAACTCCAGGTCCTTTCCAAGTACAGGTTGTTCCCTGTTCCTTGTCCCCACTACCATCCAAGATTCATAGTAGACCTCCAGTCTCTGGGAAAAAACAGTCCTCCTTGAGGGACAGCTTTGGGCTTCAGTTAAGCCTGGAGCTTCGTGGAGACCCAGCTCCACCCTACCCTCTATGAAATCCTACGTACTGATACTGGTTTTGTCTAAAACACAGATGAAATATAGAGCACGCCTGTTACACCAGACCTGGGTCCACATCAGACATCACTAATGGATCAGAATTGCCACCTGCAAACGTGTGTCTCTGGGGGTGACTGTCTCCGTATCTCCAGTTCTGGTTTGCCTGCACAGCCCAGAACCCTGGATGCCCCTGCCCACCACATGGTCCATTTCTCCCTTAGGGAGGCAGAGACAGCAGAGATGAAGCACATTCCAGTGCCAGCACCTCTTTGTTCCTGGTTCCACATCCCTGGCTGCTCGGCTGCACACAGCTGGTCGGCCAGACTGTTGCATCTGTTCCCAATATTGATGTGATTCTCAGTGATTTGCTTTGGAAATCAAAACCTGGGGATTGTTGGCTTTATCTAAAAAGCAAGTCCTGCTCCACTGGGGAAGAGGAATGACTCGGCTCACAGCAGAGTTGCGTTTGTTTGGTTTTTCCTGTCGGACACAAACATCCACCCAACGGGTCCTGCCCAACATGGACGATGCGCGAGCCTCCTCTGGAGTTTGATTTGGGAGGATAATAAGCTAAACAAAGGAGCAGATGATCCCGGAGGCTTATTTGCAGTCTGCACAGTTATATTTAGCCATCTTGTGACTGGGTTGCTGCCTCTGTGTGGCAATTGCCCTTGGGAAATTTAATCCCTGGGGGATGCAGAGAGGGGACAGAACTGGGAAAGGGTATGGAGGGGTTTTAAATGCTGCTTTGGGGCACAGGAAGGAGGGTCAGACCAAATGTGTCCAACAGGCAATCAGCGGGGGACAGTATTTTGGACACTTACTAGTAGAAGCATGGAAGAGAATACAAAAATGTGTAAGGGGACATTTGTGTTCATTGTCTGTAAATTGTCTAGCACATAGGATTGTGAGGTCCCTTTGTCTTTCCTTTATGCCTACACTCAATAAGCCTGGCAGAGTGAAAAGGGCAGCGGGTGGGAAATCCAAAAACCTGGATTCTAGTCCTAGTCTGCCATCAGCTCAAAGCCATCTCCCTTCTCTGTAAAACGAAAAGCCTGTCCAGAGAGGATGATCCCTAAGATCTTGTGATTTTACCCGTGACAAGATGCAGAGAGGCCACGCAGCATCAGTGGGGAGCAGACGGTTAAGGAAATCGTGGAGCTGTCACAACGGAACACTCTGCAATCATTACAAATGGTGGTGCTGCTGGGCGCGGTGGCTCACGCCTATAGTCCCAGCACTTTGGAAGGCCAAAGTGGGTGGACCACCTGAGGTCAGGAGGTCGAGACCAGCCTGGCCAACATGGTGAAACTCCGTCTCTACTAAAAATACACAAATTAGCTGGGCGTGGTGGCACTGGCCTATAATCCCAGCTACTTGGGAGGCTGAGGCAGGAGAATCGCCTGAACCCAGGAGGTGGAGGTTGCAGTGAGCTGAGATCGCACCATTGCATTCCAGCCTGGGCAACAAGAGTGAGACTCTGTCTCAAAAAGAACAAAAAAAAAAAAAAAAAATGGTGGTGCTGATACCACCCGACAAAAAAATGAACTTCCATTAAAATAATCTGTAGAGGGGGGAAAATGGTGCTAATCTATATTAATTGAGACTGAAGGCATTTATAATCTCTTGCTAAGTGAGAATGGCAGCAGCAGCATGGAGCAGCCCTTCACCGTCAATCAGGCAGCTGTGGAATGGGAGAGAAAGACCACAGAGAGCTGGAGGGTGGTCCACAAAGGTCTGGAGAGGAAGGGGAATCCAAGCAGAGCCTCATCTCACTCCTGCTGACCTCTCTCCCTCTGTCTTTTGGGACTAACTTCTCTGGGAATGTGAACCCCAGAAACTGGGACTGCCAGAGAAAGGAGGTTTTTATATAGGATTTGTGTTGTGGCTTGTTTTGCTTTGTTTTGGTTTGTTGTCTTCATGATGTTTCATGCCCAAATACATGGAGGTAGAGCCCAAACCACCATCTTTCCCCAGCTTGAGGCAGCAAGAGGAGTACCAAAGGGAGCTTAGGTCCTTAGAGACCTAGTCACCTGGGGGGACACTCTTCGAAAAAGATGGTGGCTTTAGGCAGAAGCTCCACCTCTTGTTGGGGCCTAGCCTCGTAGAGATAGTCCATCATTCTAGAATGATGCGGCAGGAAAAACATTATATATCATCCCTCATTCCCAGAGCAGTCCTGTTTCCACCCTACTTATTCTCAAGCTGACAGGTTCATGAGCTAGTACAATAAGGCTCTGGATTCCAGGATAATGGAGGGTTTAATCTGAGTTTCAGGGAGACACGTAACTCTCACAGATATTCACCAAGTCTCCCATATCAGTCTCATCCTCATCAAAGGCAAAGAGAATACTGACTGTCATGGTGCGATTTGAAAGAACCAACAGTACCTCCTTCACCACCTGCCAAAATTCCACCCTTAGCTCTTCATTCCTTTCTGTTAAAGTATACTCAACTGCTGAAATGAAAAAAAAAAATGTATGAGTCAGGAAAATAAAGCTCCCTCAGTATGAAGAGCCCCCAGAATTAGAAATCACACAAATCACAAATAGGCATCTAAGTGGGCAGTTCTCCAGTCTCAATCATCTTTACCACTTCTCTTCTTTGAATCAGAAGAGTCTTTTCACATCACCATGTTATCCTTTTACAAAGGGGCAATTTAGGCCCAGAGGAGTTTCATTTCTTAAGCAAGGTCACACAGCACATTAAGAACCAACATTGGGGTCCTCTGACTCCTGGGAACATTTTAAAGGACTCTTTAAGGTGAAATTCAACACATTATTTCGTTGTTTTATAAACAGCAGGAACCTCCCCCACCAAAAGTCCTTTTTTATTCTTTCTTTGCTGGCACCAGCATCTATAGTGATTACAGTATGCAGAATGAAATCATCTGAGTGTGTAGACGATGTATCTGAATTCAGACACGCAGAGTTTGGGCTTGGAATTTGACACGTCCCACACCAGTGCAAACCCTATCGGCTTATCTGGGTGTGCCTGCAGACTTCATAGCCCTGGTCTCACGCTTCTCAGTCCTTTGCCTTGGTGTTCCTGCCCTCTAGTGGCAATAAACTTTACTACAGTCACATTCACCAGCAGACAGCAAATCAAACGGAAGTTAGATTTGAGAAGTTATAGCACTTTTCAGGAAGGATAAAGGCAACCCACATCTTTCTCTTTAAAAGCAGACCTCGTTATCATGGGAATGATGTTTAGTCTCACACACAAAAACGCTACTATCTAGTCTTTAGCACGAAACAGATCTTAACTTAGGCATCCAAGGTCCTGGGCTGGAAAATAGATTATATAACTGACTTAGGGAGTCATGGGAATAAGGGGGCTCAGAGAATCTATAGGGCAGGAACAGAAAGACTTAAAGTGGCAAAAGAGAAGGACATTGGCAGATGGTGCCCCCTGTCAACACTGGCATGAATTAATTCAAAGTCCTGCCTTCCCCTTTTCCCAGCTTTGAAGGTTCAGTCCCCTAGTCCCCAACCACACCTCCCTTTGCTCATCTAACTCCTGCTCCTTCTGCCCATATCAGCTCAAGGCTCCTTCCAACTCTGAAAATGAGATGGGCCCTCGTCTTATGCTCTCATGGTATGGGGAAATTTCCAAGCATAAGACTTTTTCACAGTCCTTAGTTTTATGTATCTCTGGTTATTTTCATGTCCACAGTAAATTATATAAGCTCCATGAGCTTAGGCACTGAGCCTCCCTTTATTGACCATTGAATCTGTGCCCCCAAAACAGTGATTAGCACATAGGAGGCCCTCAATTAATGCTGTTCAATTAAATTAATAAAATTGTAAGTGTTGGTTGAATGTGTGACATTTGTTTGCAGACTGAACAAACAGATCTTGTCTCAATGAAGAAAACAGGCAAAGTGTACCTAGGGTCTGTCCACAGGGCTATGCAGAGCCAACTGTGAGCACTTTCCTTGTACAAGCCGAGGGTGGACACTTTCCTTGGACATCACCCCAAATGCTCACCCTCACCCTGGGATGAGTAGCTGAGCAAGGGTCTTCACCGTAATTATACTTTTTGATCATGAGCATCCATAGGCTCAGCTTTTGTTCCTGCAAAGGTAACAGAATCTGCCTGAAAACAGAGGACCGAAGGACAGCAGACAGAAAGGCTTTGAAGACACCAGGAGACCTGACCTTCAGAGCTGCCTCTCTGTGTGACCTTGGATGCTACCTCCCTGCACTGGGTCTCCATGCTTTCATTTGTAAAAGAAGGAGCTTGAGGTATGTAACATCAAAGTCGTGGCGTTCTGCTGTCAGAAACCCCAGCTGAAGCTGGCTTAAAGTAAAAAAATGGAATATATTGCTCATGAAACTGCAAAGCCATGGATTCAGGGTTGCCTCGATCTAAGATATCAAGCAACGTCATCCAAGCCTGGTTTCTCTTCTCCATCCATCAGTTCTGCTTCCCTTTGTGTTCACTCCACTTGTAGGCAAGTTCCTTCTCTGTGAGGGTCTCTGGCAGCTCCAGGCTTTCATCCCCTCAGCAGAAAAATAAAGAGGCTCTCTCTCAGACCCAGAACTGCAGCTCAGCCATACCTTTTGGGCCGTATACTCATTCATGAGCCAGTCACAGTGGTTACGGGAAATTCTTGGCTCCACATGAATCACAGAAACACCACCCAGAGGCCAAGCTCCATGACAGTAATGAGGAAGCACTCTCAGAATGCTGGGGAGGAGGTACTACACACACTGAAACAAAAATGGCACCCCAGAGTCAGTGATCTTTAAAGACTCTTCTAGCTTTTTTTACCTTGCCGTGACTCTGAGATTTGATACCAGGGAAAGGGAAGGGAGAATAAAGCCATAAACACTCTCTAAACTTAGTCCAACCTCAAATCTTTCAAAAAGCCTAAATGCGGAATAACACTCATCATCCATTCTGAAGGGGGAAACGGGGTGACAGCGGCAGCCCTAGAAAGCAAGTGATGACTTTGACCCTCCAGAAGCCACGGGGTCTGAAAACGAATGACATTTTGATAATGCCACTAAAATGAAACATTTCTATTTCACAAAAAGATGGACAGTCAGTGAGATTCATAAAAAAAGAAAAAAAAGAAAACATTATTAAACTTTCCCTTTCACTGCTTCTTTGTATCTCTGGTTGAAATGGAGCAAGATGCAGGTTGCCATGGTGACGGCTGAATTTTAAATAACAGGGCTCAGGCGCACTGGCTGCTGGCTGTACCGCCCCAGGCAGGAAACGGTTGTGGGGAGAGAGACAGAGGCTGAGTGAGAAAGGAAAGAAAGCTGCTGGGCTCATCCCAGGACACTGTCACTTCTCCAACTTGTTTTCCTTGCACTGAGGGAAAGGTCCAAGAATGACGGACTCTCCAGCTTCTTCATAGAATGAGGGAAGGTGGGAGTCCAGATGCATAAGAACAGAACCTCAGAAGTCACCTTGTCCCTCCCCTACCTGATTCTCTCTTGTGACAAATGGATTTCCCCTACACTTACACCCCTTCCCACGAACAACGGGCCCAGCTCACCCAAGTGTTAGATGGGACACTGGAAGCCTGTCCCTAAGAAAAACGTCCCAAGAGTTAGAGACACAAAGGGCAAGAGCCCAAAGGATTTTTAAGTGAAAGAGGAATTTGCGGTTCAAAGCCCAGAAGCTGTCAATTCACATAGCTGTAGCCACATATTCCAGTTCTGCTCCTCTCTCTAGAACCATCCAAGACTGCAATGGAGAGATTCAGGAAGTGGTGAGTTCTCCATGACTGACATGTTCAAGCCCACATCAGCCAGTGAGGAGCTGCCCGACAGGGGGCTGTTCAAATCGTTTCAGGCTTCAGAGAGTCACGGTCCTGCTGGGGCAGCTCAGAGAATCCATGCGGTAGAAGACCAAGTCTTTCACCCTGCACCCTTCTACGTTCCCAGGCCAGGGAAGAGGGAAACCAGAGGCGGAAGCTGGAGGAACCAGCAGCCGGGGAGCCCAGAACTCCACTGTGATGCGTACACGCTTGTGAGGACTGGCTCTGACAGGAGGTGGTCTCTTCTCCACTGCCTTCACTGCTGGTATGTGTGTGTGTATGTGTGGGGGGGGTATGTATGGCAGGCCCAGGCCAGCGCTGTTTCCCTGCTTTCTTAGATCCTTTTCTCAGAACTTTGGAGTTCCTGACTCTGTGTGAGAAGGCACAGGCAGGTGGCCTGGTGGTGTTAACACTGGGCCACTGTCCCTTCTCTTCCCCTGGCTTCACCACACGCCAAGCAGACCCCAAAAAGGACTTGTGTTCTCAGCCTGCCCTGTCCCTTATCTCCTGGCCAAGGTAGCAGGCAGCCAAGGCCACTCTTTGTTTGTCAGGGAAAAGCTTCTAGATGTTAAATAGTAGTAGTAACAATAATAATAATAAACACATAGATTTTTCCTCATGGCTGGGAAAGTGGCAGGATTACTGAAGCTGAACACGTCTGACACTTCCCCAGAAGCCAGGTGAGCAGAGGCCCCAGGAGAGAAGGGAAGAGCCAAAGAGACAGGGTCCCTGGGCCTGTGACCTGCACCCCTGGGACCTGTCCTGTGCTCCAGGCCTGACAGTCGGCAGTTTGGGACCTGGGATTCCCCATCAGTATTCCCCAGGAAGGTCAGGACCGCTGGGAAAATGACAGCATCTTAAGAAGGAGATAAAAGCCAGGGGAAGAAAAGGGACAGTGGCCCAGTGTTCACACCACCAGGCCACGTGCCTATGCCTTCTCACACAGTCAGGAACTCCAAGGTTCTGAGAAAAGGGTCTAAGAAAGCAGGGAAACAGCACTGGACTGGGCCTGCCATACATACCCCACACACACATACACACACATATACCCCACACACCCATACATACCCCACACACACACCCCACACACACACATCCCACACAAGTACACCATACACACACATGCATGCACACACACCCCTCACACCCCACACACACCCCACACACACATAAACCACACACACACCACATGCACACATACACATACACCCCTCACGCACACCACACACACACACCCCTCACACCTCATACACAAATACACCACACACACCCCACGTACACCCCTCACACCCCACACATACAGACACCACACACACACTGACACCACACACATACACACACCCCTCACACACATACACCACACACACACCCATCACACCCCACACATACATACACCACACACACATACACCTAACACACACACCCTTCACACCCCACACACAGACATACACCACACCCACCCCTCACACCCCACACACACCACACACACAAATACACATGTCTCACACACACACCCCACATACCACACACATACACACACCCCTCACACACACATACACCCCTCACACCTCACACACACATACGCACACCGCACACGCACACCTCTCACACCCCACACACACACACAGACTCCACACACATACACACACACCCCACACACCCCTTACACCCCACATACACATACACCACACACATACCTTACACCCTACACACACGTACACCATACACACACATGTGCACATACACACACCTCACACCCCACACACACACCCTCACACCCCACACACACACCCTCACACCCCACACACACATACACACACAGGCTCCACACACACACCCACACACACACAACCCTTACACCCCACACACATACACCACACACACACACCTTACACCCCACACACATACACCATACACACACATGCGCACAGACACACCCCTCACACCCCAAACACATATACACCACACACACACACCTGGATCAGGGACAGGAGCAGGAAGGGGCCTTTTGTAGAAACAGTCCCCTGGGATACACACACACACACACACACACACACACACCCACACTAGGCTTGTGTATGCATGAAACAGCTCCTGAAAGATGCACAGGATCTGTCAACAGGAAGGGACCAAAGAACTGGAGATGAGGGGGATAGGAAGGAGGTTTATTTTTCACTGCACACCTTCTTGCAGAATTTTACTTATGTGCTTATATTGCCTTTTCAAAAAATAAATTCTGTCCCCCTTTCTAGAACACACGTACAGAACCTGTCCCTTGTCCGGTCCACGTGAAGTTAGGAAAACTAAGTCCTAGTTTTATCCTGCCAGCAATAGTGAAGCAGTATGATGTCATAATGAGTCTTAAATATCCTTTGCTTCAGTTTCTGAGGCTGTAAAATGGGGTTAATAATATCTATTCTACCCTCCTTAGAGGCACTTTAGAAGTTCATTGAGATAAAACAACAATAGCAATGATAATAGTTTAAATATATTGAGTGCTTAACATGTACTGGGCACAGTGCTATTGTCTCAATCCGAAAACAATCCACTAAGGTAGCAACTAATGTGAGTCTCATCTTAAGAGACAAGGAAAATAAGGCAGAGAAAAGCAACTTGCTCAAGGTCATGCAACTATATATCATAAACTAAAAGTAAAATTCAAAGCCCCCCCCTTCCCCACCAACTGACTGAATGGACCATCTCTTGGCCAAGGGGATCCCAGAGTAAACTTGAAGACTGAGTTCTCAGCCATGACAGGATAGGAGACTCAGATACACATCATTATACCCCCTCCCTCATTAACCATCATTAGCCTTTCTTCCCTAAGGGCTTAACAGAAAGTAGCCCTTTCAGACTTCATGACCAAGGACCCAAAAGCAAATGCAACAAAAACAAAAATAAATAGATAGGACTTAATTAATCTAAAGAGCTTCTGCAAAGCAAAAGAAATAATCAGCAGAGCTAACAGACAACCCACAGAGTGCGAGAAAATCTTCGCAATCTATACATCTTACAAAGGACTAATAGCCAGAATCTACAAAGAACTCTGATATGGTTTGGCTGTATACCCACCCAAATCTCAACTTGAATTGTATCTCCCAGAATTCCCCCGCGTTGTGGGAGCGACCCAGGGAAAGGTAATTGAATCATGGGAGCCAGTCTTTCCCATGCTATTCTCATGATAGTGAATAAGTCTCATGAGATCTGATGGGTTTATCAGGGGTTTCCACTTTTGCTTCTTCCTCATTTTTCTCTTGCTGCCACCATGTAAGAAGTGCCTTTCACCTCCTGCCATGATTCTGATGCCTCCCCAGCCATGTGGAACTTTAAGATCAATTAAACCTCTTTCCTCCCAGTCTCAGGTATGTCTTTATCAGCAGCGTGAAAACAGACTGATACAAACTCAAACAAATTAACAAGAAAAAAACAAACAATCCCATTAAAAAGTGGGCTAAGGACATGAATAGACAATTCTCAAAAAAAGATATACAAATGGCCAAGAAGCATATGGAAAAATGCTCAACATCACTAATGATCAGGGCAATGTAAATCAAAACCACAGTGAGATACCACCTCACTCTTGCAAGAATGGCCATAATCAAAAAATCAGAAAAATAATAGATGTTAGTGTGGATGCGGTGAAAAGGGAACATTTTTACACTGTTGGTGGGAATGTAAACTATGTACAACCACTATGGAAAATAGTGTGGAGATTCCTTAAAGAACCAAAAGTAGATCTACCTTCTGATCCAGCAATCTCACTACTGGGTATCTACCCAGAGGAAAAGAAGTCATTATATGAAAAAGATACTCGCACACACATGTTTATAGCAGCACAATTTGCAATTGCAAAAATATGGAACCAGCCCAAATGCCCATCAACAAACAAGAAATGGACAAAGAAAATATGGTGTGTGTGTGTATATATATATATACACACACACTCAAACAGCCACACACACACACACCATGGAATACAACTCAGCCATAAAAGGGAATGAAATAATGGCACTTGCAGCAACCTGGATGAAGTGAAGTAACTCAGGAATGGAAAACCAAACATTGTCGTTCCCACTCATATATGGGAGCTAAGCTATGAGAACAACAAAAGGCATAAGAATGATACATTGGACTTTGGGGACTCGGGGAAAGGGTGGGGTGGCGAGGGATAAAAGACTACACATTGGGTACAGGGTACACTGCTTGGTGATGGGTGCACCAAAATCTGACAAATCACCACTAAAGAACTCATTCACGTAACCAAACACCACCTGTTCCCCAAAAACCTATTGAAAATAAAAAAATAAATTTAAAAATATTTTAAAAAGAAAACAGCCCTTTCAAAAGACTCCACCACTGGTATCAGTCTACCGCCTAATGCTGCCTCTCCTTTTTTGCCCGATAAGAGACCACCGACCACAGGGTGGTTCTGGCCAATCTACAAAGAATGCACAGTAAGGGTGTTCCTGTCTACTTCACCTTTTGATGTCAAAGGGCCAAAAACTCCACCCTTAGATCATGCTAACACCGTCATTTTTTGTACATGGGACACAAGCAGGGGGATGAAGCTCAATTGCACGTGTGCATATTTCTCCTTCATAAATATTCATGATTCCTCTGATAGCTTATTGAATATGTATATTCGACCACTCTGCTCAGCATAAATTTCTATTCCATTTGCCCCACCCTCAGAGTATCTGTTTTGGGCTTCTGACCAGAGGCTATGCTTCCCACCCTGTCAGAATGGCAACCCTGCAGGCTGCAATCCTTTATGAGAAATAAAGCTCTCCTTTCCAAATTTATGAACCTCCTCATTCTTCAGTTGATGATATCCAGCCTTCTGTTTCTACCGCTCACACTTTTACCCACCGAATGCAATATATAGGTTTGAAATTAGTATTCATTACTCTAGATGCAGCTTCCTGTCCTGAGATGTTTGGGTTGATCATCAGATTTCCTCCACCTGTTTCCCCATATTGGAATTTCTACCCTACTCAAGAGAGTCTAATGAGGAGCTAGAATCTAGAGATAGGAATATAAGCAATTTCAAAATAGGATCCTGGTCCCAGGAGTTAGGATTTGTTGCATGGCAGAGACCAGGATCCTGGAATCACCTTTAACTCAAGAAAGTGCTCAGAAACAAGCCCCAGCTGAGGTTTATAAACACAATTAGCTTGTTACCACCCCCACCCCCACTGTTACCATAGCAATGAGAGAGCTCTTGGATGCCAGTCCTCAATTGCTGTTCCTGATTTGCAGAGCCTTCCTAATGCACGCTTCCTCTTTCAGTGTCCTCTTCTCCTGTGTACTTCACAGACCTCTGCAATATCTACCAACTGTTGGTCATGCAATCCTTTCTTAAACTCCCCCAGAAACAAGCAGCTCACTACCCACCAGGCACAAATCTTTCTCAAACCAGCCTTAACTGTTTGTGAAGTCTTCTTTCTATTGTTCTAAAATCTGTCTCCCATTTTTTCCAGCCAAAGTTCTGGTGCTGCCCTCTAGGATATCATATCACACCTCATCCTCCTGACTCCTTCAGTTAACTGGAGATCATCCTCATAATCTGCCTGGGTCTTCTCTTCTCTAGACCAGTGGCTCTCAAACTTAAGCATGCATCAGACATGGAGGTCTTGTTAAACCACGTAGTCCAGGGCCTTACCCCCACAATTTCTGTAGGTCCGGGGTGGGCCCAGAAATTTACATCTCTAAGATGCCACTGCTGCTGCTTGGTGATTACACTCTAAGGGTCACTGTTCTTGGTAAGTACTCCTCATCCCTTTGAAAACTCTTTCTGTGTGAGAGCTCCCTGGCCTCTTTACCCTTCTAATCTCTCTCCTGGGGACCTGCTCCAGTTCACCAATATGACACCCAAAACTAGACAAGGAACCTTGAGTAGACATGTTTGACGACAAGGAACAAAGATTTTCCTCAGGCTACCTCAAGCGATAGGAGGTGGTTATAGTGGATGTAAGAAAAAAAAGAATCTCAAATTCATGGCCAGATTGATTGGACCCCAGGCAAATGAGGCCTCTAGGGAGGAGTAGAGATAGCAGTACACCTGGATCTCTACCCAGAGGACAAGAGCTCTTGTTAGTCCCTTAGCAGCGGGGCTCTGTTCATCCTCAGCTCTCTCCGCCTCATCTGCTATTTCTGCTGCCACCAACCAATTCCATATCCCCTCTCCATTTGTAGATTTTCTCTACCTCATAGCTTCTGCTTCCTCATTCTTGTTTCTGTTTTCTGATTTCCTTCTGCTCCCTTTTGGCCTCTACGACAGCATGGTCTCCATTAAGAGTTCAGCTTCGAGGCCTGCCACCAACCTTCTGATTTGCCTTCTTTTCCCAAGTTCAAACTCCCCAAAGAGGGAATCAGAGTGAGGTAAGCTTGTTTCAGTTTAAATAAAGCTCTTCAAAGTAGCCTGTAGACTGACAACCCTTGGGTCCTATTCAATCTTTTGTGGCTGGTAAAAGGTTGGAATACATGATATAAGCACTAGCTGCCCCCTTGGAAGGAGATGGTAAGAATAGCCTACAGTCCATTGGTTACCTGTAGGTTTCATCTTGCATGCCAACTTCATTCAAAAACTATTGGCTGCCTTAAAGACTGTGTTGATAGAGGTTCAGAGGCTACATCTAAACCCAGTGGAATATGGTTAATTAGTGGTATCTGTCATGGGCATTCGAGCAACAATCCTCAGCCCACATGCCAGTTACTTGCCATCCCCACTGTTAGAGCATGTGGTCTAACAAAAGCAAACTAAGTGGAGTCATTATCTTCCTCGTTTTGAGTTTCTTACTTGTCTTTATGAGGACAAAGATTATATTTGCTTCTTTAGACAGCTGGATCACACTATGGCTTCACACTGAACTTCAGCCACCTAAAACTCTTAAGCCTTTTTTATACCTGCTATTAAGTGACATTTCTCCCATTCTGCGTCATGCAAAAAAAGAAACATAACTAAACAGATAAATTTTACATTTTTCCTTAAAATAGTTCACCTTGTTTAATTTGACCCATCATTCCAGCCTATTGAGATCTTCTTACCATGAATAATGTCTATTTCTGGCCTATTTGATAAATTGCTCAAACTCTGCAGTCCATGAAATGGGGATTAAATGTTTATCTTCTTTACAGGATTCACAAAGATGAATTTAGATGATTAGTTTCCATATACTACCTTGCACCATTTAGGGAACAATTGCTGAGTAATTTCAAGAAATTATGTTTGCTGAGCACACTGGTTTGTGCCTGTAATCCCAGCTATTCCGGAAGCTGGAACTGGAGGATCACTTGAGCCTGGGCATTCGAGACCAGCCTGGGTGCCTGGGCAATATAGTCAAACTGTCTTTAAAAAAAAGAAGAAAAAAAGTAATCATCTTAGACTAACAAGTACACATGCATATTTGTCCACTGTGTTCACGGTGAGAAGAACCAAAGATAGTTAAACTATTTCGCTAGCTTAACTAGTCGATAGTTAAACTATTTCGCTAGCTTAACTAGTCGATAGTTAAACTATTTCGCTAGCTTAACTAGTCGATAGTTAAACTATTTCGCTAGCTTAACTAGTCGATAGTTAAACTATTTCGCTAGCTTAACTAGTCGATAGTTAAACTATTTCGCTAGCTTAACTAGTCGATAGTTAAACTATTTCGCTAGCTTAACTAGTCGATAGTTAAACTATTTCGCTAGCTTAACTAGTCGATAGTTAAACTATTTCGCTAGTTTAACTAGTCGATAGTTAAACTATTTCACAAAGGCAGCTCCTTTCCTAAAACAATAGCTGTTGTTCATTGAATAACTTTTCTGGGTAAAGGATACTTTAATATGTTATTTCTAACTCTTACAACAATATTAAGAGGTAGGTTTTATTATCTTTTTTTAGGGATGAGACAACTGAGACATAAGGGGTTTAATCACTTTCCAAGATAACACAGCTAGTATGTGGGAGTATGAATCCCAGCCCCAATCTGCCTGACCCCAAATCCCATGTCCCATCCACTGTGCAACATAGCTGCTCCCTGAGCATGTTCTCTGAATGACACTGAGACTTGCTGAAAATAACTGAGGGCAGAGATTGAGGGCTCATGAACATATTTACCCAAGGATCACAGTGTTTGTTTGTTTGTTTTGAGACAGAGTCTCATTCTGTTGCCCAGGCTGGAGTGCAGTAGCGTGACCACAGCTTACTACAGACCCCACCTCCAGGGCTCATGTTTCCCAAGTAGCTGGGACTATAGGCTTGCCCTACCATGCCCAGTTAATTTTTTTTTTTTAATTTTTTGTAGATATAGGGTTTCGCTCTGCTGCCCAGGCTGGTCTTGAACTCCTGACCTCAAGTGATCCTCCAGCCTCAGCCCCACCAAATGCTGAGATTACAGGCATTAGCCACCGCACCGATCTGGATGAACATTTTTAAAAGTACCACCTGTATTAGATTGAAAAAATTATGGTATATCTATACTTTGGAATATTATAGATATTATTTAAAAGAATGGGGTAGACTGACATGTATTTGTACAAAGAACTGAGCTTTACTGTTAGCTATGTCTACTCTGATCCTATTTTTTTAACATTACATTCATATGTAGGTAGGAGGTGGAGAATTATAGACTTCAGTTCCCATTCTTAACACTTCCATCTTGATTGAATTTTTACATTTGTATATTTTTAATCAAAAAATAGAAAAATAATCTGTTAAAATTATTAGTTACCCTTCTCCTTCCCCTCTGACTCCTGAATTTCATGACTCTGTATGACACATCAGGATCCAGGCCCCTGTGTCTACTGGCTCCAGCAAATAAGAAACCTATTGTCTCACATTAGAAAACCTGAGGGAGGATAGAACTTGGGTTGGTGAACTCAGTGGTTCATGGGTGTCATACGGCATCTTTGCACTCTCCCATTTTCAACAGGAGATCTGGTTCCCTGTCCATCATTTCCTAGTTGCCACAGTTCAAAATACCACAAGCTGCTACGATAATGTCCAGCAGAAAAAGAGGCAACTATTTCTTCCAATGCGACTCTTTCTAGCAGCAAGAAAGATCTATACAATGATCTCCCCTCATCCACAGTTTTGCTTTCCTCAGTTTCAGTTACCCATGGTCACCCAGGGCCCAAAAATACTAAATGAAAAATTCCAGACATAAGCAGTTTATAAGTTTTCAATCACGCATTGTTCTGAGTAGCATGATGAAACCTTGCACTATCCCACATCATCCCACCCAGGATGCGAATCATCCCTTTATCCAGCATCTCCACGCTGTCTATGCTACCCACCCGCTAATCACTTAGTCAGATCTTGTTATCAGATCTACTGTCACAGTATCAGTATCCCAGTGCTTGGGTTCAAGTAACCCTTATTTTACTTAATAATGGCCCCAAAGCGCAAAAGGAGTAGTGATGGCAATTTAAATATGCCAGGGAAGCCTAAAGTGCTTCTTTTATGTGAAAAGGTGAAAGTTCTCAATAAGCAATGAAATCGTTTGCTGATGCTGCTAATATCTACAGTATGAATGAATCTTCTATCCGTGAAATTGTGAGGAAGGAAAAAGAAATTCATGCTAGTTTTACTGTCACACCTCAGACTGCAAAAGTTACAGACACAGTGTGTGATAAGTGCTTAGTTAAGATGGAAAAGGCGTTACATGTGTGGAAGGAAGATGTTAACAGAAACGTGTTCTGACTGATGGCAGTCAGTTTCAGTACTATTCTCGGTTTCACACATCCAGTGGGAGTCTTGGAATGTCCCTCCCGTGGGTAAGGGGGAACCACTGTGCTAGACACAGTCCCAGAAGACTCCTCATAGCCTACTGGTCAGAACTGCATCACATGTCCTGCGAATGCAAGCATTGGTGGAGACTGAGGGCACCAAACCTGGATGGGACAAACAATTTGATCTCTGGGGCTGCGAAGCTCAGCTTCCTTTGAGGCACATGGCTTGCCTACTCTCTGAACAATATTGGGGTTCCATTATCTAAGAAAAAGAACTGGGGCCAGGTGCAGTGGCTCACACCTGTAATCCCAGCATTTTGGGAGGCCAAGGCGGATGGATAACTAGAGGTCAGGAGTATGAGACCAGCCTGGCCAACAGGGTGAAACCCTGTCTCTATGAAAAATACAAAAAATTAGCCGGGCATGGTGGTGCACACCTGTAGTCCCAGCTACTTGGGAGGCTGAGGCACGAGAATCACTTGAACCCAGGAGGCGGAGGTTGCAGTGAGCCGAAATCAGGCCACTGCACTCCAGCTTGGGAGACAGAGCAAGACTCCATTCCAGAAAAAAAAAAAAAAAAAAGAAAGAAAAGCAAAAGAATGGGAAATGCTCATGGAGACATAAATAATGGTGTCACAACTAATTTCTAAATTAACTATGATACCAGGCTCTTGTGAATGTTCTCATTCAACAATGCTATGTGCCTCTGTCCTCTCACCCCATGTATTCTCAGAAGCACACTGTTTCTGAACCAGGTAGACTAGGTTTCTAGACTATTTGAATTGTTAAAGTGTTAACTAAAGTGCTCCTGAATTTGTTACTGTTACTTATGCTGACAGTGGTATTCATATCACTGTCTCTGGGGTGGGCTGTGGGAAATGTCACTGTAAAGATGATTGAAATTCACTGATGAAAACCTACTTCCCTAAAGATCTAAAGCCATGGTCCAGTTGATTTCAGAAATGGCAAATTCTGAAAGTAAGCAAGCAAATGGTTTTTGGTGGTGGGTAATACATAGCTCCGTTTAGCAGGATATATGGTATTTGACAAGGATTGAGCTGAATCGATTTTAGAGAACTTGAAAAACAGGCAGACCTGTCTTGGAGGTTTTACAATGTCGCTTTCTGAACGTAGAATTTAATGCCCTCTACCATTCCTCGAAAAAACTGGAAGACACCAGCCTGCATAGTTCAGTAGTTCAGCCATCTGTCCAACTGAAAAGTCATCGAAACAGAGGTATCAAGTCCTTTGTTGCAAACTTGAGGAATCTCTGATGCGGAATCAATCATTTTTCTAGTAGACAAGGTGGCCTCACAGGAATGAGAGTAAGAAAGAGTGAGAAGGAAAAGGAGTTGCTTTCCCAGCCCCATCAAAGCTGGACTCATCCTTATCTTTATTTCTTCCCCTACTCATCATCACTGCTGTAAAAGGGGGGATGTTTCCTCTACCTTTGGAGGCTGAGTGTCCGCACCTGCAAAGTAAACTGTCAAAAGACAGATTAACAGGAGGAGGAAGAGCATACAAACTTTGTGTGATTTTATAAGTTTATGTGGCCCGTGGAGGTGGTTCATAAATTAGAGAAAACACGCCCAAAAAAGTGGCAAGGCTTGGAGGCTTCTAAGTCATTTCAACAAAGGTTGATACATTTGTAGAGATGTGACAAGACACGGGAAAGGGGGTTTGGGGTTTAGGCTTCCCAAAACTGTAGAAGGTAAATATAGGGGGAAACTCAAGGAAGATAAGAGCTATCTTTGCAAAGTTTGTTTATGCAGGTCCATTTCGGTGCAGCCTTCCATCTCCTTCAAGGCCATAAAACTTCCCCAGGAAAAGGGATTTACGGCAGTCTTCATTTCTCAGAAGTTTCTGCTTTTAGTCAGATAAGGGATGCTTAGGGAAACCTTCTTTCTGCATCTGTTGAATCTCAAATGCCTTCAGCTCAAAATAATCCTTCTGCTACAGAACATATTTTGAGGTGGTATATTCTGATTCCCCACTCTCCCTCGTCCCCTAGCATGGTCTTCTTGACTTTGACTTGCGCCCTGTGCTGGGTGTTCAGTTTGTCTCCTGGGCCATTCTCCACTCTTCTCTGCCCTACTTTGTGCTCCCAGAGGCTGACCTGTAGGAAGGCATCAAAGGTTCATTGCCCTCTGACTTCCAATTGGGTTTGGCACTGGCAGGAAAAGAAAGGGAAGGAGTAGAGACAACTTGGAGCACGAGCTTGGGGTATTTATTCTCCAAGTTCCCTCCCTGTGGAGTCCCCAAGTGTTGGCTGCATTTCATTGCAAAAGATGTTAGCTCAAATAAGGCAGTCCTCCCCACAGTTCTGTCTCCCCAGTTTCAGTAACCCACCCCCTCATCTGCCCCTAAAGGCTTAGGAGTGGTAATGGAGCCCTACTATTACTAATCTAGGGTTCTGCACTATGCCTTGCAGTTTCCCTACACTCTGCCCACGCCTTTGTAAATAGTTTCTTTATGAAACTCTGCTTGAGTTATCCTAATTTGAGGATGCCATCTGTTTCCTGCTGATACACTGCTCTAATTTGATCTTATATGGGTTGAATGTTTTTGCTTAGTGATATTTTTGTGTTCCTGCCTCCTGAATTACCACTCTGCATAGTGGCAAAGACTTCAGCCTCTGAAGTTGCATAGGAGTGGGTTCATATCACACTCCATCTTCTACAGTTAGAAAACCTTGGCCAGTCACTTCACCTCTTTGACCCTCAGTTTCTTTCTCTGCAAGTGGCAGTAATAATGATAATAATAGTGTTATGTACTCCATTGAGATTCCATGTGGATCAAATGAGACAATAGGAGTGATGAGGAGTGTGACAAATGACAGTTCTCATACCCCATCTAAAAGTAGCTCCACCAGCCGAGTGTGGTGGCTCACACCTGTAATCCCAGCACTTTGGGAGGCCAAGACAGGCTGATCACCTGAGGTCAGGAGTTTAAGACCACCCTGGCCAACATGGGTTGGTGGTGGTCTACCAACCATCTCTACTAAAAATACAAAAATTAGCTGGGCATGATGGTGCACGCCTATGATCCCAGCTACTCGGGAGGCTAAGGCAGGAGAATCACTTGAACCAGGGAAGCGGAGGTTGCAGTGAGCCGAGATCATGCCACTGCACTCCAGCCTGGGCAACAGAGCAAGAATCCTTCTCAATAAATAAATAAATACATAAATAAATAAATAAATAAAGTGGCTCCCTGGATCCAGGTGATAGTTGTCACGAAAAAAAGGCAGCCCAGAGTTGTCAGTTCTTTTGGTACTTCAAACAGCCAGAAATCTAGTTTTATATATGAAATATCCTCTTTACTAGAACGTCAATTCCATGAAGACAGTAATGACTATTTTATTCATTAATGTATTCCCACTGATTAGAATTGCCATTTTGAATTTCTGATTTAAAAATAATCACAACTGAAAATCACTAATAAATAATGGATCCTTTTAGAACCCCCTCTAACCAAAAGAAAGTGGGTTACAGCCAATCATTTTCAGAATGTCCACTGTGTAGCCCCTCGTTCAGATCACGTGCAACCAGGCACTTAATAAATGTGTTCTGGGCTGGTGGAAGAGATACAGCAACTACTTTCAGCCCAAACAGTTCATGGAGCCTCCTCTTCCCTGTCACAGCCTGAAGATAGGAATCCAGTGAGCTGCAGATTTGTTACCAAGTTTATAAATGCCAAGGAGACAGCTCTCCAGCAAAAGAATGACTCAGTAGACACGCTGCAGATAAATAATGTATGAAACCACTTCTATTTTAATGGCACTTTGTGGTGACAGTAATATTGATGAAAATGTTGGCATGTATTAGATGGTGTTATATTCAGTGAGAGATGAGGTTTGACAGGCACTGGGCCACTTCCAACCATAATCCAAGCCAGAGATGTGATATACACCAATTCTTAGCCAATGGTTGGCCCCTGTATGAAATTGGCTGCTAGGAAAAATAAGACCAACACTTGACCAGCGCTGATATCTTGTGGTGGCTATTTGTCTTGGTCAGCTTGTACTACCATAACAAAATACCATAGAATGGGTGGCTTAAAAAACAAATTTGTTTTCTCACAGTTTGGAAGCTAGACGTCTGAGATTAGGATGCCAACATGGTCAAGTTTGGTGCCTTCTCACTGTGTCACCATGGGGGGTGGGGGTGGCGATGGGGTAGGAGAGAGAGAGAGAGAGAGATTGAATCTTCCTCTTCCTATAAGGCCATAGTCCTATGGGTCTTAGGGCCCCACCCTTATGACCTCATTTTACCATAATGACCTCCTAGACCCTATCTCTAGATACAGTCACACTGGGGGGTTAGGGCTTCAACATATGAATTCTGGGGGACATAACTTAATCCAGAGCAAAAGTGATTCCCAGGCCAGGTGCAGTGGCTCAAGCCTGTAATCCCAGCACTTTGGGAGGCAGAGGCAGGTGGATCACTTGACATCAGGAGTCAAGACCAGCCTGACCAGCATGGTGAAATCCTGCCTCTACTAAAAATACAAAAATTAGCCAGCCATGGTGACACATGCCTGTATTCCCAGCTACTTGGGAGGCTGAGGCACGAGAGTCACTTGAACCCAGGAGGTGGAGGCTGCAGTGAGTTAAGATCATGCCACTGCACTCTAGCCTGGGTGACAGAGTGAGACTCTGTGTCAAAAAAAGAAAAAGAAAAAAGTCATTCCCAAACCTCTCTTCCACTCCAGAGGCTGAAAAAGTTAAAACATTCATTTTCCCAGTCTCTTCTGGAGTTGGCAGTGGTCATGAAAAACACAATAATGCATGAGTGGAATTCTGCTGGGGAGATGAAGGGGGTTCTGGAAAGAAAATGTGCTTTCTTGATAAAAGGAGCGGATGTGACCAGTCCACACCATCTGTTTCTCTCTCTTCCTCCCCTGAATCAGGATGTGATATCTATGGCTTTTGCAGCCACTTTAAAACCAAGAGGCACAGGAGAAAATTTCTGCAGTGACAACAGCCTTGATGTCACTGAGACTCTAACCCAAATGCTAGTAGTAGTTGCTCATATTCAGACTGGCTAAGAACAAATAAATGCCTATTTGTATATGGCTCTGTAAGCTGAAGTTTTGCTAGACACAAATGAATGTGCTATGATACTTACCCTCTGTGTATGTCTGTGATATCATCTATATAATGGGAATAATAACTATCTACTGTTGTTGTGGGAGGCGGGGGCTTTAATGAGAAGCTGTTCAAAGTATTGAAATAGAGATTGGCACATAGTAAATCCTCAACACTAGCACCGTTATGTAGTAATACAAGACACATTTATTTATACTGTTTTTTACACTCCTAAAATCATCACAATTAATTCTCAAATAAATGCAAACAAGAAGCTAAAGGAAATAGAGACAGATATGTGGGGACAAAAAATAGCAGCAGATTTAGAGTCAGGAGACCCAGGTTCAGAATGTCTGATAATAAGGAAATGATCATGTAAACAAAGGCGCATCCAGCCCATGAACTGCATATGCACCCATTTAAAATAAATAAAAAGACCATGCAAGGACATGAAGAAAAGCATACTATAAAATGTTAAACAACAGAACACAGAACACAGATACACAAATTAAAGATAATCCCAATCGTGTAAAAGAAAAAAAAGTGAAAATGAAAAGAAATAACCCAAAATGGTAATCTATAAGTGTATAGATAACTTTTTTCTCCTATGATTTTCTGAATTCTCTAAATTTCCAGTAAAAAAAATCATAATTTCATAATTTAAAAATTTTAATAACTTCAAATTTTCTCTTTTATACTTTCCCATATTTTCAAACTTATTTGCCATAAATTCATATTACATATATAAGAAGAAAAATAAGTTTTAAAATAAGGAAATATGGCCAGGTGTGGTGGCTCACAACTGTAATCCCAGCACTTTGGGAGGCTGAGGCAGGTGAATCACTTGAGGTCAAGAGTTCCAGAGCAGCCGGGCCAACAAGGCAAAACCCCATCTCCACTAAAAATACAAAAACTAGTCAGGCATGGTGGTGCATGCCTGTAGTTCTAGCTACTCAGGAGGCTGAGGCAGGAGAATTGCTTGAATTCGGGAGGCAGAGGTTGCAGTGAGCCGAGATCGCACCGTTACACTCCAGCCTGGGTGACAGAGAGAGACTGTCTCAGAAATAAAATAAATAAATAAATAAATAAACATGTGCTGATCAGAGACAGTGGAATCTGACCAGTCTTAGGAGCATTGCAGGACCCAAAGAAAAAGCACATATGGCTTCTCAATTGTCACATATTTTAAAGTATAACTGTGTCCTTGGGGTGGAATTGGTCATGGACGGGGGCTCACTCCTGCTGACCAAAGGCACAGGTGGAGGAATAAGTCAGAGTGGGCCTCAATGCATGCTCTTCTGTTTTCAGTCACACTGCAGAAACAGAGGCAAAAGATTTTTTTTCTTTCCTTCCTTCTAAGTTCATGTATATTTGTATACATTTTTTAAGTAAAAATGATCTTTTTGCTATAGGGATTTTGGTTTTGAGGCTCCACGTCACCAGTTACCAGCTATATGGCACGGGGCACAGATACGTTGCAAAATCTTTTGAAAATTCCACTTTCCTATCTCTAAAATTAGGATTATGAAAAGAGCTATGGCCAGGCACAGTGGCTCACGCCTGTAATCCCAGGACTTTGGGAGGCTAAGGCAGCCAGATCACTTGAGGTCAGGAGTTCGAGACCAGCCTGGCCAACATAGCGAAACCCTGTCTAGTAAAAAATACAAAAATTAGCCAGGCGTGGTGGTGGGCACCTGTAATCTCAGCTACTCGGGAGGCTGAGGCAGGGAGAATTGCTTGAACCCAGGAGGCGGAGGTTGCAGTGAGCTGAGACCACACCACTGCACTGCAGCCTGGGTGACAGAGCAAGACTCTGTCTCAAAGAGAAAAAAAAAAAGAAGAGCTATTTCACGGAAGAATGTGGTGTTCAGCAAATATACTAATGTGTGTTAAAGTGCTTTACAAATTGTAAATCCTAACACAGTACAAACTTTAGTGAAAGGAACATAGGTTCTTACTGTGCAGTCCTGATTAACATCCTAGCTGTGACACTTAACATGTTGTGTGTGAAATTTAAGCAAATTATGTAACCTCCCTGAGCCTCAGTTTTCAGATATAGAAAATAGAGAAATCTTTCATTATTACAAGATACCTTGTGTATCTTGTAAATATCCAATAAAGTTGTAATTATATTTTCTGCACTTTCCCAGGAATAATCAAAATTAACTCTTCTACTTGGAAGGGCTTCCGCAGGAGATAGGAGCAGAACATCCTTAAAAAACTGTTGTGAAATCACCTTAGTGCTAAGAAGAGCAAAGAGGAACTAGACAAGATGGCTTGTACCCTGGTTTCCTGCCCCCAGAGCATTTTTCCAGACTCTCTGACCACCTGGACACCCAAACTGGGAGCTGCCTCTCTGAAATATTATTAGAAAAGAGGGCAAGAGTCTAGATGTGAGAAAATATGAAAAAAAGAAATTTCCATTTTAACTAACAAAGGTTTGACTGCTGGCAGGACTTAGGAAACCACTGTGTCCCTAAATCAGTGAATCCCAGCAACCTAGCACAAGGGAAAGGCAGACTGTGAGGTAGTGTGTCCAACTTTCCACCTCATCCCATTAATGTGAGCTGATAAATCATGACCTTCCTTTGTTATCAGAGGATGGCAAATCAATACTTCCATTATCATTATTATTACTCCCAAGGCACCTCTCTAGCAGCATGTGAGCTATTCTCTCCCAAGCACAGAGCCGAAAGGATGGCTAATCTGCTTCTGAGACCCCATCAATCACAACAGGAAGAGAAAGGATGAATTGGGAAGAAGAAACATAATAGTACGGAGGGGGAAAACAGCATTTGAAAAAGCCTGGAATAGTTGCTCTAAGTGTCGTCCTAGGACCTCCTTGATGACATTCAGTGAGTGATGGTTAAAATGACAGATACTTTGGAAATGCCTAGTCTGTGGGTCAGGGGCATGACCTGCCTTAATTGACAACTTCTTCAAGCGGTTTTATGCACCTAAAGTTTGCACATTAAAAACCTAGAAATCTACTATTCACCGGTGGAAATATCACTTGTAACCATCTTGAAGTTTTGGGGTCCTGCTGTTCATCTCTCAGAAATAAGTTTTGCGGAATACTTGCATGCATACTTGTAGGAGTGGGCCAGCATCTTTCATGTCAATGTCAGCTATATTTCAGTTCCAGGGGAATGCAGATGTCCCTTGATTGACCCTATCAGTACTAAAACTTTAGTGTGCATAAAAGTCAGCCAAAGGGTTGGTAAAACAGAAATTGCTGGGCCCTACCCCTAGAGTTTTCTATTCAGGAGGTCTTGAGTGGGGCCTGAAAATTTACATTTCTAAAAAGTTCACAGGTTGGTTAGCTAATCCAAAAGTCATTCCCAGGCCAAGCGTGGTGGCTCATGCCTGTAATCCCAACACTTTGGGAGGCCAAGGTGGGCGAATCACCTGCAGTCAGGAGTTTAAGACCAGCTTGGCCAACATGGTGAAATCCCGTCTCTACTAAAAATATAAAAATTACCCAGGCATGGTAGCAGGCGCCTGTAATCCCAGCTACTTGGGAGGCTGAGGCAAGAGAATTGCTTGAACCCAGGAGGCGGAGGTTGCAGTGAGCCAAGATCATGCCACTGCACTCCAGCCTGGGTGACAGAGTGACTCAAAAAAAAAAAAAAAAAAGTCACAGGTGATACTGATGCTGCTGCTCCAAGAAACACATTTAAAAACCACTGGCACACATGGATGGATTTTTGGAGAGAGTTCTTTTTTTATTTAGGCAGAAAAGCATGATTAAGGGAGAGGGGAAAAAAATCACTTGCAATCTTAACACCCACTACCCACTGGATATCCATACACTTACACGGATACACACACACTTCTCCTCGTGCAAAAAAAAAAAGAATCACACTACATATTACCCTGTGCCTATCTTCTTCATGGGACAACAAATCAGGGCTCTCTCTCCACTCCTCCATGACCCACCTCTATGGCATACTGTCTAATAAATGCACAGCATGAGTACTGTCTGGACTCATCACAATTGGGTGTTATATTGTCTTCAATAACTTTATTGTTGTAACCAAACATGTTCTGTGTTAAGTCAAACAATAGAGAAAAATACAACCAAAAAGAAAAACACATCTCAAATCCCACCACGTCAGAGATAACCATTGTTAGCAAATTGATGTACATCTTTCAACACACGTATTCCTACATACATTTATTATTTTACATAAACTGAATCATAGACACCAAGTTATTTTGCAACATGCTTTTTCCACTTACATAAACCAAGTTTTGGTAAAGCAAATACAACCTCAAAAATCTTTGAGAAATGTACTATCTAATGGAATCTTAACACAAATTCTCTATGAAATGAAGCATTCTTTTATACAGTGAATTTCTGCCTACTCCTCACAGATACACTAGGTTAATTTTTTAATGTGTGTGTGTATCTGTGAATTCCATATTTCATTTATTAGGTTTGCTTTAGGAAGAGTGCCCCTGAAATAAAAATGAGCCTTTTGTACTAAATCGGAGTTCTGAGCCAAAGTCAGTGTCCACAGCACAGAGGAGCTGAAACCCAGAGCATTTGGAGCTTCTAGTATATATTCTGGATTTTCTCCATCAGTCTAGGACTGAAGACACCGATCTCTGGTGTCGGTTGAGATTTCACCAAGGTTCTGGTTCTGGAATGAGTCACTGGCTAAGGGTCTGATAAGCAAAGGGCGGAAGTGGGCAGAGTGTGAGAAGGGTGGGGGAGGTCCTTGATCTGATCAGTACAACCCAGAGAACACACCCATGTCCCACACGCTTGCGAGGGGGCCTTCATAATAACCAAGCACCCCTTTCCATCTGTAGAACATGGTTACGTGTTTTTCAATTTGCCATCCTGTTGTTAATTTGTCCCCGTTTTCCAGATGAGGCTTGGTGAGATTCACTGAGATCATGCATACAAAGAAAGCCCTGAGCACAGTGCTTGGCACATAGTGGGCACTCAGTAAACCTCGGTGTCACTGAGAAGACAGAATGAGAATGAGCATGCTGTGGAGTCTTTCACCTGCCTCTCCTCTGGGACAGGTTACTCTTTCATTCTGTAGACTGTAATGACATGGAAATTCCAAGATACCAAGAGACAATGATGAATCAAAGATGAGTTCCCAAAAGACAAATCACATCCCTTATTCCCCATCAAATCTAAAGCCTAATAAAGTCCATATAGCACTCATGAGGCCTCTAACCTTCTGCCTAAAAGTGATCATCATCACAGCAAACCTGAGCCTCAGAAAGGACCTAGCTTACTTGGTGACAGAGGAGGGCAACAGAAGGACTTGGCCCATGGCACCCAGCTGACCATGTCAGCAAATAGAGAGGCCTTCAAAGCCTTTGCATTCCTGTTCCCTGGAGAAACTGAGGATTGCAGTAAAGTGTAATTACAACCTCTTTTTGCCTTGTTTGAAATACAAAGGGACAATGTAGCCCTAATATATTTATAGAAGGAAGTAGAGATCAAATAAAGGAAGAGGGGGACCAAAAGAAGGGCATATCCATGTTTCTCATCTTCTTTCACTGCAGATCTTAAAAAGGAACCAGAAGCCTCAGCAGTCCCTGCTAAAGAATCATTGTCACATTCTATTAGTTCCCTCTGATCCCGTGAAGAGGGGGGAAAAATCATTGCATGGCAATGCCATGTGTCTCAAGCTTCATTAAAGTGATTTCTCCCAAGAGTCTCGTATAACAGCATGTAAAGCACTTACAACAGTACCTGAATCATCGTAAGTAATCAATAAATGTAAACGAGTAGCAGCAGCAGCAAGAGAGACTTGCTGAGATCATTCATTTAGCTACTTGGAACCCTGCTTAGCATAGAATTCAAGTCTTTTCACAATCAAATGAGTGTTTCTCACAGGAACTCACACTCCTTATACCTTCAGAGCCTGAGACTCTGCCTTCTGTCTCCAGTCTTCCAAGCTCTTCAGCAGACTGAAAAAGTTCTTCAGGATCTACTCTCTCCAGGTCCTCAAGCCCACGATGACAGAGATATCCCAGCTGAAGAACTGAATTTCAGAGGTCTGACACTGACACAACCCATGGAATTCAGTTCTCAAAGCTGAGGATACACATCGGCTTTTCAGAGATGGTGCAAAGACCCCTCCTTGCAGTCCAGGCCTGTCCCAGCCCTGTAAAATACAAGAGTGAAAAGCCTGGTAAATCCAATGCAGCTGCTTCCTAGTACCAGGTCTAGTCCTGGCACTCATGAGTTATAAACATCTGGAGGAGACCAGGCCAGCAGTCTGGAAGGCTGATGTGGGTGGATCTCTTGAGCCCAGGAGTTCAGGACTAGCCTGGGCAACATGGAGAATTTGTCTCTACTAAAAATAAAAAATGAGCCATGCATGATGGCCTGTGGTGGGAGGATCGCTTGAGCCTGGGAATTGGAGGTTGCAGTGAGCTATGATTGCACCACTGCACTCCAGTCTGGGCCACAGAGAGAGACCCTGTCAAAACAAAAACTAATCTGTAGGGGATGTGTATGGTAGACACACACATCATTAAGCATCATTAAACATGGTAGCTGGCCTTTCCTGCCTCATGACCCTTCCATATGCCATCCCTCTGGCCTGGAAAACTCGTTCCTCTCTTTAACATCAACTTATCCTGATGTTCTTGCTTTCAATGTCACTTCCTCAGAGAGGCCATCTATGGCAGAGATTGCTGATTGTTTGCCCAATATATATTCTCTCCTCCTTCTATACTAATAGAACCCTTAAGTGGTATCTGAACACATGGACATCTGACTTTGTTTCCTCACCTGGTGTGACAAAGTGCTGGATATGAGCAGGAGTGGAGAGTTTTTTACTGTTTCCCTCCCTCTTCTCAGGCTTGGACTGTAGACATGGTAGAGAGCCACTGTGGACCATGCAAATGAGTGCAGCCCCCCAGGGAACAGCAGAGCAGCATGCCAGAAGAGCCCCAAAAGTGTGAGGCTTCCTTATACACCCTAGACTGCTTACACCTGCACTGATAGATCAGCAAGAATGGAACATTTACCTTATTTAAGCCACTGTTACTTGGGGATCTCTGTAAGAGCACTTGAATGTTTACCTACCACTCCCTCACCATCAGCCTCCAGCTAGTCTCTTTCATAATATGGGATTCTTTCCTTCACCGTAATTTGTAATTGTTAGATAATTTTGTATAATTATTTGATTAAAATTATCTCTCCAACAAGACTGTTTTCCATAAGCATAGAGACCATGCTAGTGTTTTTTAAATATGTATATAGGCGAGATGTGGTGACTCACACCTGTAATCTCGGAACTTTGGGAGGCTGAGGCAGGCAGATCACCTGAGGTCAGGAGTTCAAGTTTCACTTGGCTAACATGGTGAAACCCCGTCTCTAACAAAAATACAAAAATTCGCCAGGCATGGTGGCGCACACCTGTAGTCCCAGCTACTTGGGAGGCTGAGGCAGAAGAATCACTTGAACCCAGGAGGCAGAGGTTGCAGTGAGCTAAGATTGCACAACTGCACTCCAGGCTGGGTGACAAAGCGAGACTCTGTCTCTAAAAAATAATAATAAAATAAAATAAGTATATAATAGCCTTATTGAGCTATAGCTATATAGCTCACACACCAGAAAATTTACCTATTTAAAGTAAAAAATGCATTGGTTTTTAGTATTTTGCAGAGTTGTACAACCATCATAATCAATTCCAGAACATTTTCATCATCCCCAAAATAGATCCCATAACCATTAACAGTCAATCTCCATTCCCCTCCCTCACCCCTGGGGAATCACTGATCTACGTTCTGTCTATATATATGCT
Organism: Homo sapiens; assembly: GCF_000001405.40. NCBI lineage: Eukaryota > Metazoa > Chordata > Mammalia > Primates > Hominidae > Homo > Homo sapiens. The sequence continues at coordinate 160,483,648 of NC_000005.10, read as the reverse complement.
GGACATCTTATATAAATGAAATCATATAATCAGCGGCCTTTTGTGACTGGCTTCTTTCACTTAGCTTTCAGGATATATCCATGTTTTAATGCGTATCAGTACATCCTTCCTATGGATGAATAATATTCCATCGTTAGGATCTACCACATTTCATTTATCCATTCATCAGCTGATGGGCATTTGGGTTGTTGCTACCTTTTGCCTATTTGATGCTTCTATGAATGAATACCCATGTACAAGTTTTGTATGGACATATGTTTGCATTTCTCATGGATGTGTGAACCCAAAAGTATCTGAGACAGACCTGAATCCATTTAGGAAGTTTATTTTGCCAAGGTTAAGAACATGCCTGTCACACAGCCTCAGAAGGTCCTGACAACATTGTGCCCAAGGTGGTCGGGGCACAGCTTGGTTTTATACATTATAGGGAAACATGAGACATCAATCAGTATATGTAAGATGTACATTGGTTCAGTCTGGAGAGCTGGGACAACTAGAAGCAGGGGTGGGGGCTTCCAGATCATAGGTAGATACAAGACAAACTGTTGCATTTTTTTGTCTCTGGTTAGCCTTTTACTGAATACACAATTTACATGTGAGAGGAGGGTAGAGGAATAGTCACTTATTCCTTAGTCTGGCTTAGTGAAATAATAGGGCAGAAGAAGCAATCAGATATGCATTGGTCTCACATGAGCAAAAGAATGACTGAATTCTGTCTGTCCTTTGTCCACAAGGAATTTCCTAGTGGGCAAATTGTGAGGGAGGTATGTAGCTTTTTTATCTTTGTAGCTAGCTTACGTAGGAATAAAATGGGAGGCAGGTTTGCCTCACACAGTTCCCAGTTTGACTTCCCTTTGGCTTAGTGATTTTGGGAGTTCTGAGATCTATTTTCCTTTCACAGACGTATACCTAAGTGTGGAATTTCTGTGTCATATGTTAACTCTATGGCTATCAGTTGATGAATGGCCAGACTGTTTTCCAAAGCGGCCACACTATTTTACAATTCCACCAGCAGTGTATGAGGGTTCCAGTTTCTCCACATCTTGCCAATACTTGTTAATGTCTATCTTTTGAGTATAGTTATCCTAGTAGGTGTGAAGTGGTATCTCACTACGGTTTTGATTTGCATTTCCCTGATGGCTAATGATGTTGAGTATCTCTTCATGTGCTTACTGGCCATTTATATAGCTTCTTTGGAGAAATGTCTATTCAGATTTTTTTGTCAATTTTGTAATTGAGTTGTTTGTATTTTTATTATTGAGTTGTAAGGGTTCTGTATATATTCTAGATACAAGTCCCACATGTATAATTTGCAAATATTTTCTCCCATTCTTTGGGTGGCTTTTTAACTTTCTTAATGGGGTGTGTGCATGTGTTTTGTGTAACATTATTTCCAGCTTCTAGCATGATGTCTTGATCATAGTAGGCACTCCAGTGATGGATGGATGGAAGGATGGAAGGAAGGAAGAAAGGGAGGGAGGGAGGCGGGGAGGGGAGGAAGGGAGGGAGGCTAGGTCTCAGTTATGCAGGCTTCCATCACAACTGTCCCAGCACTGACTGACAGCTAGGTTAAACATTAAAAGTTGATTGAGCCAGTGCCCTTATACAAAGTCTGGAATGCAACAAAAGCCCACCAAGAGTTTTGCCTGGACACTAAAGCATGACAAAATAACGAAGGAATTCTTAACAGGACCCATTTAGGATTAAACAAGTTTTAATGGGGGTCTGAAGAAACTCCCCAGGCCTCCACAAACAGGTTTATTGGGGGCCTAAAGGAACTCCCCAAACCTCCATGATTTAGCAGGGGACAAGATAAGTAATCACCCCAGCACCTGGACCCATTTAGATTAAGTAAATTTACTGAGGCTCTAGAGGAAGGTCTTCAGGACTCAGACCTTAGTTACAGATTAAAAGAAATTAATCACTAATGTCTTTAGATGAACGCACACTTACATGTAGACATATAGCTTAGAAAACTTTGTAATTTTGAGTTGGTCTAGTGATAATTTCTGGGCCTTCTCCCTGTAACTGGTTACAGAAATAAAAACTCTCTTCCTTCCCAGTTCATCTGCATCTCGTTATTGGGCTGTGAGAAACAGCAGCCTGACCCTCAGTTTGGTCCAGGAACAGGAGGGAGGGAGAAAAGGAAGGGAGGGAGGGAGAGAGGGAAGGGAGGGAGGGAGAGAAGGGAAGGGAGGGAGGGAACTTACTTTTACAAACCACACAGTTTAATTTCCTTATTTTAAAGATGGGGAAACTGAAAAGTTAAAAACATTAAGATGACAACATGATGAGATAATAAAAACAAGGTGATAGGCTGGGCACGGTGGCTCATGTCTGTACTCCCAGCACTTTGGGTGGCAGAGGTGAGGGGATCATAAGGTCAGGAGTTTGAGACCAGCCTGGCCAACATGGTGAAACCCCATCTCTACTAAAAATACAAAAATTAGCTGAGCATGATGGCACGCACTTGTAGTCCCAGCTACTCAGGAGGCTGAGGCAGGAGGAATGCTTGAACCTGGGAGGTGGAGGTTGTAGTGAGCTGAGATCGTGCCACTGCACTCCAGCCTGGGTAACAAAGTGAGACTGTCTCAAAAAAAAAAAAAAAAAAAAAGGTGATAGAAGTTAAAACTGGGTTTTAGCCCTAGCTTGTCTCCTACCAGCTATGGGAACTAGGCAGGTCATATAACCTCTCTACACATCAGAGACCTCCTCAGAAATGGTCCTCTCTCACCAATCAGGTATTGGAAGGAGCAAAGTAAACTAATCTATGAGAAACCACTGTTTGAACATGAGTTATAATTGAGGCCGAAGGTCAAATAGCTAAATCAGCCTGGTCAGAAAATGATGGCAGGTGGCCCAATTTCTGGTCCAGGGTGAAGCATAGGGTGCCATATTTTATTTTTCAGATTGTTGCTGATTTTCTTCACCAATTAGAAGATTTTCTGGTTCAATGCAGAAAAGGGGACCACTAAATTTGTGGCAAATCACACAAATCCTGGGTCCTCCCACCACTGACAGTCCTAAACAAGAAGTGTTGCTTCCACTAACTGTAGCCCCAAGCCGTGATTGTTTTATTCACGACTGGATCCCTGGCACCTAACTGTGCCTGGCACATGGCAGATGCAGAAAAGTAGTTTTTAATTCGTGGACAAATGAATGAGTGGGTGAACAAATGAATGGCACTGTAAAATAAACCTGAACCCCACAATCTGCAGGGGGAATTAATCTGCAGATAGAAGGATTCTGGGGTAACATTTGGGTATATCTGGAGAAAGCAAAGTGTAATGCTTAGACAACAGGCTCTAGAGTTTGGTTGCCAGTGTTCTAATTCCAGCTCTGAGCCTGCCGTGAGTGCAGAGGGAAAAAGCGGCAGCCACGCATTTTCATCTCTGCTTAAACTTGCATCTATTTATGTCTATCGCTGTGCTACATCCATGCCTTTCATTCCTTCTGTTCTGTGCCAGGCTTCATGCTCCCGTTCAGCCATGGCCCTAAGCCAAAGCTCAGGCATTTTTTTATTCTGGTTGGATCCACACAATTTGGTGATTACTATATAAACGTTTTGTATTGCTCATGCTGCAGCACCAAATCCGTTTACTCATAATGATTCACTAGAGACACTCACTTCCCTCAAGTGACATGTAATGGCTTCTCCATCACCCTCAATGTGGCCTTTTACCACTTAGAATACAATGTAAATTATTTGAGAGTTTCCACTTTTTAAAGTAAGCGTTGCCTTCCCTTTCACATGAAGGAAAACCAGACATGGAAGGGGAAAAGTGCTCCAACTTAGGTGGTTTTGCTCTGTTGCCCAGGCTGGTCTCAAATTCCTGGATTCAAGCAATCCACCCACCTCGGCCTCCCAAAGTGCTGGTATTACAGGCGTGAGACACCACAACCAGCCAACAAGGCACTTTCACACAAATCTCACTTCACTCTCAAAAGCCATAAAGAAATGCCATTGCCATCCTCACTCGATTAAAAAAGATGAGGAGAAGCAAAAAGAAGAGAAGGAGGAGGAAGAGCAGTAGCTAAGCAGTTAAAACATCCACCTAGCACATACAACTAACACTTTTGACCATTCGGCCCCACTGTCTGGCTCTTGGAGACATAAACAAAAATGGTTTCTTCCCTAAAGGAATTCAAAGACTAGATAAGGTGGCAAGGTATACAGATGAAAAATAAGTAACTGCAGAATGCTAGATAAACATGTACTCAGCCTGGCCTTCACAAGAGAGGCCAGCAGCTGGTAGAAAGGAGAACTTTCATTCGATCCCTCTGTAGGTCCTGCAAGCTCTGCCTTCACAGTACACGTAGAATCTAACTGTTTACCCTCACCCAAGCCACCATCAGCTCCCACCTAGGAGATCTGCAACAGTGAGGTCTCCTGATTCCACTCCTGCCTCTGCAGTCCACCCTCCAAATAGCAGTCAGAGGGATCTTATTAAAAGATAACTCAGAAGTAGGAGTTGAACAATGAGAACACATGGACACAGGGAGGGGAACATCACATACTGGGGCCTGTCAGAGGGTGGGGGGAAGGGGAGGGAGAGCATTAGGACAAATACCTCATGCATGTGGGGCTTAAAACCTAGACGACAGATTACTGGGTGCAGCAAACCACCATGGCACATGCATACCTATGTAACAAACCTGCACCATCTGTACGTGTATCCCAGAACTTAAAGTATTTAAAAAAAAAAAAAAGAGGCCAGGCACAGTGGCTCACGCCTGTAATCCCAGCACTCTGGGAAACCCAGTCAGGCAGATCATCTGAAGTCAGGAGTTCAAGACCAGCCTGGCCAACATGGTGAAACCCTGTCTCTACAAAAATACAAAAATTAGCTGGGCATGATGGAGGGTGCCTATAATCCCAGCTACTCGGGAGGCTGAGGCAGGAAGAATTGCTTGATCCTGGGAGGCGGAGGTTGCAGTGAGCCGAGATCATGCCATTGCACTCCAGCCTGGGAGACAGAGCAAGACTCTGTCTCAAAAAAAAAAAAGGAGAGATAAATCAAATCATGTCACTCCCCTGCATAAAGCTCTCCAGCAACTTTACATCACACAGAGAACAAAACCCAAACCCCTCAGCATGGCCTACAAGGCCCATGTCATCTGGCCCCTGCCTCTACCTCCAATCGCATTTTCTACCATCCTTCCCTCATCCATCCACTCCTGCCCACCTGGCCTCCTTGCTGTTCTTAATTGCACCAAGCTGTTACCTTTTCCTGGAATGCTCTTTCCCAAAATATTTCTACTGTTCACCTGTCACTTCTTCCAGACTCTTCTCAAACCTCACCTCATCAGAGTCCATCCCTCACCCACTCTACCTAAAGGAAACACAGACATGCCCCACCCATCCCCCAAACGTTCCAGCCCCTTGCCTGCTTTTCTGCCTCATACAATTTATTATTAGTTTACAGTTACTTATTTGTTTACTGTCTTTCTGCCTGGTAAGAGTGAAAGCTTCATGGGAGTAGGCCCTTTAACCAGAAGAATGCCTGGCACAGAGTAGGTCAGTTTCTCAATCTTTTTTTCATTATCATCCTTCTAAGGAACCTTTTCAGACTTTTTTTTTTCTAATCCCCCCACTATGAAATGTTAACACTACAGATATATTATATGTCTATATATACTGTATGTATATTTGTGCTTTACACATAGAGTTTTTTTTCACCTCCTAAGGGCCAATTTTCGTGCTCTTTGAGGGGAGGCATATCTTCCCCATGGAATAGGTGCTTGATAAAAATGTGTTGAATGGATAAAACTCCTGAGGAGAGCAGCAAGCTCTGAAAGATGGACATTGTTCAAGGTATAAAGTTCAGCTGGGGAAATTCCAAGCCTCCCCCCACTCAACCCTCCCATCTTTGTAGCATGAGTACATCCTGTCATGCTGTGTCTGGTGACTATCCGGTATTTTTCTAATGCAGATTTTCAGCTTTAAAACAAAACAAAACCCTACTCTTGTTTTGCATCCTGGCTCCCACTGCTATTTTGGATCCTTGAATTCACTTTTTCTCCACCTTCCTCCCCAGGCAAGCTTTAAAACCCAGATAAGGCCCGCTCCATTCGTACACAGTTTATTCTTTCCTTCATCCTACAACCTGCACTGAGTTCCTATGTGAACCAGATGAAAAGATGATGATGATTCAATCCCTGCCCTCTGGAAGCTCATGAGGATGTGAGGGTAGACAAACAGGATGCTAAGTTCAACACACCAAGGGCTCCAGGAGGAGCAACAAAGTGCTTCGAAAGGACAACTGCACTGACCCAGTGGAACCTCTCCTTGCTCATCCATTCACCCATCACTGACTTACAGAGCACCTGCTGCATGTGTCGGGCCTGTGCTAGATCCTGGGGTTGCAGCACAGACAAGACCAGCATGGTCCATGGAGATCACAAAACAGGAGAGACTGAAATCTCACTGATAATCACACAGATAAGTGAGCCCAAATGTGATAAATGCGACCAGTGGAAAAGCTCAAGATTCTATGAAGCACCTGGTAGTTGGAAAGAAATGACATTTAAGGAGAAACCCTGAAGAATAAGTAGAGCATGGTCTGGCAAAGACCAGGTAAAAGGGAGTTCCAGGCACAGGGAACAGAATGTCCAAATGGTCACAAATAGGATGTGACCAGGCACACTTGTGAGGACGGAGAGAGACTCCTCTACTGAGGTCAATAACGAGACTAGGGATGGCATGAGGAGAGGAAGGTCCAGAAAGGCAAGAGCCGATTCATGTTGGCCTTGCTGAGAAATATGGAGTTGACCTTAACTAAAGACAGAGGAAACACAGAAGGAATGTGATCCAGGCTGTATTTTTTAGATATTTTGGTTGGGTGTGGAAAACAGCTGGGAGGAGGGTAAAAAATCATCCCACACATCTGTCATCCAATCACGCAATTTAACATGTGATCCTGCAGGGTCTTGCACCCATAGGTGCAAGTCCTGTGAGACTGTGAAATTCTCAAAGGTAGATATCACATTTTCCGCCTCTTTTTACCCCGTCCCACAACAGCAGTGCATGGTACATGGTAGACAATTAGAAAACACTTCTTGAGTAATTATTTTATAATAACAAATTCTATGTTTTTATTATGATTAACCACTCCTTCTCTCTGCCCTCTGAAAGTTCCCCTCCCGTCCTCAGTCATCTTCCCATCCTCTGCCTGACTGACATATTCTGTTTCGGAAGACCACAGTATCTTTCAGATGACCTCCCACAAGCTCCCAGTCACTGCATTGCATGGAAAGCTGGACATCAGGGTGGTGACGATCTGAATAGTAAGCCATTGGTCCCCTTGCTGCCCCCAGCCCCCACCTGTCCCTGGTCACCCAGACCCTCAAACCTCCAGTTCTTCGGAATCTATATCTCCAGTGAGGCACTAGTTTGTTCCTGTGCCGCCAAAGCAGCCAGGCCAAAATAAACTTAAACTGCACAGTCGGAGCCATTCCCCAGCCAGAATGGGGAACAGAACAGAGCAACACAGCAAAGTAATTGCCTCCTATTTACCAGGACGTACTTTGCACTATGAGCCATTTTGTCAACTTCATGAGATTTGCAGTCAGAAAACACGGAAACAAAAGAGCAATATGAAGGTCTTTTAACCACTGACCATTTACATTTGTCAGCATGACTGCTCCATCCATTATTATCATTTCCCCAGCGCACAGCCCAGGAAAACTGTAGTTGCATTAGATCAATAAAAAACTGAATTCTCTTTTAAGACAGAGTCCTATTGTGTAACTATGTTGGGCAAATGTATAACTTGTCCTATGAAAAGAAATCCCATACCTCATTTGGTCATAGTGCATTGTGACAGAGAAACTATTTGCTTCCATTTTTAAGAATCCACCCCCTTTCCTTTTATGTATTTTTCCCACCATATGAGAGAAATTTATAAAGGAACCCAAAAGTTGTTATAAATATACTTTGCCAGCTCTCACCCCAAAAAATACTACTGTGGCACTTTGCTCTTGCTATACAGAGTTAGAATAAAGGAATGGGTTTTCAATATGCGTGGCTTTTAAGAGAGACTTACCTAGTATAACTTTATAAATTCGATATCCTTTCAAAGCTAAATTAATCCTGGTCTTTCAGTTCATTCTCAAAAGGTGTAAAGGAGATACATCCAAATTCCTTTATATGCTAGCTATAAAAAAAAATTAGGTAGTACCTAACGTAGCACTTTATTTTTTAAAAAAATTTTCAAATAGTCTGCATAATTATCTCATTTAGATCTCCGCACCGCCTTAGGAGGAAAGCTGGAGCTAGCATGGAAACATTTTTGGGCCAACAAATGTTTACCAAGAAGAAGCTGTAAGGTGATCCTCCAGTACTGAACTTTGCTAGCCCTTTCTGTAAAAAAAATTCCCCTTATAACCATGAGGTGACTTCCTGCAAGGTGAAAAGAAACGTTACTAAACACAAACAGCCAAACAAATAATTGCAACCCATACACCTTGTCCTGGGCACCTCTAGGCTCTGGGGCCCAGTCAGCTGGGAATCAGACGCCTGGCATAAAACATGCTTAAAGTCGCAGAAACTGATGGCTAGATTCACTAAGCAGAAACAGGCAATACATTTCTCTCTGGTCTTCCAGCCTATACATTTAACTGTTTTCTATTTGGGGATGGGGAGAATATTCTAAGTTTCACCCCTGTTTCTATGGTCTTGACTTTCTGTCTCTATATGTATGGGCTCTGCCTATATCTGGGGTCCATTCCCTTTGTAGTTACTCAGGTACCAGTCTCTGGGCACAAGTCCCTCCATAAAGGTCACCACCTCCCAAAGAGCTTCTCCAGTTCCCTCCCCACGTCCACAGCCTTAGATGCTTACCTCTGTGGAAACAATTCTCTCCTTCCAATCTCCAGGGAATAAACTCTTCGGAAGCCCAAAATGTCTTATTTGACCTGAATGTGTGCCCTATCCTTACAATGCCTGGCTCATGGAAAGCTCGCAAATGAATAATAACAGTTATCTTTGTAGTTAAGATGTATTAAATGCTTATTAGGAGTGAGGCTAAATGAATTCTTTCACTAAAAATTCCTAACAAAACTGTGAGGTAGGTACTATGATCAACATCATTTTATAAATGAAAAAAATTAGGCTCAGAAAGGTTCAGCAGCCTTTCTGAAGGTTCAGAAAGGCCTTTCTGAAGATTCAGCAGCCTTTCTGAAGGTTCAGAAAGGCCTTTCTGAAGATTCAGCAGCCTTTCTGAAGGTTCAGAAAGGCCTTTCTGAAGATTCAGCAGCCTTTCTGAAGGTTCAGAAAGGCCACACAGCTGGCAAGTTAAGAAACTAGGTTTTCAACTTAATCATGCTGCCTCCAGAACCCAGGCTTCCAACCACTCTGCTGTATTGACTAAGTGCATTAAGTGAGCATCACCAAGGCCATCAAACCAATGAGCCTGACTACAGTCCCCAATGCTCAGTCCAAGGCACTTCCTTCTCTTCATCAAACCAAGTCCTGGTTTCACTAGAAGAAGGAATTGAGCCTTTAGGACAAAGGCAGAGACAACCCACACCTGCCATCCTCAACCAGCTCTTAACGCATAGCAATAATCATCCCCGGGAGAAAGGCTCTCAGGCAAGGTTAATAACAAACGTAATGGTTTTACAATATCTGCTGCTACAAAAAGCAAAATAAAAAAAAATTTCTGGGTGACTAAGTAACATGAATTGCTAGAAGACGAGTCTTCATTCATCCCCCTTTGAATTGCAAGATGATGGTGTGTTTTAACGGTAAATGAACACGGCATTCCCAAAGCCATCAAGTTAATGAGTCAAGTAAATCCTCAGTCTTCTCCTTATCCAGATTTTTATCTTCCCCACTGTCATTACCATCTTGCTCAGAAAATCATTTCTGGGCCTTTCTCCTGCTCCAAAGAGCTGGATTGTCAATTAAAGGCCTGTTAACTAACGAATTGCTGTTCTGCAGCTGCAAATAAAATTCACACACAGCTCAGATGACTTTATCATGGGAGTTGATTAATTAGCAGTTACAGGGCCCTGAAAATAGAGTTCCATTTCATTAACATAGACTTGTAATGTTTTGGTGCATATTGTTGTGATTTAAACATTTTGCTCCACGGCGGAGAAGATATGGAGGTGTAGGAAAAACGGGAAGTCTATGGGATAATCAGGAGTGAGACCAAATGTAAAGGATTTTTTTTAATAATGTAATGGTTAACATTGAGCTCAGGTCTTTCCTACCAGAGTCTGTTCTGAGCATTTCCTGTGATTAATTAGCTCATTTGGCCTTTGTGACCATGCCAGGAGATAGGCAATATTATCGTTAGCATTTTACACAGGAGGAAATTGTAAACCAAAAACAAAATTTGAAGCACCCCCCACCCCAACCATCTGAATGGACTTCCTCCTCAGCTAAGGCTCTTTTAAAATGTAACCTGAGAGATTATTTCGGGCCATGATGGGAAGTGGGGTTCGAACATGCCTCATTATACCTCTCCGGCATTAACATCAACACTGACTATAAGTCTGATAAGAAATATCTTATGGGCCAGACACCATGGCTCATGCCTGTAATCCCAGCACTTTTGGAGGCTGAGGTGGGCAGATCATCTAAGGTCAGGATTTCGAGACCAGCCTGGCCAACATGGTGAAACTCTGTCTCTACTAAAAATACAATAATGAGCCATGCATGGTGGTGCCCGCCAGCTACTCGGTGGTGTCCCAGCTACTCGGGAGGCTGAGGCAGGAGAATTGCTTAAACCTGGGAGGTGGAGGTTGCAGTGAGCCGAGGTTGTGCCACTGCATTCCAGCCTGGGCAGCAGAGCGAGACTCTGTCTTAAAGAGAGGAGAGGGAGAGGGAGAGGGAGGGCGAGGGGGAGGGGAAGAGGGAGAGGGAGAGGGAGAGGAGAAAAGAGAAAATTTTACAACCTATTCTCTGTAAAGCCTAGTACTTAAAGGCTTCCTCTGCAAATAAGAACTTGGGTTCCACAATCCTTCATCTTAACCCAGCCATTACTTTCTGTTGATCGCAGGTCTTTAGACAAACTCAACCGTCAACCAGAAAATGTTTACATTTACCTATAGCCTGGAAGCCCCTGCTCTGAGTTATCCCACCTTTCTGGACCAAACTAATGTATTTTTTAAATGTATTTGATTGATGTCTCATGCCTCTCTAAAATGTATGAAATCAATATGCACCTGGGCCACCTTGGGCCCATGTTCTCAGGACCTCCTGAGGGCTGTGTCATGGGCCATGGTCACTCAAATTTGGCTCAGAATAAATGTCTTCAAATACTTTACAGAATTTGGCTGTTTTTCATTGACAAAGTGAAGGCACACAGTTACTAAACAGTAGAGCCAAGATTAACACTCAGGCTGGCTCCAGAGCAGTGGTTCTCAACTGGAGGGGCAGGGGGAGTGGAAGGGGAGGCTTAACCTTCCTAGGAATATTTGCAGTGTCCGAAAATATTTTTGATTGCCATGAGTTGGTTGTCATTTCAAGGTGTCATGAGTTGGGGGGCATCTAGTGGGTTGAGGCCAGAGATGCAGATAAACACCTTACAATGCACAGGTCAGCACCCCCCAATAGTAAAGAACTTTCAGTCCTAAAATGTTACTAGCGCTAAGGTGAAGAAACTCTGCTCCAAAGCCTGGTCCTTGCTATTGTGTCCAAGACTTGTGCCCAGAGAAAAGGGCGGGTGACCAGTGATCATCTCCCTTCCCTGTGTAGCAGCTGTGTTACTTCCTGGCAGGTTACCTCAGCAGCAACAACTTACAGGGTTGATATTATTTCACTTGCCTGAAGGCTGAATTTGACTTCTTAAAAGCCCTGTGAGATCTCAGGTTTCCTAGCAAAAGCTATGAAATCTCTAGAAATAATAATTAAACATGTGACATTGGAGCAGAAATAGCAAATCACCAATAGAATAAAAATGAGATTCTAGAAAGATATCTGTGTACATGCTGTAATTTAGGACCAGGTAAAAATGTCCTTTCAAAGCAGAGGAAGAAATCAAAAAGCAGAAGAGCGGAGTGTACGAGAACTCTCTGTGCTGTCTATGCAATGCTTCTATAAGTCTAAAACGATCCTAATGCTAAAATTTTAGTTTTTAAAAAAAGTAGAGGAAAAACTAGTACCTAAAGAGGAAAACATTAACATCAGATCTGTCTTATATCATACACAAAAATATACTTCAGATGGATGACAGAACTAAATGCAAATGAACAATGTGATGGCAATAAAAACTATAGAAGTTTCAAAGATAAATATAAAAATAAATCTTTACAATCTTCACTTGAGGAAGTCCTTTCTCAATGAGACACAAAAACAATTGCAAAAAAGACTGACAGGTTTGAGACTATCTGTGTGGCAATATAATTGCACACTGGAGCAGCAAAGAGGATCAGTTTAGTAAAGAAGTAACCACAGTTGTTTTTGCAGCTTTCTTCTGGGAGATAATCCAGAGCCAAAACTTTGAATCTCGAGTTACAGAAGTCAAAGGGAAAGGCCCTTGTGGGGAACACCCATTTGGCATCCCTCTCTAATTTGCTTTAGATTTAACAGGGAAATTTTTCTTCCTTCTCTCTGTTCCTGGTGTCCCCGGTTGAAGGAAGTCTCTGGCGAGCTGATGGATGTTATTGGTACATAGTGGCGACCTTAAGCCTAATTCTGGGTTTGGCTAGAACAACTGGCTCTTTTCTTACTATTTTAATGTCTGAACTGATATGGGTGACATTTCCTCCAGCAGTGGGGGCAGCTGATAATGACGACTGTAGGCCAGATGAGTGCTGATTGCTACACACCAAGATTACCCCAAAATGGAGGCAGTGCATGACTCCCTCCAGTACCCCAAGAGACAAAGCTAGAGAAAATACTCAGCTCCGCATCCAAAACTCTGAAATTAACTTCCCCTGAGATGTGCAGAGTTTTATGCTCAAACTTCCAAAAAATATTAAAAATTCAAGATAGTCATTTTTCTCAGCATGAACTTGTGCACTCTTTTTTTTGTATATATACACCATGATTCAGCAATGAACTTGTGTTCTTATCTCCAACAAGGAATGTATCTAAATAGTCATATCTTTAAGGATATGAGTTTTTAGCGGAGTCAGGAACCTAGGAAAGAACTATACAAAGAGGTAGACAGCCCTCAGCCACCCCTTTGATGGTGTATCCATGCATTTGCATTGTCCTATTATCTTTTCTTAGAGAATCAAAAGACCTTTCTAAGATCTTGGAGAAAGAGTAACAAATAGTATGTAAGATATTATATCAGAGTCAGTCTGGAATGGGAAAAATCAGATGTGAGTCCCTACTGGAAAGTGGAGCCTTAAATCAATCACTTGATCTCTTTGAGTTTCAATTTCCTTAGCAGTCAAATGGATTTAATTCATTCATTTAACAAATATTTAATAAGTTCCCATTATGTGCTAATTCTACTGTTTCTACCAACCTTACAAATTTTATGAAAGAATTACATGAAATGACAAAAATGCTTTACAAAGTGTAAGTCATAAAAATAATTCATGTTATTGTTAAAAATAGAAGATTTTCTCTTGTTATTAAATAAGACTAAAGCCCAGAACAAAATAAGAAATGTTTGCCAGATTGTAGAACAACCAGAAGGAGGAATCCCCATTGCAGTTCAAAAATTGCCCAAAAGCTGGCTTTTAGGGACCACACCCAAGACTATAGATTGCTGACAGCCACAGAAAACAAATATTTACTACAAGTTGAGCCCAAAGGCCTCCACTGAGAACCTAAAACTACACAGAACTGAAGAAGTGCATGCGTCTGATTCCCGCAGGGCCTTTGGAGAAAGTGGGACTCTAGGAATTCAGAGATGAGAAGAGGGCCCAGGAATGCATCACCAGGAGCCATCCAGTCAGCTCCTCCCCGCATCCCAGGCCTGGCCTCACAGAATCCTGAAGATGAAACATCACCCACTCCACAAGCTAACAGTCCAACAACTCCAAACAACCGGCACGACCCCCAGAGTCCACCTTCTCTCTCTCAAAGAGCTTCTTGTATGGCTGCTTATCTGTTCCAAGGAGTACCATGCATAAGGACAGCAGTATGATTTTAAAAACAACAAATAAAGAGAAGCCAGTTCTGTCCAAAAACCCATTGTTAATAACGGGGATAAAGTGTCAGTAAAGCGCTACACTCAGAAGGGTTTGGGGCAAAATCAAAGCAGAACCAGGGCACACAAATAAAATAAAGGACACTGCACTTTGGGAGGCCGAAGCGGGCGGATCACCTGAGGTCAGGAGTTCAAGACCAGCCTGGCCAACGTGGCGAAACCCTGTCTCTACTAAAAATACAAAAATTAGCCAGGCATTGTGGCGCGCATCTGTAATCCCAGCTACTCTCGAGGCTGAGGCACAAGAATTGCTTGGACCCAGGAGGCGGAGGTTGCAGTGAGCCGAGATCTTACCACTGCCCTCCAGCCCGGGCGACAGGCCGGGAGCAAGACTCCATCTCAAAAAGAAAAAGAAAAAAAAGAAAGAAAGGACACTGAATGTGAAGGTCTCAAATGACAAGAAAATACCGTAATACAATAATTAAACCCATTGAGGCATCAAGAAAGAAAAGTGACACTGTTTGCCAATTAGTATACAAGTCAGGTTCAGTATGTAAAAGATTCTTTTTAAAAAAATAGAAAATTTAAAAAAAATTCTTACTATCCAAAGACAAGATTGAAATTGAGAATAGGAACACAATAAACAAAAAGTAATAGCCATAGTCTTCCAACCCTGAAACCTCCTAAGAGCACCATATTTACTGTCCAATATTTTCATGCTATTGTCACTGCAAGAAAGTTTATGACTTGCTAAATAGAGACCACAGTCTACAACTCCAGGTTTAAAGCATATTATTTTATCATCCATAGAGATTCTAAACCACTTCCTGACCCCACTCTATCCCCCCCCACCCTGAAAATAACAAAAGGTTAAAAATATGTCCCTTTTGAAAATGGAGCCACATCTTTACTAAAGCACTGGAAATATCTCCAAGTCACTGACATTTTTATATTTCTAGACCATGACAAAAGTCTCACCTACTTGATTCTAATGTCATTTCAATATGCCTTAAACATCTTGATTATATCTTTAATGTGCCATTTACTCTGCAATAATCCACTGTACAAAAGCCTGCTGCCTCTCAAACAGAAGATAAGTACATAATAAATCAGCTTGCAATGATTATTTTTTCCCAGCTCATACTCACAGCGAGCTCCTAAAATTTCATTTTATTTTATCATTTCCAATTCAGCCGCTGTTCTCCCCCTCCTCGTTGTGCTACTGTCTCCTGTCCATCCTGTCCACCCTTTGGCATGCCTTCCGGCCCAGGGTTTACCACTCCAATCGGCCCTGCTGGTGCCATCCAGGAAAGGAAGAGCGGTCAAGCGTCTTGGAGAAAGAGCATCTTTCTGGAGAGACTCTTATTTGCTGGGGTAGAGGAAGGCAGCTAAGGCCTATTTGCATATGCTTTTATTCCATTTCCACACCCTGCACGCTAACCCTCTCTGGAAAGTCCCTTCTAGATCCCTCCTCGGCACAGCGAGGGAGGAAGAGGCTGGGCCGGAATGGAAGGTTCCAGCCTGGCAGTGTCAGCTTCTCTCCGCGGAGCTGAGGGGGAAGCCTCCACCTTCCCCATCATGCGTGCAGGGTCTGGACCCCCGGGTCGGGGACCCTCTTGCAGCACGTGTCAGGAGCAGCCTGGTGCTTTGGCCTGCGCGCTCTAGAGCGTTCTGTGCAGGATGCGCCTGCTCCCCTGCAGCCTCCCCCGAGGAAGTTCTGGTCAGGCGCTGGGTCCCCAGGCTTCCTGTCTGTACTCTCCGCAGCCCCGCGGGGAAATCCCGAGAGCTTTATCGGCTGCCCAATGAGCCTGTTGGCTTTTCAAGTGCGCGCAGGCTGAGTTTCAGCCAAAACCTCAATTTAAACGTTAACCAAAAATAAATAAATAACATGTGTGCAGGCATTTAAAAAGAGAGACTGCCTTTGGGGAGAAGATCAGGCAGAAAGCTCCCTTGTTTCATTGCTGCAGATACACGAGGCCTGGATTTGCTCACCCTTTGAACAAAGGGATTCTTTGAACTGTAAACTGACCTGGCAGGCGGAACACTGAGAAATCTTCCTGAGCACCTTTCTCTGGAAATGTGAACATTCAAGGCAGTCTTGTGTGTCAGCTAAAGAGAACAGTCATAGCTAAATTTTAATGGGCACCTACTAGGCACCAGGCACTCTGCTAAATGTATCACGTGCATCATCTTCCCTAATCCCACAGCAATCATCCATAGCAGGTAGCCCGAATTATTATCTCCATTTTGTGATCCCCTTTTACTCATAAGGGAATTTTATCTTTGGTGAGGTTAGGGGGACTTGCCTAAGGTCACACAATTAGTAAGTGTTTCCATGGGTGCCCTTAGCTGCTCCTTTTCCCAAACTGGAAAGAACGTACAAGGCCTTTGGAATGTGCAACTGCAAATTCAAATTCCCAGTCGAGAAAATATAGCTTCCTTTCCTTGGTCACGTGCTCATGGACCGAAAAAGACCAGCTCAAAGGATTTTGCTTCCAGGCAGATGTAGTCACTTTCCTGACCTCCCCTGAAGGTTTTTGTTGCTTATCTTGCTGAGCTCCCAAAAGGTTTGTTTGAACGTCTACTATAGATAACGTTTTTAAAAGCAAATATTTATTGAGCAATTGTTATACACCAGACACTGTTCATAAAAACATGTTCTTATTTAATACTCCTAAGAACCCTAAAAAGCAGATACTATTCTTAGATTAGAAATGAGGAAACCGAGGTTCCAAGAGAGTCGAAACTTGCCAGAGTTCACATAGCTAGAAAATATCAGAGCCAGGATTTGAATTGAGGTTTCCTGTCCCCAAATCTCTGAACCTGGTACACTGCATTACTCTGCCTCTCAAGGGGTCCACATCAAAACTATTTCCTTGTGTGAGATTCTCTCCCATTGGAAGGGAGTTCCTTGGGGGTTTGGGGTGGACCCAGGTATCTGAGTGGGCTCTGGGCATACCTTCAAGCACTCCAGCATCTGCTGAAACCGGGTGGGTTGATGGAAGGGAGGAAGCATAAGGGTGACCAGAAGAGTTAAGGGCACTCTTAACACATCCCATGTTGTATTAAGGAGTAAGCAACCTATTTGTGAAGTTTTTATAAAAGGTTAAAAGCTGCCTAATTCAGTTAGCGACAATTCTGTTTAAAGAAATCCAAAATTATTTGGATCCATGAACTGGGGGCTAGACTCAAATGGAATAAACAGAAGGAACTCAACCCTTGCTGGTTTCTGCTAACAAGTACATTATCCCGTTCCAGTCAGTTAACTCGACTTCGGCATTCCTAAGGGCTCCTTTGTGACACCTGGGGGTCATTAGTATAGTTTTCCAGAAACAGGAAAGTGGATGCTTGGAGCCAGAATTTAAGTAGCTATATGCTATCAGCTGCAAGCACCTCCATCTGCTGCCTTTTGCCTCGGGAGGAATAAACTCTAAAATCTTGAGGCAGGTTTTCAGGGATGATATATGAATTCAGCCTCATCCTTTTACAACCAAAATACGTGTCATTTTTGTTTCATTTTGTTGGGGGGTAGGGTGGAGGAGAGCTTAAACATCATTTATATAACTTATATTACATGCCAGGGAAAGTGCTATGCACTTTACCACCATTATCTCACTTAATGCTGATAAGATGGGTATTCGTCTCTATTTCACAGACAAAAATCCAGAAGACAGACACTCACAGAAATTAAATAAATTCCTAGAGTTAAAAGTCAGTAAAGAAGCCCTGGCACGGTGGCTCACGCCTGTAATCCCAGCACTTTGGGAGGCCGAGGCAGGCGGATCACCTGAGGTCAGGAGTTTGAGACCAGCCTGGCCAATATGGTGAAATCTCGTCTCTACTAAAATTATAAAAATTAGCCGGGTGTGGTGGTGGGTGCCTGTAATCCCAGCTACTCAGGAGGCTGAGGCAGGAGAATCGCTTGAACCTGGGAGGGGGAGGTTGCAGTGAGCCGAGACAGCACCACTGTACTCCAGCCTGGGTGACCACAGCGAGACTCCATCTCAAAAAAAAAAAGATGCTGGAAAGAGAGGAATTGTGTGGAAGGAATGTGAATCTTCTTTGCTGACAAGAGCACTGTCTTATCTGGTTTGGAGTCCCAGTCCAACTAAGTGTTATGCTACATTTCTCATAGGTACTCATAAATGCAAAAGTTAACTGAATTACTGGGTTGGAGCTGTTGTCTACTCTCAGGAAGCAATCTTCATTGTTGTTATGAAGACTTTTTGAGGCCTGCATTGTTTTTACTTTAATTCCAAGCAGCATCACTCTTCCTTTTGAATACCTCACTCCCTCCCCGTCTCCACCATTGAATTAGATATTTCAAAATGCACCCATATAGGCTGTCCTCAATTCTGCACAGCACAGTACTACACCATTTATATAAGGGACTCGAGCATCCATAAACTTTGGTATCCATGAGAGGGTCCTGCAACAATCCTCCTTGGATACCAAGGGATTACTGTACTGTGTTAACTGAGACATGCGTATATCAGAACCATGTCCTCAATTTGCATAATTCCGTGGTGATGTTGATATATGAGCTAAAGCTGATAAATCAATTCAGTGTTATGATGTTATCTTGAGGAACCATTAAATTAAACATTTACTCACTTTAATTTTGTGTTTTCCTTTTGAATTTTGGAGCCACTTTTTTTTCATGAGCCCTGGAAAAGCACAGACACACAGTGTCTAGAGTCCCTTATGTTTTACCTGGTCCCATGTGTAAGGGATGCTTTTGCTCCATGTTTTACGTTGCACATACAGGGGACTTGAGAATCTCGCTGTTGTTCACCTTAAATGTCACAGTGTGGGCTCAAAAGTACAAAAATATAGACTGGAAAGATGACCCTCAGGTATGCCCTGAGTACTGTGGGGAAGTCTCCACCTGAATTCTTTGGCCCTCAGACTCTTTGATCTGGTAGTAGGAAATTGTGACATATACAATTATAAAAAAAATACCCCCAAGTGTCACGACAACGTTTGTGTTTCCAGCCCACTCGGTAGCTCAGATGCTTGGGGTTCTTAAACTCAGGAAATTCCCCAAATAGACAGCCGCTGTTGGGGTAAGGATTAGAGCTGGTACTTGATCAGCTGGCTTGCAGTTTAGATGGGGCTCAGACTCGGGATGCAGCTCTCCCTTGTCCCTGCAGGTTCAAGTGAACCTGCTGGACTTCCTATATCCAAAGAAAACTCTCATGTAACCAAATGCCCTTTGGCCCACGAAGGTGCTGCATATCAAGCATAATAATCATTAGACACCCTCCTGCCTGCCACAGCCCACACTTTCTCCCTCCTTTCATCAGAGCACAAGCCTGTCTGGCAGAGATACCTTATACCATGTTTTTGAATTTTCATTTGTGCAGAACTTATCTCTCTGACCAGTTTAAATACCTGTAAAGGCAACAAGAAATCGTCGAAAAGCTGGGCTTTAGACTCTTGCTGAGAAAAACTAACTTGAATTCTCTAAGCCATTCTTTAATAAAATCAGAAGTAACAAATACCTGACAGGTTGCATTAAAGATTACATTTATTTTAAAAGCCAGTAAAGTGCCAAACATAATACATGATTCATAGCAGCCCCAGGAAATGACAGAGCAAAGAGATCACCTACTAAATATCTTTGTTGTGTGTCTCATGTGGCCTTTTCCCAAGCTGGACATCCAGAGCGCTATCTAAAGCATTGCGCAAGGGAAAAGGATCACATTACGCTGCCACTATCAATATGCAGAAAAACAATAATGATACCAGCTGTGTTCCTGCATCCTGAGACTCTGCTCCTGAAACTGAAAATGTGTAAATGGGAAATCTCTGCATAGCTAGATGTGGAAACAAAGGAACTGGGCCTATAAGAGAAGCACAGCATCCTCTCCTTCAGAAGTCCACAGGGGCTGGAGTACTGATGATGGCACACAAGGGCACCATGAGTTTCTGTGCATACTAACATTGCAGACTGCCATACCTGGAAGGTGAACAGAGGAAAGGCAGGCATGACTTACCAAAGGGAACACATCCTTGCCCAGCAAACTAAGGAAGTCACCGATAACGTGGGCAAGGATTTAGCCAAAAAATGTTCATGAGTAAAGCTGTTTTAACATCAAAATATTAGCAACAAATTTAATTGTCCCAAACTGGGAATTGGTTAAATTATGGCACATCTGCAACGTAAGCACATTTACTCTATTTTAAATGACGATGCTAAAGAATACTTAACTTTTTTAAACCTTCTAGCTGTCTTTTGAAAGGGAAAATAATGCTATGAAATGCTTGTTGTTGTCATCTAGTATCTGTGCAAAAAGCAAAACAGCACACCAAAAAGATAAGAGGAAGATGGGACTATGTGAGATCTTTCTTACCTTTTCTCATCTGTGCTTTCTACATTAAAAAAAAAAAAAAAAAAAAAAAAAAAAATTAAAGCCAGCCGCAGTGGCTCACACCTGTAATCCCAGCACTTTAGAAGGCCGAGGCGGGCAGATCACTCAGTCAGGAGTTCAAGACCAGCCTGGCCAACATGGCAAAACCACGTCTCTACTAAAAATGCAAAAATTAGCTGGGCATGGTGGCACATGCCTGTAATCCCAGCTACTTGGGAGGTTGAGGCAGGAGAATCACTTGAACCCAGGAGGCAGAGGTTGTAGTGAGCCAAGATCGTGCCACGGCACCCCAGCCTGGGCAACAGAGCAAGACTCCATCTCAAAAAAAAAAAAAAATTAACCATATTAGACTTTTATAAAAAGGGGGAATTTGTTAGTTTGAAAGATAGATAAAGGAAGAGAGAGAGGCAGGAGGAAATATAAGGGAAGGAAAGGAGATCAGAAAGCAGGGATTCATAGACATCTTCCCCCCAACCTGCTTCCCCCTCTACAAACTCTGCCTCTTCAAAACCTCTGGGTGAAGAAAAACAACACTAGCCATGCTGCTAGTAAAACATTACAGACAAAAGACTAGAAACATAGATCCAATGCACCAACAGATAGTAAATATTTATAGAGCAGAGATAAGTGCCATTTAAGGGTAATTTGAGGCAAACAGTGGTTGTCTTTCTCATGCATTCTAAAAGCATGAAAGTATTAAAAAAACTACCCAAAAGTTTTCAACCAAGTAGAATGATCTAGGGCAATATGGGAACATCATCTTCTTTCAAAAGCATCTCAAGGGAAAATACAGTTTACAGCAAATAGTATTAGGGAAAT
Organism: Homo sapiens; assembly: GCF_000001405.40. NCBI lineage: Eukaryota > Metazoa > Chordata > Mammalia > Primates > Hominidae > Homo > Homo sapiens. The sequence goes on along the minus strand of NC_000005.10, from coordinate 160,462,395 downwards.
GATTACGTAGAGCAGAACTTCTTGTGGTTCCCAGCCTGAGTCTGGTAAAAACCATGGCACAGTGTTGTGACCAGAGGGTTGGAGGATGCAGACTGCTTGGCTGCCATCCCTTCACTTCTGCTTGCCAAATGAGCCACCTACTTGGTCTCTGTCTGCCTCTGTCGCCTCAACCTGGGGACAGAAAAAATATTGGAGGCTGGGGACAGTGGCTCATGCCTGTAATCCCAGCACTTTGGGAGGCCAAGGAGGTTGGATCACTTGAGGTCAGAAGTTCAAGACTAGCCTGGCCAACATGGTGAAACCCCATCTCTACTAAAAATACAAAAATTAGCTGGGCATGGTGACAGATGCCTGTAATCCCAGCTACTCGGGAGTTTGAGGCAGGAGAATCACTTGAACCCAGGAGGCAGAGGTTGTAGTGAGCCAAGATCACATCACTGCACTCCAGCCTGGGCGACAGAGTAAGACTCCATCACAAAAAAAAAAAAGAAAAAAAGAAAAAGAAAAAAGAAAAAAATATTCGTACCTCACAGGGCTTTTATTAGGATTAAAAGAGTTGCTGCATGTAAAATGTTTAGAGCCATTCTGACGTGTAGGAGGTAGTCCATAAATAAACAGTTGATTATTCTGGTGGACAGTTATTATGTACTGGCTGTCTAGCATCCATTTCCCTTCCTAATACTTTTCCAGATTCAACCCCTAGGCCACAGACCAGTATGGGTCTATAGCCTGTTAGGAACCAGGTCGCACAGGAGGAAGTGAGCAGAGAGCAAATGAGCCAAGTTTTACCTGTATTTACAACCGCTCCCCATTGCTCCTATTACCGCCTGAGTACCACCTCCTGTCAGATCAGCAGCTGCATTAGATTCTCATAGAAGCGCGAACCCTATTGTGAACTGCACATGCAGGAGATCTAGGTTGCACCCTCCTTATGAGAATCTAATGCCTGATGATCTGTCATTGTCTTCCATCACCCCCAGATGGGACGGTCTAGTTGCAGGAAAACAAGCTCAGGGCTCCCACTGATTCTACATTATGGTGAGATGCATAATTATTTCACTATATATTACAATGTAATAATAATAGAAATAAAGTACACAATAAATGTAATGCACTTGAATCACCCAGAAACCATCCCCCTGCCCTGGTCCATGGGAAAATTGTCTTCCACAAAACTAGTCCCTTCTGCCAAAAAGGTTAAGGACCACTGGCTTAAACCATTCTTCCAAACAGTGATGATTGTTTCAGAAAAGGACCCAAGACCCAATTCAGGCCAATAAGACAGAAACAATCAGAGGTTTGTGAAGAGTCTCCAGAAGAAACCCTCTCTCTTCCCCTGGATAGTGTTGAATATGAAGATGGGGCCTCGCCAGGATTAAGCCTGTAATCTGAGCATCTCGTGGGCTGAGGCAGGAGGGTTGCCTGAGCCCAGGGGTTTGAGTCCTTCATGGGCAACATAGCAAGACCTTGTCTCTAAATAAATAATTTTTTTAAAAAAGAAGAATATATAGCCTGCAGCTACCATAGCCTTTTGGCTACCATAAGGGGGAGTCTGGAGCTGCCAGAGGGCTCCAGATAAGAGTTGAAAATAAAGCCAATACTAAAGAAAGCTCTTGTTGATATCACCGGAGTCCCTAATTCTGGCCTTACCTGAGGTCAAATCTCCTGCTAAACATCTCAGCTATATAAAACAATAATCTGCTATTTAAGCCAATTAAGTTTGGTCTTTTGTAATTTGCACATAAGAATCCCTAATTGATACACTTGTCTCAGACGAATAATCCTTTGCATTTCTTTCTCTGGACACTGACTACATTCCAGGCATTCTCTGAGTCAATAGAATTTTATGAAGCCTTGAGTCTCACACTCCCTTTGATTTTCTCTGAAGAAAATGGAAGCAAATAAAGCTTCAGCTGCCCTCACTGTTTCCTACTTCAACTATTTCAAACCCCCACCCCAATTTCTAAGGTACCCTCCAAAACCAACCACATGGCATGGAAAATGGTCCAGGCATCTGAAATAAGAAAAACATAGAAACTAAGTCAAATGCATAAAACTCTGTGGAGTGTGTGTGTGTGTTTGTGTGTGTGTGTGTATTTTAATCCAGTAACTACCCAGGAGGGGAAGGCAAGAAATATGATTTGCAGCAATATACTTACCTATTTTGATGAAACTCCACTACAAAATAAATGTTTCTGGAACTTTGTGATGAGCTACCAGAAGGATGGGGCACATTAATCACACAGCTTTCTATATATATATATATATATATATTTTATTATACTTTAAGTTCTAGGGTACATGTGCACAATGTGCAGGTTTGTTACATATGTATACATGTGCCATGTTGGTGTGCTGCACCCATTAACTCATCATTTACATTAGGTATATCTCCTAATCCTATCCCTCTCCCCTCCTCCCACCCCACAACAGGCCCCAGTGTGTGATGTTCCCCTTCCTGTGTCCAAGTGTTCTCATTGTTCAGTTCCCACCTATGAGTGAGAACATGCGGTGTTTGGTTCTTTGTCCTTGCGATATTCACAATAGCAAAGACTTGGAACCAACCCAAATGTCCAACAATGATAGCCTGGATTAAGAAAATGTGGCACATATACACCATGGAATACTATGCAGCCATAAAAATGATGAGTTCATGTCCTTTGTGGGGACATGGATGAAGCTGGAAACCATCATTCTCAATCACACAGCTTTCAATCACCCCAAGACTTCCGACAGTGTCTCACATCTGACAGATACCAATATGCACTTGTCAAATTGCCCATCATTTGTGCTATGCCTGCTCAACCACAGCTGCAACTATTTACTGAGCACCCACTATCCACCAGGCACTTTGCTGGGCAGTTCACATCTATTCTCTTAGATAATTTACCTCAAAGCACATGTGCATGATAAGTACTGAACTTCCATTCCTATTTATAGAGGAAGAAACAGTGTCAGGCAACTTGCTCAAGGCCAGACACGTAGTAAATGGTGGCGCTATGATTAGAGTCCTGGCCTAATACGTAAAAGACACATTGACAGTGAATCACACATCACATGAGTATCAGTAGATGAGCAAAAAAGACCATGTGGTTATGAGATGCAAATGTCAAGAGCAAAGATATTTAAGAGGTGGGAGGCAGTGTGATAGAGAGGGAAAAAACAGGAGCTCACACAGATCTGCTGTGACCGAGCTACATGACCTTAAACGAGACAAAGAATTCATTCATGCGTTTGTTCAACAAATATTCATTAAGGGTCTACTATGTGATTCATATTCAGGAAACAGCATTGAACAAAATAATAGAACTCTTCTCATGGAACTTGCAGTCCCATGAAGATCGTAGAAATGGAAAGACCCTTTGGGATCACCCAGTCCAATTCTCCCATTGACAGATAGAAAGACAGAGACCCACACAGAGGAAGGGATTTGCCCAAAGTTACATACACAACAAGTTGGTTAGTGGCAAAGCTGGACTAAAGCCCAGCTCTTCATATGACCCACTACAACATTTCACAAATGGGAAGAAGGTTAACTGCCTGCCCCTAGCTCCATAGGACTCCCATGATAACTGAGGCAGAGTCTTGGAGAGCAATAGGGAAGACCTACTATTAATATTATGAATAAAGATGTTCATGGCAGCACCGTCAGAAAGAATGTGCACTTGCACACACACACACACACACACACACACACATTGGAAACAACCCTAAATGTGCTCTAAGTGAAGGGCTGTTAAGTAAACTATGATACATCAATATAGTGGATGCTTTTGCTACTAAAAAATAATAATAATAACAAATGTTAGACTCACTAGCTTGGACTGTAGAATGGCCACGGTGTTCTGTTAAGCTTGAGAGAAAGCAAGTTGTAGACCAATGAATACAACATAATCCTATTTCTTGTTTGTTTCTTAGTTTTAAGAATAAAATGTAGATGTGTTTGTTTCATATACTCATTTTTGAACATAGAGAAAGGTATGAAAAAACATACAACATTGGTTTTCTCAAGGAATGGGATTAGAAGATCAAAGGTCAATTATTAACTTGTTTATGTACAAATTATATCCCAGCACTTTGGGAGGCCAAGGTGGGTGGATCACCTAAGATCAGGAGTTTGAGACCAGCCTGGCCAACATGGTGAAACCCCATCTCTACTAAAAATACAAAAATTAGCCAGGCTTGGTGGCGGGCACCTATAATCCCAGCTACTTGGGAGGCTGAGGCAGGAGAATCGCTTGAACCCAGGAGGCGGAGGTTGAATTAATCTGAGATTGCACCACTGCACTGCAGCCTGGGCAACAGAGTGGAACTCCAACTCAAAAAATAATAATTTTTAAAAATTAAATTAAATTAATTCTATGGCTGGGACCACTGGCTCATGCCTGTAATCTCAGCACTTTGGGCAGCCGAGGCAAAAAGATTTGAACCCAGGAGTCTGAGACCAGGCTGGGCAACATGGAGAGACCTCTTCTCTACAAAAAACCTTTTTTTAATTAGCCGAGCATGGTGGCAAGCACCTGTAGTCCCAGCTACTCAGAAGGTTGAGGCAGAAGAGATCGCTTGAACTGGGGAGATCGAGGCTGCAGTAAACCGTGATCAGACCACTGCACTCCAGCATGGGTGACAAAGCAATGCCCTGTCTAAAAAATAGATATAAGAATAATTCTTTTTAAGTGGTTTGTCCAAGGTCACACTGGGAAGTGGAAGAATCCACAGCATGGATAAAGCACAGGCAGCCTAATCCCAGAGCCATGCTCCCAACAATCAAACTGTAACTCAAGTTCCACCCAGTCCGGGGGACTTTCTAAAGCAAGTAAAATCCTAGAAAGCCATTATATTGAATATAGTCAGTACTATTCACTTTTATTTTCACATGAACATGCGCGGAGCATGGAGAGAATCAGGAGCCTGCCCCAGGCTAATGATGCATTGAGATTTAAGTAACTCACTCCAGGTCACACCGCAGTGTGTCATGAGCCAAGATTTGAATCCAGATTTTCCTCCTTCCTGAGCTTACCCTCAAGCACATACCACACCACCTGCACTTCAATCAGAATGAAGGAAAAATAAATAGGAGGCTCATATGCATATAAAGACCACGAAACTTCCAGGAGTTTCTTTTTTTTTTCTTTTTTTTTTAAATTTTACTTTAAGTTCTGGGATACAAGTGCAGAACGTGTAGATACAAGTGCAGAACGTGTTACATAGGTAGACGTGTGCCATGATGGTTTGCTGCACCTGTCAACCCATCATCTAGGTTTTAAGCCCCGCATGCATTAGCTATTTGACCTAATGCTCTCTCTCCCCTCACCCCCAACCCCCCAGTTGGCCCCGGTATGTGATGGTCCCCTCCCTGTGTCCATGTGTTTCTCATTGTTCAACTCCCACTTATGAGTGAGAACATGTGGTGTTTACTTTTCTGTTCTGACTTCCAGGAGTTTCATTTTCCCTAAGGACTCACAACAGCCACCAAGGCTGCTACCTCCTCTGGAAAGTTTTGATTTAAAGGTTCTTTCAACAGGAAGTGTTGCCAGCTCAGATAGTACCTTGATCAGTGCAGTGGCTGGAAGCTTTTGCAGCCATGTCAAGAGGACACAAGTAATATCATTGTCAGGCTTGAAATATTATCTAAGAGGCACCTGACGGTCATCCTCCAGGCTACTGATGTGGCCATCGGAGTGCGTTAGTGATGAACAGTGTCAGCCTATATTAGGCCCCTGAGACCCATTTACTGTTACTCTCCACATATCCTATTAGAACATTGTAAATCGTAGTTCCATCTCTAGTGATGTATCCTTCTGGAGCAGGGCGCGGCTGACATTTAACATGCTATTGACCTAGAGCAGGCTTCTAAGTCTCTTGGCGCTGCCTGTTTGCACTTGTGAAATAAAAGTGAAGAATTAAGGCTACATGGCAGGCACGGTGGCTCATACCTGTAATCCCAGCACTCTGGGAGGCCAAGGTGGGAGGACTGCTTGAGCCCAGGAGTTCGAGACCAACCTCGGCAACATAGGGAGATGCTGTCTCTACAAAAAAATTAAAAATTAGCCAGGCTTAATGGTGTGCACCTGTAGTCTCAGCTACTAGGGAGACTGAGGCGGGAGGATCACCTGAGCCCAGGAGGTCCAGGCTGCAGTGAGCCATGATCGCACCACTGCACTCCAGACTTGGTGATGGAATGAGACTCTGTCTCAGAAAAAAAAAAAAGGCTACATGTATTTATGGGTTGTTGCCCAGGTTTGGGAAATGTGTGTTGAGACTGCATTAGTTTCTGACAGTTGCATGACATCTCTGTGGGTCTCAATAGAGTTGGCATTTGGGACAAGGGCTGTGTGAATTCATACTCAGTTCCTTTCCGAGCACTAATCCTGGCTAGTTCTGGAGCCTGGGACCCACTGATCTTTGCACTGCTTCATTTCTCCCTTCCATCCAGTGCAGGAGACAGGGTAAGCCTGTGCTGAGGCTCCCAGAAAAGCAGGGATGCCAAAAAGTAATGTTTCAAAAGCAATAAGGACTTCAACAAAAATACCAAGGTGGTTTCCTGTGGGGAAACAACCGATGTTTTAAAATTTCCTTATACTAAATTTATGGGTTTTGCTTATGGGAGAAAGCACCATAATCTTTCCATATTTATAACCTCCCAATCTGACCCTGTTCTGAAAATGTGCAAGATTTTGACATCCTCCCTCCAACACTTTGTTCGAAAAAAATTCTAAAAACCTCCATGAGCAGTTGCCCGGAGCTACCTCACAAGAGTCCACATTTACACGCAAGAGGTACAGATCACTTACCATGAGAGCAAAGAAGTATATGCAAGAGTGCTAATACTCCAGCATTTTCATAAGTTCAAAATAGGAGAAATAATCTAAATGTCCATCAACACGGTTGTCATTAAATCAATCACAGCATATCCATTCTGTACAATACTAAAGTGAATGTGACAGATCTGTATGCACAAAAATGAAACATTCTCCAGAAATCATTTCTAAATGAAAAAAAGCAAGATTCAGAGCAATGTATAGTAGGCTTTCATTTGGGTTTTTTTTCAAAGTAATCTATATTCACGTATGCTGATTTATACATGAAATTTTTCTGGAAGGATAAACAAGAAACTCTTTCCAGCAGTTGCCCCTGGGGCTTAGATTAGGCGGCTTGACTAAAAGGGAATGAAACTTTCTTTTCATTCTATACACTCTTGTACTGTTTAATTTTTCTCATCATTCATGTGTAGAATTTCTATTTAAATAAACAAAAGGGCCACATTTATGTACCATATTGTTATCAATATTAATAATAGAAGATAATGAAAGATGATACTCTGTCAATACCAATTAGAAAGTATGCATTTATTTAAAACACCGATGGAGCATTTATTATGTGCAAAATGACATGCTACATACACTAGCCATGCCAGAGACCTGGCCCCTTCCTTTAGGAGGGCACAGAAGTTACCATCTCCAACTCTGGAGGGAAGCAGAGTAGATTTAAGGTGTACCAAGGATCCACCACTTCCTTACAGGGTGACTGTGGGAAAATCAGATCACCTGTTTTTTTTGTTGTTGTTGTTGTTTGTTTTGTTTTTTCCTTTTTTTTTTTTTTTTTTTTTGAGACAGTTTCGCTCTTGTTGTCCAGGCTGAAGTGCAATGGCACGATCTCGGCTCAACCTCTTCCTCCAGGGTTCAAGCAATTCTCCTGCCTCAGCCTCCCAAGTAGCTGGGATTACAGGCGTCTGATACTACGCCCGGCTAATTTTGTATTTTCAGTAGAAACGGGGTCTCTCCCTATTGGTCAGGCTGGTCTCGAACTGCTGACTTCGATCCACCTGCCTCGGCCTTCCAAAGTGCTGCTCATGAGCCACCATGCCCAGCACCTCTGTTTCTTTATCCTCAGAATAAGGGTATTCAAAGAGCCCCCTCTTCCCACCCCCATAGAGCTATTATGAAGAATAAAAGAGATAAAGCAGGTGAAATGCTCATCCCTGGTTCTTAGTAAATGGGAACAAGTATGACAAGTGTGAGCCAACGTTATGACAGGTATTGTCCTCTATTTGAACTCTACTTGCTTTCTCAAAATCAGGAACCTCTTCGTTTTTGATAACTCACCATTCCTCCCTATCTAAACATGCTATCTGAACACAGGAACAAATTAGATTCGGAGAATTAAAATGCTTAGAAGAGGAGTCTGAGCTAAGCCTTGAAAGATAAGTAAAACTTCAATAGGCAGGGGGAGCAGGGGGGCGGAAAGAAGGGAAAACAGGACTTCCTTGCTAAGGAAGCAACATGAATTAAGAGAATGCAGCAGTAAATATGTCAAAGGAATGGCCAAGAACCCGGAATGGGTACCTCCATCATGGGAGACCAGTGGGGTAATCTTGGTAAAGTTTTAAATCCTGTGATGAGGAGCTTTTAGAACAAAGTAGATGCTGAAGGTTGAGGAACAATGGAATTTCTTGACCCAACAAGGAAGTGAGGAGGGCAACAAAAGTGAGAATGGAAATGAGAAAGAACCTAAGTTACCCTAAGATGTGGACTATCTAGGGTTTGGTGACCAGTTGGATGTTTAGCTAGAGAAGGTAAGGAATAAGTTAAAGACCAACTCCAGACTTCCAGTTAATGCAATAAATCTGAGTTTTCCCTGACAGGTGGAGGTGGAAATGGGGGTACAAGTGGGTTTGTGTCATGTTACCAAACACAGTTTACTCTTTTATTTTTAATTTGCAACCTGTCAGAAGCCCTGAGCCTGCTTCTCTTTCATTCATGCAATAAATATTTATTGAGCACCTATTGTGTATCAACTGCTGTGTTATAAGCCAGAAATACAGCAGTGAAGAAAACACAGTCCTTGATCTCACAGACCATAAAATCGACTTGGGAGTCCAGGCAGGTGAATGGACAATCACAGTCATGCTCAGACAGGAGAATTCATGGGATACTGGGATTTCAAGTAGGAGCACCTACCCCAAGTTTGGGTTTCCTTGGAAACATAGGAAGTTATTTCAAAGCTGAGCACAGAAACGGAAGTAGGATTTAAGAAGGCAAAGACCGGAAAGAATGTTTTTTCAAGCAGAGAAAACAGCAAGTATGATGGCCCTTGAGAGGTGGAGGAGCTACAGAGGTAGAATTTGGCTGGATGGAGGATGGGAGATGAGGAGTGGGCTGAAGTGGGACCAGATCACCACATAAGGTGTTTGAATTTCATGCCAAGGAGTCACTCTCCGGATATTTCTCAGTGCCAATGTGAGGTAGCAGCCACCCTTGCCCTTACAGCTCCAGTGTGCACACTTAGAAGGATGGCCTCTAGGCACATGTGCCTGGAAGCCTCCCCCGAAAGCCTGTGCAGAAGCACGAGGCAAGCCAATGAAGCAGAGCCAAGTTTTGATTTGAAAACGATGACTTTGCTTTTGTATCAGATTTCTAAATCGAGGTTTTTTATTTCAGCCCCACCAATGTCATGTGCACTGAGTTCCTTCTTTCACCCCCTCTTAAAAAAAGAAAAAAAAAGAAACCCTTGTGCAAATATCCATATGAAAGTAGATATACGTGTATGACAAAGTGGGTCATTCTTAAGTACAGAACCTTATCTGTAGACTTTTCCCATCCTTCCATTTGCCAATCATAATAGCTCCCAAGTTTCAGTTCTTAAAACCCTTGTCTCACCCTTAGGACACAGTAAGAGCCAGTTTAATTTTGATGTTGGTTCTGATGCTTGTAAATGTTATGTAACTTGTCCAAGGTCATCTAGCAATTTCTAGGTTTATAAGGGCAAAATAGCTTGGTTTGCTGTTTCACTACTTACTTATCCCACTCTCTTCCTCTCCATTTATTTTCTCTTTCCTTTCCTACTCTCAGTTGCAAATAATAAAGACTTGTGGGCTTGCCTTAAGCAATGGAGATGGGGGAGAATGTGCTATGGAAGTAATAAGGCGTATATATAGGGGAACCCAAGACCCTCAGTGGGGCATCAGTAGGAACAGAAACATCCCAGAGGTCAGTCTTGGAGATGCTGGCCCTCAATCCAAGGAGGCCCCAAGGAAAAGTAGCAGGAGGTCCTTGCCCTTGAGTGTCTGCCTTGAGTCTCTGTGATTCAGCTGTTTTCAGGGAGTTTCAGTCTCCCTCCTCTCTAGATAGGGCCCTGGGCTATCTAAAGGACATTATCAGGGTAACTGGTGATATCAGACTGAAGATTAGACAATAGTATTGTTAAATTTCCTGAATTTGATCACCATATTTTGATTGTGTAAGAGAATAGCCTTAGCCTTATCCTCAGGAAATATATACTAGAGGATTTAGGAATAAAAGGGCTTGATATGTGCAAACTACTTTCAGATAGTTTACAAAAATGTATATGGTGTGTGTGTGTGTGTGTGTGTGTGTGTGTGTGTGTAATGAGACAGAGAGAAGCAAATGTGGCAAAATGTTTACAGTTGGTGAATCTGGTTTAAAAGTATTCAGAAGTTCTTATTCTTGCATCTCTCTCTCTCTCTCTCTCTCTCTCTCCCCCCACCCCTTCGCCCGCCCCCACATATATATACAAGAGAGTGTCTCACTATGTTGCCCAGGCTTGGGTGCAGTAGCCTGATCCTAGCTCACTGCAGCTTCAAATTCCTGGGCAAGCAATCCTCCCACCTCACATTCCCAAGTAGCTGGGACTACAGGCATGCAGCACCACGCTAATCTTTTCTATTTTTTTGTAGAGATGGGATCTTGCTCTGTTGCCCAGGCTGGTCTTGAACTCCTGGCCTCAAGTGATCCTCCTGCCTCAGACTCCCAAAGTGCTAAGATTACAGGCATGAGCCAGTGTGCTCAGCCTTGAAAATAAGTTAACAAATGAGATTATAGGAAACAACATTAATTTTTTTTTAAAGGCCAAAAATGTAGTCTTGGACCAGATGCATAAGAATGACTCAGGGACTGGTTGAAAACACTGTACCAGTGCCTGAGCCCCATGCCAGAACAATGGAATCTGCATCTCTGGGGCTGAGTTCTAGGAACTGGCTTGTTAAATACGCATCTCGAGTGACTTCTATGTGCACTAAAAAGCACAACTTTCACCTATTGTGTCAAGACCACTCCAGATTTCTCACAACTTCAGCCCTCTGAGGTATCTCTTAAATAAAAATTATCAGTAAAGAGAGGCTCCAATAGCCCAGCCTATCTTAGATGCCAGGCCCCTTCTCAGGCTGCTACAAATCCATTTGTTGGCTGCCGTGGGGGTCAAGTGGCAGGTCCAACATCATTGGCTCAGAACCAGGGTCCCTTGGTCCTCTTGGATATGCCTCTTCTGGCTGGACTAGATTCACCAAAAGAGTGATAAGAAGAAACACTCTGCCACCGATTCATCTAATTTAATAATTTAATAAAGATTTCCATAGCAAAGTCTTTTTCAGCAAACACCAGGTGTTTTCTTCCATAATAAGAATATTGACCCCTGAAAATTGGAGGTAATGGGGAAAGTTTTGCATAATTCAGACACAGTCTTTGAAAAGCAGAAACTTGGAAAGTCTCTAGGCGACTTGAAAGTAAATGTTTTCCCCAAGGACCAATGGTTTTATTATATAGTCATACACTGTGTAATGATTTGAGTGCGTGAGGCATAAAGCGGCTGAACTATTTATCAAGGCTTTATGAACATCCGGCTTTCCAATAAGGAGATATTATCTGAATGATGTGATTTAGCTTTAAGAAGCACATTCTTGAAATACCGTATTGCTGGGTATTTTTAAGTCAAGACCTAAGAGGTAAACAGGAAGGTGAGGTATGAAAGTGTTGATTTCTCATTTCTCTCAAACCAAGACTTACTCCCACTCCTGCCCAATTCTTCCAACAGCCAGTCTTATAAATGTATTTCTTTAATAGAATGAATTTTATCCACACCCCCAAAAATTCTAGGTTGAAGCCCTAGCCCCAGTGTGATGGTATTTGGAGGCAGGACCTTTGGGAGATGATTAGGTTTGCATGAGGTCAAGAGTGTAGGGCGGTCATGGTGGGATTGGTGCCATTTTAAGAAGAGACATGAGAAAACTCTCTTTTCCATGTGAGGATACAGCAAGAACGCAGTCGTCTGCAAACCAGAAACAGGATCCTCACCAGGAACTGAATCATCTGGCACTTTCCTCTTGGACTTCTTAGGTTCCAGAACTGTGAGAAATAAATTTTTTGTTACTTAAGCCACCCAGTCTGTGGCATTTTGTTATACAGGCCAAGCCAACTGATACGATTTCCAAAATACATCCCCAATGCATCTACTTTTCTCTAACTCCACTGTCACTAGCCAATTCCTAGCGTCCATCCTCTCTCCATGGACCATTGGTCTCCTGTTTCTGTTCTTTCCTTATACACAGCAACCAGAATTAATTTTAAACTTTTTACTTTCAATAATGTCAAGCCTATAGAAGAATATGTACTTCTGGCCAAGATGGAGTAATAGTAGATTTACCCTCTCACCTGAATCAACTGAAAAACCAAACAAAATATATGAAACAAAGGTTTTCATGACACTAAACAGTGATACCTGAGAAATAGAAACAAAGCAGGCAAGCCCTCGATTGCCCCCACTTTACTGCATTATGAGACCTTCCAGGCCTGGGCACAGGGAGGGGCAACCCATGCAGAATCCAGCAAACTCTTTGAGTTGAGAATGCAGAGTGAAGAGTCGTTGAAATCCACAGGGGCTAGAATTCATAAGAGAGACTACCAAAGAGAAGAAGATACAGAAAAAGAACCCCAGAGCCCTGTGAAAGTCTCCCTTGAGTATTCAGGAGAGTAATGAATGCATTCATTGCATGTATGTAAAAAAAAAAAAAAAAACTACCCAACACTGGTGTTAGTCTGTTTGTATTGCTATAAAGGAATACCTGAAACTGGGTAATTTATAAAGAAAAGAGGGTTATTTTTGCTCATAGTTCTGCATGCTGTACAAGCACGTCACCAACATCTGCTTAGTTTCTGGTTAGGCTTCAGGAAGCTTACAATCATGGTGGATGGTAAAGGGGGACCTGGCATACCACATGGTGAGAAAGATAGCAAGAAAGATGCCAGACTCTTTTAAATGACCAGCTTTCATGTGAACTAAGAGCAAGAACTCATTCATCACCAAGGTGATGGCACTAAGCTATTCATGAGGTATCCACCCCTATGAACCAACAAACCAACACCTTCCACTCAGCCCCACCTCCAGCATTTAGGATCACATTTCAACATGAGATCTGGAGGGGATAAAACATCCAAACCATACCAGCTGGGAAAGAACAACCTGAAAGGATTACAAGGAAAAGTACCTGTCATTCACTCTGGGCCAGAAATAGAGCCTGTTCCCTCCAACCAGACTGGAAAACCTCATCGTCCATGGGGCATTGGCTAAAGTAGTAAGAAGGGTCTTGCCCTGGTAGAGGGAAATAATTAGCCCTAGACTAGGTGCTGCTCTGATCCTGCTAAACAAATCTTAAAAGGATTAAACTAATCTGAAAAGATTAAACTATTTCCAAGTAACTTAACTGCATCCTAGAGAGGGAAGCTCAAGAATATTGAAGTATAACAAATACCAAAAATATTTTAAGAAAACAAAACTACCCAGCACCCAAAAAGCAAAAATTTACAATGTCTGGCATCTACTAAAAAATATACACATGCAAACATAGAAGCAGAAAATCAAGATTCATAATGAGGAAAAAGATTAATTGAAACTGGCCCATAACTAACACAGATGTCAGAATTAGCAGACAAAGACATTAAAACAGGCCAGGCGTGGTGGCTTACGCCTGTAATTGCAGCACTTTGGGAGGCTGAGGTGGGCAGATCACAAGGTTAGGAGATTGAGATCATCCTGGCTAACACAGTGAAATCCCGTCTCTACTAAAAATACAAAAAAAAAAAAAAAAAATTAGCCAGGCATGGTGGTGGGCACCCATAGTCCCAGCTACTCGGGAGGCTGAGGCAGGAGAATTGCTTGAACCCGGGAGGCAGAGGTTGTAGTGAGCCGAGATCGTGCCACTCCACTCCAGCATAAGTGACAGAGCAAGACTTTGTCTCCAAAAAAAAAAAAAAAGACATTAAAACAGTCCTTATAATTATATTCTGCATATTCAAAGAACATACAGACCCAAATCGAAATTCTAGAATTGAAAATTACAATATCTACAACAAAAAGTACACTGGATGGGATTAAGAGTAGATTATCTGTTCACATGACAAGGTGCTTAAAAAACAAAAAAGAACACATTAGAAACTGTGGAAGAAAACATTAGTGAAATTGAAGACATCACAATAGAAACAAAACAAAATGGAAATACAGAAAGTAAAAGGCTGGAAAAAATACACAGAGCATCAGTGAGCTATGGGACAATTTCAAGAGGCCTTTTATACATAAAAATGAAGTCCCCAAAAGAAGAGAGGTAGTCAGAAAAAAACTACTTGAAGAAATATTGAATGAAAACATTTCAAAATCTGATGAAAACTATAAACCCAGAGATCCAACAAGCTCAGCAAACTCCAAACACAGAAAAAAAAATAAAGAAAACTACATTAAGACACATCATACTCATTCAAAATCTGTGCTACTGGGTATTTGGGGGAAGGAGAATATCTAGAGGAAAAAAGCAACCAAACATGCCAGGGACAGAGAGGCAAGGATAAGAAATGCAAGTGAAAAGACAATAGAGCAGAATCTTTAAAGTACCTAAAGGGAGGCTGGACTCCGTGGCTCACACCTGTAAACCCAGCACTTTGGGAGGTTGAGGTGGGTGGATCACTCGAGGTCAGGAGTTCAAGACCAGCCTGACCAACATGGTGAAACCCTGTCTCTACTAAAAATACAAAAATTAGCCAGGCATGGTGGGGTACGCCTGTAATCCCAGCTACCTGGGAGGCTGAGACAGGAGAATTGCTTGAACCTGGGAGGCAGAGTTTGCAGTCAGCTGAGATCACGCCATTGCTCTCCAGGCTGGGTGAAGGAAAGAAAAGGAGGGTGGGAAGAAGGGAGGGAGGGAGGGAGGGAGGGAGGGAGGGAGGAAGAGAAGAAGGGAGGGAGGGAGGGAGGAAGAAAGACAGGGAAGGCAATAACCTAAAAGGCAAAAACACTCTGAACCTAGAATTCCACATTAAAGACTTTTCCACCATCATTACAATAAATGTTGAGGCCAGGCGTGGTGGCTCACGCCTGTAATCCTAAAACTTTGGGAGGCTGAGGTGGGTGGATCACGAGGTCAGTAGTTTGAGACCAGCCTGACCAACATGGTGAAACCCCATCTCTACTAAAAATACAAAAATTAGCCAGGCTTGGTGGCGGGCGCCTGTAATCCCAGCTACTCAGAAGGCTGAGGCTGGAGAATCGCTTGAGCCTGGGAGGCAGAGGTTGCAGTGAGCCAAGATCACACCACTGCACTCCAGCCTGGGTGACAGAGTGAGACTCTGTCTCAAAAATAAATTTAAAAAAATAAAATAAATGTTGAAGGAAGCTCTTCAGACAGAGGGAGAAAGATACCAAAAAGAAATCTGGACATACGCAAAGGAATAAAGAGTATACCAAAAAATATAGAAGAGGTTGTCTTATTATTCAAATCTCTTTAAAAGATGATTAACCATTGAAACAAAAATAATGACAATATAATATAGGATTTATAATATATTAAAAAGTAAAAATGTATGACAATAATAGCTCAAAGACTAGGAAGGGAGAAATGGAAGCATATTGTTGCAAGATTCCTATACTATAAATAAAGTGACATAATAACACTTAAAAGTATACTATGATAAGTTAAAGACATATACCATAAACTCAAAAGCAACCACTAAAAAAATTTCTAACTGATCAGTCAACAAAGAGATCATTTTCAAAATATTTAACCCAAAAGAAGATAGCAAAAGAGGAAAAAGAGAGCAAAGAACAGATGGACAGGCCAGGTGTCATGGCTCATGCCTGTAATCTCAGCACTTTGGGAGGCCACGGCAGGCAGATCACCTGAGGTCAGGGATTCGAGACCAGCCTGGCCAACATGGTGAAAACCCATCTCTACTAAAAATACAAAATTTAGCCTGGCTTTGTGGTAGATGTCTGTACTCCCAGCTATTCAGGAGGCTGAGGCAGGAGAATCCCTTGAACTCGGGAGGTGGAGGTTGCAGTAAGCCAAGATTGTGCCACTGTACTCCTGTGTGGGTGACAGAGTGAGACTCTGTCTTAAAAAAAAAAAAAAAAAAGAACAGATGGGCAAGTAGAAAACAAATAGCAAGATTAAATAGACTTAAACCCAGCCACATCAAGAATCAAAGCCAGGGAAAAGTTGCAAGAATAGTACAAAGAACTCAACTATGGTTTTCATGGAGATTCACCAAATTTTATTGTTGTTCCACATTTGCTATTGCTTGCCCTATGCATACATTTTTTTCATAATTTGAAAGTATGTTGCAGACATCATGCCCTTTTACCCCTATACATTTTCACATGTATTTCCTAAGAAAAAAGACATTCTCTTGCATAACCTTCAAGTTATCAAATTCAGGAAATTTAACAAGGATACAATCCTCTTTTCAAAAGCCAGTCTATTCTTAATTTTCATCATTTCCCCCAATAATGTTCTTTACCAACTTATTTCTCAGTCCCAGATTCATCCCACAATTGCACACTGCATTTAATTGCCATGTCTCTTTAATGTAGAACTATTCCTCAGCTCTTCCTTGTCTTTCATGACCTTGACTTCTTTTTCCTTTTACTTTCAGTTGATACATAATAACTATACATATTTATGCGATAAGAAGTGATATTTTGAAGCATGTATACAAGGTGTAATGATCAAATTAGGGTGATTAACATATCCATCACCTCAAATAGTAATCATTTCTTTATTTTGTGAACACTCAAAACCCCCTTTTCTGGTTTTTTGAAAATATACACTAAATTATTGCTAACCATATTCACTTTACTGTGCTACAGGACACTAGAATTTATTTCTCTTTTTTAGGTGTAACTTTGTATTCATTAACCAACCTCTCCCTATCCTCCCCTCCCACACCCTTACCAGCTTTTAATAACCACAATTCTACTCTCTGCCTCTATGAGCTCATTTTTTTAGCTCCCACACGAATGAGAATATGTGGTATTTATCTTTCTGTGTCTAACCTAGTTCACTTAAAACAATGTCCTACAGGTTCACCCATGTTGCTGCAAACTACAGGATTTCATTCTTTTTTATGGCTGAATAGTATTCTATTGTGTACATATACCATATTTTCTCTATGCATTCATCTGTTAATGGGCATTCAGGTTGATTCCTTCACTATTATGAATAGACCTGCAATAAACATGGGGATGTAGGTATCTATGTCTTTGATAAATTAATTTCCTTTCCTTTGGATAAATACCTAGTAGTGGGATTGCAGGATCATATGGTACTTCTACTTTTAGTTTTTTGAGAAACCTCCCTACTCTTTCCCATAATGGTTATAGTAATTTACATTGACATCAAAAGTTGAGTTCACTTTTCTCTGCATCCTGACCAGTATTTGTTAATTTTTTGTCTTTTTGATAATAGCCATCCTAATAGGTGTGAAGTAATATCTCATTGTGGTTTTGATTTTCATTTTCCAAATGATTAGCAATGTTGAGCATTTTTTCATATGCCTGCTGGCCATTTGAATGTCTTCTTTTGAGATATGTCTATTCAAACGTAAGGGGATCACTTCAGGACATTGGTCTAGGCAAAGATTTTCCAGGTAAGACTTCAAAAGAACAGACAATAAGAATGAAAGCAAACAAATGGGACTACATCAAACTAAAACTATATCTGCACAGCAAAGGAAACAATCAACAGAGTGAAGAGACAACCTGTTGAATGGGAGAAAATATTTGCAAACTATACATCTGACAAGGGACTAATATCCAGAATACACAAAGAACTCAAACAACTCAACAGAAAAAAAAATTCTATTTAAAAATGAGCAAAGGACCTGAATGATCTTGATATTTTTGAAGAGTGCCAGCCAGTTGGGTTATTGTCACTGTTGTTTGGTTTGATTATAGGATGCCTCTCAATTTGGAATTGTCTGATAAAAATCATTTTTTAATGTAAATCTGATCATGACACTTTCCTACTTAAATCACTCTTTTCTCTTTACACTTAATCACACCATTACAAAGCTACTCCTAAGCTGACCTCTGCCTTCCTCTCCCATCACTCTCTGCCCCATCGTGTTCCAGGTTTTCTGTTGCTAATAAGCTCCAGGTGTTCTCACTTCAAGGCTGTTGCATTTTCTGTTCCCTCTTTCCTCAGCTCCCATCTTTCAGACTTCAGTTCCCAATCGCCAACTCAGAGGCATCTTCCCTGAACCCGCTGTCAAAAGTAGCCCACCCTCAGAGCCAAACCTTTTCACTTCTCTTCTTATTTCCTTCAGAGCACTATAACCATCAGAAATAATCTTGTTTGTGTATTTTATTTCCATTGAAATAAAAGCCCTAGGAGGGCAGGAATCTTGTCTGTCTGTTCACAGATGAGTCTCCAGCATCGACAATATTACCAGGCACACAGAAGGCCTTCAGTATATATTTTTGGAAAGGACAAATAAATAGTGGAGAAAGAGAGCCATGAGAACAAAAGAGAGAAAAGGAAAGGAATGTGCTTTGAATTAAAAGAAATCTGAATGACATAACTAAAGTCTACTGAGAGCTTTCTACATGCTAAGCACCATGTTCCAACCCATTCATGGGACAGTCAGAATCTCGAGTAAGTCACTTAATTTCTTAGGCCTCAGACTGTGCATCTGTAAAACGAAGGCCTAACATTCTAGGAATATATGAGCCTCCACCTGCAGCCTCAGAGAGATACGAAGAGGGATATTCAGGCTATCTAAAGGGACCTCAGCAGAGAGTGGAGAAGAAAACAGTATCAAACAGCAGACACCCAAGCTGAGTGACCAGAATGAAGGTGTGAAGGGGGCAGGAAGCCACCCCGTAGTGAATGCCTGCCTTGCTTTTCTAGGAGGTGTCCTTTGAGCCATGGGAGGAAGCCTTTCCAAAGACCACCTGATCCCATCTCCTGGACTGAGGGAATGAAGTGTCATAATGCAGAGAGAAAGAAGTGAAGAAGGAGCACAGAGAAGCAGAGGTGAGAGTTGGGAAAAGAGTTCTTTGACTTTCAAGTACTTGGCTCCACGCCCTCCCAAAGGCCTGGCTTCCCTCCTGTTCTTTGTTTCATGAAACACCCAATAGCCTGAAAGAGTCTTTTATACTAAAGCTAGCTCAAGCTGGTTTCTGTTCCTGCTGACTATTAGTTGACTTTGGAGGGCTGCCTTCAGTTGTTGGAGGAATTCCCCCACTTAAGAGTCTTGGTGGGAAGCAGAGAGCACCTCCCACCATAGAATTTGAAAGTGTCAGGGATGGTTGAGGACATGACCCAGGTTCAACCAATTAGATATGCATATGCCATGAACCCATCGTAATAGTGGCAGCAATAGCAGCAGCATCCTGTGTCACCTGTGCTGGCTGTGTAAGCTAGGGTTTTCAGTGTCAGTGGCATCCATGCCAGGTTGGCGCTGTGTCATCACCCAGACTGCTACCCTGGCCGATGCCTGACCTTCCTTGTTACCTCCCTTTATCTGGTGCCTCTTCTATCATTTTCCTGGCATTTCTCTGAACCACTTGACATGCTCTCAATTGATTCCTTTTCTGCTTAAATCAGCCAGGACTGGTTTCTGTTGTCTGCAACTAAGAACTCCAGTGGCAATTAAGAAACTCCAGTTTCTTTCCATAAAAAAGTCCCAACTAGTTCAAGGAGCTCAGCCTTGCCTGAGCCTTCTTTGAGTGTGTTTTCTAGCCTAATGACCCCTCTTCCTAACCACTGCTTCACAGAGAGAACCAGATGCAGGTCAAGCCTTTAGATGGAGAATCTCCCGCTGGACCTTATATTTGGTGCCCACGTATATGTTGCAAAAGCTGCTGGTGGCCCGGGCCCACCTATATGTTAATTAGGAAAAGGCCTGATTAAGCAGCGGAGGATGCCCTGTGCAGGGAATACCTGCACTTTCATACACAATGGCCTTGGTAGCACATTTTTTCCAAGGCCCTGTTGGGCTGAGTTGGTATTTTAGGGAGAATATACTAAACACAAGTTTACAAATTAAGAGAATCTACATTTGGTTTGGGTTGAGTAGGGAAGCCAAATTGGAAGCCATGGGCTTCACAGAGGCTTATAAGCTGAATGAGGCATAGAACCACTGTTTGTACTCTGGAATCTATGGATGGGTTTGGGGGATGGGAAGTCTTTTAAAACCCTGGAATTATATATAAAATGTAATGGGGACCTATGCTTTTCTGGAGACAGGGTCTATAACTCTCATTAGCTCTTGAAAAGGCTTTGTGATCTATCAACCACACACACACATACATACACACACACACACACACATACACACACATGCTCACTCACAACCACTGGTATGGTACTCTTTCATTTTACAGATAAGGAAAGAAAGAACCAGAGGTGTTCAGTATCTTTCCCAAGGTCACAGAGCTGATGAGTGGTCATGTCAGGA
Source organism: Homo sapiens (assembly GCF_000001405.40). Taxonomy (NCBI): domain Eukaryota; kingdom Metazoa; phylum Chordata; class Mammalia; order Primates; family Hominidae; genus Homo; species Homo sapiens. Next base: position 160,441,876 of record NC_000005.10, on the reverse strand, counting down.
TGAAAATCTAGGTCCACAGCTCAAATACCAAAACTCTCCATGCTTTAGGTAGCATTCATATTATCATCCCAATGAAATATCTCCATCAGGAGAATTCTATCTGGTCAGGAATGTCCCAGAACTGGCAGCAAAGACCTCACAGGAAGGAGTTTCCCAGCATGAGCAATGCAGCTTTTCTAAACATCAGGATTCCACTGCCCCAGCCACCTCATCCAGCCCTGGCCAGGTTAGAACAGGCCTGCAGTGGTGATGGAGCCAATCAAGGGCCACCAGGGGTAAACCCTACCCCTCTACTTTTCCCCCACACTTCCCTGTCCCCACAACTTGTAAGCACCTGCACATAGGGACCAAGCAGAGACTCAGGAAGCCTGTGGGCTGGAAAGCCACAAGTTGCTCAACTAGTACTTTAAAACCAAAAAAAGTTTAATATTTTGTAAAGTCCCACACAAATAACGCTGGTCTCTCACACCACACCCAAGGCCACATGGGAGTAGGCAGCCTTGTACATTCACACTCACCTTTCTCAAACAAGGCTTCCCTTTCTTGGGTGCTCATGATATTCATTTCATCTCATGGGTTTAAAATATTGGGGGCAGGGCAACCAAATAACTTCCCCAGTGGCTTACTTCCAGGAAAGTTGTTTCATTTTTGAAGAACCTTAGGAATTACCATAATAACAGCTAAGTTATGGTCCAGACACTATGGTAAGCAATTACCATGCATATAATAATTTGATCTTCAAAATAAGGATAAATAGCATTATTGTTCCTAATTTATAGACAAGGGAGCTGAAGCCAAAGAGGTTCAGTGATCTGCTGAAAGTTACAAAACTAGTAGAAGGCAGAGCAATGATTTAAATCCAGGTCTCTTGGACTCCAGGGTCTAAGCTGCTGGCTCTTCCTGGAGGTTGAATTGCCTCTCAAGAGATGGGGGTGTCAGCTGGGATTTTGGAGAATCTGCAGCTTTCCGTGCCCCTTCAAAGGCTGTAGGCACACAAAAAGGAGGATGTCCTGCTAAGTACTGTATCTCCTTCCAATAAGAATCAGTACTTCAGAGAGTCTTAGACCATTAGATCCCAAAGAATTACAGCGATTATCTCCTCCTACCTCTTCATTTTATAGATGAGGACAGCAAGGCTCAGGGAGGGCAAGCAACCAGTGCAGAACACACAGCTAGCAAGCAGTCCCTCGACTCCAGCCCAGGAAGCCATCCACTGTCTCCACAGGGGGAGACACTGTGTCCACTGGTATATAGGAGATGATTTTACTGGTACACAGACAAAACTTTAAATAGTGTTGATCTTAAAATTGGATCTGCTATTCGATCCAGCAATCCCACTACTGGGTATCCACCCAAAGGAAAAGAAGTCATTACATGAAAATGACACACGCACACTCATGTTTATAGCATCACAATTCACAATTACAAAAATATGGAACCAACCTAAATGCCCACCAACCAACGAGTGGATAAAGAAAACGTGGTATATATACCCCGTGGAATACTACTCAGCCACAAAAAGGAATGAAATCATGGCATTCGCGGCAACCCGGATGGAGTTGGAAACTATTATCCTAAGTGAAGTAACTCAGGAATGGAAAACCAAATATCGTATGTTCTCACTTTTAAGTGGGAGCTAAGCTATGAGGATGCAAAGGCATAAGAATGATATAATGGACTTTAGGGACTCCGGGGGAAAGGGTGAGAGGGATGAGGGACAAAAGACGGGACATTGGGTACAGTGTACACTGCTCTGGTGATGGGCGCACGGAAATCTCAGAAATCACCACTAAAGAGCTTATCCATGTAACCAAATACCACCTGTTCCCCAAAAACTATTGAAATTAAAAAATAAAAATAAAATAATGTTGGTCGACATCATGAGAAAACCATTCCCTTTTCACTTCTCTTTTAGCCTCTCTGATTACTTTAAGGATAATCTCAATTCAGTGCTAATATATCTTTAACAGCTTTCCTTAAATATTTCTTTAAGAAACTCTTTTAAGAGAGAAAATGGATCCTTGGTGGGAAACCGCATCAGTATCAGCAAGAACTTAGTACCATTGCTTTTTTTCTTTTCGTCTTGGTTACCCTCCGATTATGTCAAATGATGCAAGTTTTCCATTGACACATTAAAGTTTCCGTTTAAATATATGTATTCATGTTAAAGAAAAATTGAATTGATTTAAAGAAAAATATTAAACGAATACTGCTCACTGACTATAATATAAAAAAATTTTTAAAGCAGTATCAATGAAAATAAACATATTACTTCCTAATCACTTTGTAAGCAAATCACTCAGTAAGGAAACTAAAATTTTAAAGCATCTGACTGTACTCATGGTGGGTACACGTGACTAGAAATCTATCACACTAACATGAGGGTCAGCTCCACGCTCTGTGACTTCTTCGCTTCACTCTCCACCACAACCCCCTGTGCCACTCCGGGGACCTCAGGAAGAGTCTAACGGGGCAATTCCAGTTGAAGGGGAAACAGCCAAAGCCACCACGGAGGGGGACTGTCTGTGCGAGCTGATCGCAGCAGGGAATGTGGTATGCCGCCCCCTGGTGGGCAGTTTCGAAATTAGCCCGGCACCTTTGTCCTCTGGTGTAGATAGACAAGCCTAATACTTGTAAGACATACTTTCCTAAAAGGAGAAGGTTTCCTTTGCATTGTATGTAAGCGGACATGTAAGCATAGGCACACACTGCCTGTGGATATCACTTCAGGGTAGTACAGGAGGTGTTACGAAATGTTTCATACAGAAAGGGGCTTTTATGTCTGATAAGGCTGAGAACTACTGTCCTAGAGCAGCAAGACCCGCCGCTCCCTGCTTGACTTAACAGCCAGGTGAGGCCAGCTTCTATGGAGACCGCTTCGTGGTACCAAGTGTGCCTTCTAGCTGGATGTTGCAAAAGTTACTTAACCAATCAGAGCCCAAGTTTCCAACCATCAATAATGAATGCTCACGCATACCCACACCCCATGGCGTTTCTCTGAGAGTCCAAAGGACGATGCGTGTGAGGCACTTAGCACTGATCTGGCAGCCAGTAAGTACTTATCAATGTCAGGTGGCGGTGGTAACAGCGCCCTCCCTTCCACCAACCTCTCCACCCCAGTTTTATTAAAAGAGGTCTGATGTAAAAGAAAAAAACAAGAAAAAAGGAAAAAGCAAAAAACAATCAGGATTTTCGGACAAAACTTACCACATCCATCAAGCTGAGGAATCCTAAAGACATCGAACCCCAACGTACCACCCATCTCAGCTGAAAGATCATTTCCAAATTAGAGGAAGCTGCGACTGACTGAGAAGGCAGGAGGTGCCCTCTAGTGGCATGGTTACATTAGCTTGGGAGGAAAGGTAGTGCAGTTCATTTTCAAAGGGAAGGACAAAACCAATTGTTAAACTGAGGCAGGAGGCAGTGATGCTTCAAAGATGCAAGTGGGAATTTACTGTCTGCTCTGTGGACCATCGAAGATGCCTTCAGGATCTGGCCTTAGCCAACGGCAAGTGGCATGCTGAAAGTCAGATCAGCTGGTCAAGGGTGGAACTGGGAACTGAACCCAAAGGTGCTAACTACAAATCCAGAAATCTCACCCTTGACAGCAAACCTCTTGCTAGTGGGAGCTGTGGCTTGTGTCATTTTACATCCTTCAAAGCAGCAACCACAGGGTTTTGTATACATAGATACAGTATTCAATAAATTACTTGATGAAATATTCATGAAATGATCGTTTATGAAATAATGAATAATGCATTATTTCATTTGTTGCTCACAATAACTGTGACATAGCCTAGTTTACTGATAAGGAAATTAAGTCTCTGGTCAAGTAACTTGCCTAAGATCACAAAGCCAGGTTTCAAACCAAGCATACTAACTCCAGAGCCTCGGTGCTTATCCACTAGACATGCAGTTCTCAAACTGTTTGGTCTCAGGATTCCTTTACAGTCTGGGTTTTGTTGTTGCTGTTTGTGGAGATGGTGTTTTACTATGCTCAAGCAATCCTCCCACTTCAGCCTCCCAAAGCACTGGGATTATAGATGCAAGCCACCTTGCCTGGCTTCCTTTACACTCTTAAAGAAATTATTAAGGATGAAAAAGAGTTTTTGTTTATAAGGATTATACCTATCAATATTTACAGTTTTAGAAATTAAAGCTGAGGAATTTAAAATATATTTATTTAAACATTATCACAATAAAGCAATTAATTATAACATAATTAATATATTTTTATAAAAAGTAACTATTTTCCTAAACCAAAAAACACCCACATTTAGAAAATTAACATGACATTGTTTTACATTTCTGAAAATCTCTACTATCTGGCTTAAGACAGCTGATTTCTCACATCTACTTCTTCATTTGCTCTGCTATAATACCATACTTGGAGTAGCTTCTGGAAAACTCCACTGTACACTTGTGAAAGAATGGAAATTTAAAAGGCAAATAACATCCTGGCACTATTATTAAAATATATTTGATGTCATGTACCCCTAAAAGGTCTTGGGGACCCCTGGTATGTCTAGGCACCCTTTTGGAAGCACTGATGTACAATATGCTGTCCATAGGGCAAGTGAACAAAGGGCTCTGCCCTCCTGAGAGTCACATCTCCAGGGAGTTCATTCCACTTGTAATGTTCTTAGTAACTTCATAAACTCATTTCAACCTCTTTATTTTTTACATTCTTGCTCTTTTCCTGGAAATGGCATGTCCTTGAAGGCAACTCTTTCTTCCTCTGTGTTCCGGATGCAGCCAGCCATCAGGGCAATGATGAGTCCCAAAACAGAATCCTTCAAGCAATAAAGAGGGTCTCTGCTTTAATCCTAGATGCCTCTATATAAAGACCAAGGAGCATAAACTATTTGTATTAGTCTGTTCTCACACTGCTATGGAGAAATACCCAAAACTGGTTAATGTATAAACGAAAGAGGTTTAATTGACTCACAGTTCTGCAGGGCTGGGGAGACCTCAGGAAATTTACAATCATGAAGGAAGGGGAAGCAAACACATCCTTCTTCACGTGGTGGCAGCAAGGAGAAGTGCAGAGCGAAGGTGGGGAAAAGCCCCTTATAAAACCATCAGATCTTGTGAGAACTCACTATCATGAGAACAGCGTGGAGGTAACCACCCCCATGATTCAATTACCTCCCACCGGGCCCCTCCTACCATACGTGGGGATTATGGGAACTACAATTCAAGATGAGATTCTGGTAGGGACACAGCCAAACCATATCACTATTCATTCCTATTATTCCATTTCTAGGGAAAAGAACTTTCTAAAAATTCTCACTCAATTTCGCCTAGACTAAGAAGCCCAGTGTCAAGAAGTGATACTCCCAATTGTGTTTTATTAAAATATGTAAATGAGTCATGAATAGCAGTATCCTAAAAGACATCATATTTCACATCTAGAGTGGGGCTCCCCTGGCTGCCATCCCTCCCTGGTCACCAACCCTCATGTGGCCTTCCCATCAGCATCAGTGAAGAGGGGACCCCTGTTCCACCCCATTCCCCAGTACGACAGTAGGGGGATGGGATAGTGTCCTCTTGTATCCTCGCTGTTGCCTCCAGACCACACTCTCTCCCTCTACCCTCAAACTGCAGCTTGGAATCTTATATCATCAAATAGGCCCATCCATTGCTTATCTCATTGCAAACACCTGTGTCATTCCCTTCTCCCCACCCCGCCTTAAAGATTTTGTCCGTAGCTCACTGCCATTCTCTTTACTACTGCTCCTTTGTTCTGTCTATGCCTTCCAACTTACTGTCCTCTGAATTCCTTGGCAATTCTCCAGTGAGCTTGTCTTCCATCTACCTCAACCACCCAGTCCCATGGTCATCTCCTAGACATTGTCACTAAGAAAAACTTCAAACACTCCATAACTGATTATCTGATCTTCAAGCACCCCACTCTCCATCTTCCCAGCTCAACATTACTCTGCCTCCTTCTTTTGGTCTTTCAGGGACATACACTTAAAATCCAAACTCATTTTCACAGCCCCTAAGATCCTCCATGATACAACCTCTGCCTACTTCTCTGGCCCTGTCTCCTAACCCTCTCCCTATCACTCACTACCCTCCAGCCCTGCTGACCTTTTTGCAATTCCTCAAACATACTAAATCCATTCCTACGTCAGTGCCTTTGTAAATGTTCTCTGGCTTCCTTGATAGATACAGCCCTGGATGTCCTCTGGGTATCTCTCTCACTTCCTTCAAATCTCTGTTCAAAAGTAGCTTCTCAATGAGGCCCTCCAAAACTTCTCTATTTAACATTGCAATTCCTCCACCTACCCATTCACCCACAGGACATACCCCCTTCCCACTTTATTTTTTTCCACTACACCTATCACTTTCTAGCATACCATGTAATTGACTATTTTGTAGATAGTCTGTTTCTTCTGGCTACAATGTAAGTTTCATAAGGAGGGCAGAGATTTTTGTCTGTTTTGTTCAGTGCAGTATCCTTGGTACCTAGAAGAGTGCCTGGCTCATAGTGGCCATTCAGTTGATTTTTTTTTCTTTTTGCATGAGGAAAATTGGATTATGCAGATCTGAACAATAAAAAGGATCACTAAATCTCACTTCTACATAAAATTTTAAATCTATCATTTTAGAATTTATCAAGAATCATCTAATTTCACTTTTATTGGGTTTTAAATTAATGTTTATACTTTTGCCATATAACTTTGCTTCTGTAACAGAAACACTTGATACTTGTTATAAATTGTGTCCCTCCCCACCACCTCAAAATTCATATGCTGAAGTCCTCACCCCCAGCACCTCAGAATATGACTGTATTTGGAGATGGGGCCAGTAAAGAGTTAATCAAGTTAAAACAGGGTCATCTGGGTGGGCCCTAATCCAATCTAACTGATGCCCTTAGGAGAAGGGGAGATTAGGACACAGGCAACACAGAGCAAAGACCGTGAGAGGACACAGTGAGAAGCCAGGGACATGACTACAATAGAAAAAGAGAGCCCTCAGAAGGAACCAACCCTGCCACACCTCGGCCATGGACTTCCAGCCTCCAGAATCGTAAGAAAATAAATGTCCATTGTTTCAGCTCCCTCAGTCTATGGTATTCTGTTATGGCAGCCCTAGCACACAAATATAACATCCATGTCAGGATTAGTCTTAAATTACATTAATTTATGGTAATTATACAAGGTCTTCAGGAACACAACCCTCCCATAAAACTCAACAGCCCTGTGTCTGAGTACCCGGTAGGCACCAAGCACCATGTAGTTTTGTGTCTGCTGCTTTCTTAGGTCCCCCTTCTTTCTCTGTCTCTTTTTCAAGGTATGAGTCCATGCCTGCCTTTCCCTCTCTCCCCTGTGGCATCTCACATACCACCCTCTCTGCCTCCAACTACAAGACTGAAATACGATGTGTTGTACGGCTCTAGTCACATGCCCAGTTTTCCAACTAGTAATACAGAACATCATACTCAACTAACTTTTCATCTTTCCAGTAAGATGAAGATGCTTCTTAGTCATGTGACCTGCCCCTGACTTATACCTCTGGGCTAGCGTCCCTACACTGCTGTCCTTTCTGGTGTCCCTCCCTGCAAGACTGCAGGAAGCCAGGAGCCAGCCTGGCTTGGGCTCTGAGCAGCATACCAAAGGCAGGCAGCTCTCACCTCTGCAGCAGGGCTGCAAAGCGGAGGTGAGCGCTGGTGCGTGCCATTGCCATGGAAACCCACTCCCACTCCTCGGGCAGCGGAGGAAGGTGGGGCCTGCGGTCTGTTCCACTATGTGATCTGAAAAGAGAAATGGCTCATCAGTCCCAGGCTCCTCTTGTAGGAAAAAGAGGCCTCTTCAGAAGGGAGTGTAGGCACAAATCCTCCCAGGAGCCTGTGCACACAGAGCCAAAGGGAGCCTCTTTGCACTCATTCTTCCTGCCGTGATTCAGTTCCACAAACTGATCATTCGTCTACTCCAGGCAAGACACTGGACTTGGAGACTGCAAGGATAAACAAGACCCATGTCCAAGTTCACTCTGGCTGGAAAGGAGAGACAGATCTGCTGTTTGATTGTTCCTGTTGCTTGAAAACATGCAGCTAAAGTCCCCAAAAGCCACTGAGTGTAGCATATTCTAAAGTTAGCTCTGGGCTTGCCAAGAGATGCCAGTCCTAGGAGCATCAACCATCAGGAGCAGAAAGAGGCCTGATAGATGAGGTGGCCCGCTTTGGGGATGTCTGCAGAGAAAAGCTGTGTCCGTGGTGGGAGAGGTGTTCCTCTCCTACCTGCAGTCATGAAAAGCTTTAAATGAACACATAAAGATAGGAATCTTCAGGAAGGGGAGAATGGCCTCTCACCCCCAGACACACACCAGCTGAGTTGCAGGAGAAATAGGTAAGCCTATGCTGGTGCCACCAACAGAACCAAGACTGGTGAGAGAGAGGGCTCTTGAGAGAGCATTCTGGGAGTATTTATTGTCCTTTTCAGCCTTCTCACTGCACTGCGGGGAGGAGAGGATCATCGGCATGTAGAGACTCACTGCAACTTAAAGATTGGCACCTGCTCCTGGTCCAGAGATTTCTCACGGTGGGGACCTGCTGGAGTACCCAGGCCTGCAGGGAAACCTTCACCCCATCCTGGTTCTGCAGCCCTCAAAGGGGATGGAAAAGATCCCAGTGGTTAATCATGGAAGGGCAGAGGCCTTGGACAGCCCCTGGACCAAGGAATAGAAGGGCCCACCTGGGAAAGGTGTGGGAAGAGAGGCAGGCTGCCATTCTCAGGAGGGACAGGGTTTTCAGCCGTGGAGAAGAGGGTGATTCTCTACACAAGGACCTCCCCATGAGCAGAGGCCACCAGCATCGTGCAGAGCACAACAGCCAGAACGAAGCCAGCACACTTCCCATAACCAACAAGTGGCCTGTCACACGAGCAGACTCTTTTCTCCCTCCAGCCGTCCTCCCAGGCTTGGGGCTGGACTAAGCCCCTATGAGGGTCATAACACCGGAAGGGGAGAAGGGACATGTGTGGTGAGCAGAGCATACACATGGGCTTTTGCCAAGCCCTCGCCTGTACTAGGGGAGAGGGAGAAGAGCCTGAAATAGGTGTGAACCTCAAGTTTTAAAATAAGCAAAGTTTAATTTTAACCAAAAGTAACTGGAAAGCTATGAAATCTGTCTGAATGCTGCTCAGCATCACCCACCACCCAGAAAGGAGGAAAGGAGAACAGGTCAACAAAACACAGTTGGTGGCAATAAAAAAAGAAAGAAACTCAGTTTATGTTTCCCCAGCAGAGCTGGAGCTTCTCAGTAAACAGGTTATACCTGGGCTTGGTGGGGCACAGACAGACAGGTGACCAGGAACTGTCTAGGGTAGGAGAAGCTGACCTCCTAGACCTGTGCCTGCCCCCACCACTCTCTCTCTGGAAACCTTGAAGTCAGGCTCCCTGGCCCTGATACCGTGTGATGCTAACAGTGGGTACAGTGCAGTCGCTGGGTCTCTAGAAACCTGGATCCCCAGGGACTGATGACATCTTTACTCATTTCAGCAAGTCCCTGAAGCACCTGCCACATGCCAGGCAGAGAATACACCAGTGCACAGGACACACCTCATCCTGCTCCCAGTAGAGCGGAGGAGAGGACCAGACACAGCCGAGCATGGTAAGTGCAAAGGCTTCTGGTAAGAAAAGCATCTCATTGGAGTACTAGAGATGGACAGGTTTGGCCAGGTGAATCAGGACAGGAAATTACACCCCCAAGGAGCCACCACAAGGCCGTGTGAGCCACACTGAGCAACTCAGACTTCATCCTGGTGGCAGAGGGACATCATTCCAAAGTAAATGAAGTGGGGAATGAGTGCTTGATGAGCATGGGTTTATTTTTGGGGGTGATGAAAGTGTTCTGAAATTAGACAGTGGTGATAGTTGCATATACTCTGAACTAAAAGCCACTGAATTGTACATTTTTAAATGAATTTTCTTATGTGAATGTTACCTCAAAAAAAAAAAAAAGGCCGGGCATGGTGGCTCACGCCTGTAATCCAAGCACTTTGGGAGGCCAAGGCCGGCAGATCACGAGGTCAGGAGATCGAGACCATCCTGGCGAACACGGTGAAACCCTGTCTCTACTAAAAATACAAAAAAAAAAAAAATTAGCTGGGCGTGGTGGTGGGCGCCTGTAGTCCCAGCTACTCGGGAGGCTGAGGCAGGAGAATGGCATGAACCCGGGAGGTGGAGTTTGCAGTGAGCCAAGATTGCACCACTGCACTCCAGCCTGGGCGACAGAGCAAGACTCCGTCTCAAAAAAGAAAAAAAATGAAAGGAATATCTAGAAGGAACTTTCAATTCCAATCAAGATGGAGTAACAGGGACCAGATTTACTCTCCTGCCTGAAACTAAAAAACAAGACAAAATATATGAAATGAGGGCTGCCCAAAGAGTGAACATCAGGCGACAGAGAACAGCGATGCCTGAGGAATGTGAAATAAGTGAGGTGAGGCCGATGACTATCCTTACTGGCTACTTTTGAGTTTCCAGGCCTCAGAGTGGGGAAGAAAGGGAGGCAGGCAGAGCCCAGTGAATTTCCTGAGTTGAAGAGACAGAGCAGAGTCAGGCCAAGGCAGGCCAAGTTTGCAGAGCAGAGCACTGGAGAGGAGAGAGCTGCACAGAGAGAACCCTGGAAATTTGCAGAGGGTCTCCCTGTAGTATTCAGAAGAGCACTGATCCATATAGCTGAAAAGATCAGAGGGAAGAATTCCTGAAGCCCACACAGGGCTGGGAATAGTGTCTGCTCCCACCAGCTAGACAGGAAAACCTCATAATTCAGGGGGCAGCAGAGTCCTAAGCATCTCACACTTCAGTAGTAGGGGGAAATGAGCCCTGGGCTAAATGCTGCTCTGGTGATGCCTAACATTAAAGGCAAGTCTCAAATGAATCAAATTGCTTCTAGGTACCTTACCCATACTCTAGAACAAAGTTTAAGAATATTAATAGAAATGTAAAAATACCCAGCATGAAAAAAGGTAAAATCCATGGCTGGCATGGAAAGTAGAAAAATACAACTTGTAATAAGAAAGAAGAAATGGTAGCAAGATAATGGCATTCCTGACTGTTAGCTCCTACTATAAGAAGGTACAGTATCCTGAGAGGCAGGCTCAGAGGTAGTGTAGAGAAATGCAGAAGGTTTACAGAGTTGTAAAGGTATGAATAAAGTCTGTCTTATTTCAAAAAGTGTCAGAACAAAATAGCAACAACCCCCACAAGATGCAAATTATCTGTATTAATGGAGGAGCATCTGCTTAAAGTTCTCAGTCTCAGCACACATTATGCACATTGCAATCTGATTAACAGCAGATGAAAAGATCAGATCCCTCTATACTCAGTTCTGACCCAGAGGACGGCAATTAACTGGTAAGGGACTGACTAGTCCCCTTGCTCCCAGCCCTTGGTTCCCTCTACCACAAAAGACAATTTTCCAAAGCTTCAGTTTGTGTTGCAGAGTATGAAAGCCATTCAGAACTACACTTTGCTTTTTTTGTTGTTTTTGTGAGACAGCATCTCACTCTACCACCCAGGCTACTCTACCACCCACTTTACCACCCAGTGGCATGACTATAGCCACTCAAGTTGTAAGCTTGAACTCCTGGGCTCAAGCAATCCTCCTGCCTCAACCTCCTGAAACTAGGACTACAGGCATGCGCCACCACACCCGGCTAATTATTTTTAATTTTTGAGAGACAAGGGTCTCACTACATGGCCCAGGTTGAACCCAAGCTCCTGGGATCAAGCAGTCCTCCCACCTCAAACTCTCAAGTGCTGGGATTACTGGTGTGAGCCACTGTGTCCAACCTATACTTTGGTTTTCTTAGCAGCCCTATTTTACCTGAGGATGCTAAACCTATTACTCTCCCCTAAAGCCAAGTGCCCTAGTAGTCTTATGGTATTATCTTCTCCTAGAAGTCTGCCTTTCCACTAATTCCAGAAAGTCACACTGATTCAGTTGTATTTAGAAGGTAAAAAGTTTTAAAGTCAGGATAAGCGGTTGTAGGTGTTCTTAGTATTTCATGCCTAATATCCTTCAGCTTCCTCCAATGACAATGGCAAAGTGTTCACATTCTAACTTGACCATAGAAGCTACTGATATATCAAGGGAAAGACTTCTTATATAACTTAGCATCAAGCAAGGGTCAAATTCAGGTTACTACATGGCCCAAGCGAGTAAAGTGAGTTAAGTAGGCTAGGTCTCAGAAGAGACATGAAAGGTAAAAGGATCACTTCAGTTCTCACTGAGGCCATTTAAGGCAGGGTCTGTGGGATAGAAAGCCTATACTCCACCTAAAAGGCAGCAGCCTGCAATCTACCTCCAGCCCCAGCAAGTGTTGGAAACAGGGTCTACTATGGACACATCTCTTTTCAAGAGAATCTCCAAAGCCAGATTGGTGAAACACTGGAATTTTAAATAGTGGAAATGATTAAGGTTTTTAAAATATCCACCCCCTCCCTCAAAAAGAAAACCTATGAGCAACCATTTGCCATCTCTATTTTGATTCCAACCTCAGAACTGAGATCAAAATACCAGCTCTAATAATTTTCTAGCTCTTCACATCTTTGACAAATCAATGAACTTCTGCGCTTCATTGTCTTACCTGGGAAAGTGTCAAACATTAAACATAATAATGCTTCTCAAATACTCATGTCCAACACAAGGTAAACAACTAAATACAGTTTCCTATAGGTGGAGTGTAGACCTTACTATCAGTAAATTATCTCCAGTGATCTTTAAGGAATCTAATTGAAGATCCCAAGGAGGCTGAATTCTCAGATTTAGAGCCTTTCAATACTGAGTATTAAAGTCATTAGAAACTAAGTAGAACCGGCAATAAAGAATGCCCAGCAATAGATACTTAATGAGTTGGAAGTAGCTCTTCTAATTAAGAGATCTAATAACTGTCACTAGTTAATGGCCACAAAAAGTCAATAAAGTACACATTGAGGGGTATACTTTTCAGGAAAAAACAGTGGCAGCTTCTAAAATAAGCTGTTAAACCAAAAAGATTTAAGTTTTTAGACATCAGACAAATCTCTATTGTCACATTATAGACTCTTTGTTAAACACCTCAGCTAGCTTTCATGTTATTTTAAGTAACCTCCATGGAAAAGCAACCACAATACTAGGAAGAATCTGTTAAAGAATGCTTTATTAATACAAATACACACAAACTCTGAAGCACTAAGAAATTTAAATATCTATGTCACAGCAAACAGGTGGCAATTCAACATCCAGGGTCGACAGAATGCTTGAAGGAGACTGCAACAGATCTAGAAAACAGGAATCTCTTATTAAAATTTCTGCAAATCCTTGAGTCATTGTCCATATCAACATAGACATTAGCTGTCAATCAAAAATTCATGTTTTTCCCTTTGTCAAATCAATCACCTGCATCCCCTCCTGACACATTTTTTGGAATGTGTCTGTGGCCCCAGAATTGACTTTCATTAGGAAGTAAGTTTTAGAAGTATCTGAATCTCTATTGTTCTTAGAGACCAAAGTAAGAGTTAACAGTCTCACTAATGTAACTTATTAGGACAAATTATCCCACATCAGAACAAACAGAAAACATAATGTTGGCTTTGACTACCAGTTCAAACGAAGACCTCAGACCTTCTGCAGTAAGAAGTTATTGTCAGTCTATGCTACAGCACAGGTGTTTTGATCTTATATTAGCTTTGGATATAACATGGAATCATCATTCCAAGCAAGTTTATTATATATGCTTCAACTTATAGCCTAAGAAGATGTAAGTGAGAATTAATCTTTTGGCTGTAGTAAGACTATCCAGTTTCCAGAATAACAATTTTACTGGGGCATTTGGGACTGAAAAGCAATATTAATCGAGAATAGTTTATTTTTCTGAAAACTAATCCTTGTCATTTGAAGGACAGAAATTACTCACAGGCTCACCTCCCGCACAACTCTTCCCATGGTAATGGAAGTGTTATGAAACAAATTGTTTGCAGCCCTTCCAGAAGGGCACTTGCTCACTTACTGGATTCCCATGGTGGAGAGGGCATCTTCACAGGTGAAGGGGGGCCCAGCTGAAACAGCTTTTCAAGCTCTCTCTCCTCGTCAAGGATCATGAGAGGCACTCCACTCAAGGGGAGGTGCGCAATCTGGTGCTCTTCAGGCAGGTCAAAACTCTCAAAGTCTGTTACAGAGAGAAAGCGTTTTTGTCAGGGCAGCAGTTCTTAGTGTGGGCTGTAGATCCCTTGTGGTCTGAGACCCTTTGAGGGGGTCCATGAGGTCAAAACTATTTTCAAGACAATATTCACACCTTTTTCCACTGGGTTGACATTTGTAATGATGGTACCAAGGCAGCGGTGGAGAAAGCTGCTGGTGCCTCAACACAAATCAAGGCAGTGACAGTAAACCATATTAGCAGTCTCTCTGTTCTGCATCCTTCTTCGCTTGTAGTTTAAAAATGCCAGTTTCACTTACTGTCACTTCACCATATGCAGTAGAAAGTATTAATTTTATTAGCTCTCCATCCTTGAGATGTCTTTTTAATGTTCTGTGTGATAAAATGAGAAGTATGCCATAAAGCACTTCCACTGTACACCAAAATACGATTAAAAGGATTTGTGCAACTATATGAGTTGCAAGCTAAAACTAGAGAACATTTTCCTGGAATACTGTTTTTACTTGAATTAACAACTGCAAGAAATCCCATGGTCACTCAGACCTGGGTGCTTGTCACACTTTTTCTTAAAGGAATGAAAGAAGTCTATCACCTCAAGGAAAACTGACAGCCTTTGTTGCCAATGGCAGAATATAAAACGTTAAAATTTTGTCAAAAATTAAAAAATGAATATTTTTTTTTTGAGACAGAGTCTCACTCTTTCACCTAGGCTGCAGTGCAGTGGCACAATCTCCGTTCACTGCAACCTCTGCCTCCTGGGTTCAAGCGATTCTCCTGCCTCAGTCTCCCAAGCAGCTGGGATTACAGGTGCGCCCACCACACCCGGATAATTTTTGTATTTTTAGTACAGACGGGGTTTCACCATGTTGGCCAGGCTGGTCTTGAACTCGTGACCTCAGGTGATCCGCCCGCCTTGCCTCCCAAAGTGCTGGGATTACAGGCGTGAGCCACTGCATCTGGCCAAAAAAAGGAATTTTGGAAAACTTATCTGCAGTCATTAGCTTGACAGGTGCTTAGACTTTTCTGATGAGATCAGTTGTGGTATTAATGTGCTTTTGATATTGTATAATAAAGCATCTCAACATGTGGGTATCTACATATCTCAGTGAACCAGTATTTCTGAATGGTCAATGCAAGATAGATGCAAGAATATAAGATACATTCCAAGTGCAAAATAGACCAATGGATTTTACTGTCAAGATACAAAATGCTCATTGATACGGTTTCAGATTCCACATTGCAATTTTATATTCAGAAACAGCCACTTGTGGGTTTTAGTGTAGTGGCAAAAAAACCTATCCACACTTATCTGAAAAGACTATTAAAAACGTATCTGTGTGAAGCCAGGTTTTCTTCGTATATTTTAACAGATGTAAGAGTGAATATAGAATTTGATAAGAATCCAGTTGTCTTGTATTAAGCCAAATAAAGCAAATTTTCAAAAATATAAACCATGCCATTCTTCTCCAAACTTTTCCAGAACAAAAAATATTTTATGTTAAAAAAAAATTTACATTAATGTAATGTGATTACTTAGTGAATAAATATCTTAAGTTTCTCAGTCTTAATTTCTAATACAGAAAAGAGCAGATCACACAAGCAAAAGTGGTCTTCAATAATTTCTAAGAGTGTAAAAGGGTCTTTAAAACAAAACAAAAAAAAATGGAGAACCATTGTGTTAGGTAACATTCATTCTTAAAATCCAAGTACCTTACTTCTTAGCAATTATTTTTAAAAAGTGATTTTTCTGTACAGTAACAAAAGTAGGATTTAACACTGAATTTTCTTCAAGGAGCTGTTTTCTCAAAAGATTAGAAAATCATGGTTTTCCTTATCTTTGTCCGTAGGTGTGAAAGTTCTCTAAAGCCTAAGTACTCAAGAATTAGTCTGCTCTTTTACAAGCCTGGTAAAACCCAGAAGTCAAAAAGGAATTGAATGATATGTGACTATTTAACTTAAAACCACTGAATTGTAAAGGAAACCATAGACAGAAGACTCCAGAGGAAAGAAGTTTGCAATATAAGGGGAGCTAATTTTATCTACAAAGAGCTCTTTAATCAAAGAAAAACACAAACCGGAAGTTAATAAAAAAAGAAAAACTGTAAGTGGCCAATAATCAAATATGTTCACCATACACACAACAAATTTAAAACAATGAAATATTTCTTTTCTGATAAAGATTAGAGTTTTAAAACATTGATAGTGAACCTGGAGGAAGCAGACATCTTCATCCACTGTAGACGGATTTAACAATTTACACTATTTTGAAGGGCCACTTAGCAATATCTCTTTCCTGTAACACAGGATATTGTGGTCTTCATTCTTCATCAATATGCATAAATCTACCTCATTTTCCTCAATGGCTGAATGGTAATTATTAGCACGGATGCACCACATTTTATAATTTTAAAACTTAATCACACAAGCCCTTGAACTCAGCAATCCTTCTCAAAGTTTCCCTCCAGATGTACTCACAAACTTACAACAAGATCATTTCAAGAATACTAATCATAGAAATGTTTGTAGTTTCTAAAAGCCAGAACAATCTGAATGCAAATTAGTAAAATAACTACATGACCTCTTTGGCTAAATAAAAGGGTAAAAGATCCAGCTCAGAAATCCGTAAGGCCCTCCCTGATCTGATCCCACACCTCACCTGTATCCTCCTTTACCCTGCCTGTATTTTTCCTAGAACCACTTTAGTCTCTTTTCCTACCTCACGATCTTTGCACCACTTTGACCTACAATGCTGTTTTTTCTGGCTCACTCACAGTGAGATGACTTGTCCAGCATCTGACTTTCCCTTCAAATTATGGGCTCCCATAGGCAGGGCCCATCTTGTTAAACAGTGTGTCCAGGACCTAAGGATGCCTGACACACAGTAGCTTCTCCTGAAATGGTTGAGTAAATTAAAGCTTGAAAAGCTGTTTCCAAAACAGAAAATACTTCAGATACATGTAGCAGGTTGAAGAAATTTGAAAAACATGTCTTCACTGTCTTATGTAGATTTTTCAAACCAAAGAAATAATCCTACCAAATTACTCTCAGGCATTGCTCAACTTGACATAAAGCTCACTTCTAAAAGCCTTGTGAGAAAGACTGTCCACAATGGGACTTATTCAATGTTCATGAATACATCTTACCTCCTCTAGGTGATAAGCTTTTACAGACAGGAACAATGTCTTCTACATCTTTGTTCCTATTCCCCTCCTGACCTAAGATGATACCTTGCAAATAATTCCATCAACAAGTACACTTGTCCAAAGCAACCCAGATTCAGACAGTCTCATCATAGTTTTTGGTCATATATTATATTCATAACAAGTTACAGCTGAGCTGAATACTAAGAAACTAAAGGCCAAAAGCACTTTTCGCAATTGCAAAAGATACTACCTAGAGGATTGAAGGGAAAGAATTTTTCTATTTCTGGATAGGCATCATCTGAGGCAGGAACAGAGCTTTTTGCTTTAACAGTCTTCTCAGTCATCTAGAACAGCCAAAGAAAATATGGGTTAGTGACAGTGGAAGTCTTATTAGCTGATTAGTTTTTAAATTTGTCAATTTCATGCTGCCTTCTAAGAAGCCATAATCCTTAGTTTTCATAATTGCACCTAAATATACTTCAAATAATATGATTCAAATGTAATTCGAGTAGCATGACTCAAAAGTTAAAATCTGAAATTTAAGTACCAGCACCTGTCAGCATAAGTGATCAAGAATGCAGTTAATTCAGAGCTAATCAATGCAATTATTCAACCTAACAGAGGAGAAAATGGGCATGAATCACCCAGGATAGTAGCTAATCATCAAAGCCATTTTTGGCTTATAGGAGTGTGATTTTTTCCACAAGTGTTACCTTAAATTATTTGCTTGGTTAATATTAAAAACAAGTTTGTGTTCCTCAAATACACACACTGAGTAAGAGGCAGCAAGACACTGTCAAGGACTTTAGAATAAACACCATGGGCAATCTTCTAGTCTGGAGTTGACAGGTCTACTACAGTCTACTATAGAAGGGTGCTACAATGGAAGCCGGCATGTTCCTGCTTTATCTCACCTCACATATGCATGCCTAGAATTCCCTATGGGGTTCTCACACTTCGGTTCTGTGTCTCATTGTTTTTGCCATGTCTTTGCAATTCCTGTATTTAATATTTTTCTTTAAGTTAATTCACTTTTTAAAGAAGACATCTTTGTCCTAAGTTGCACTATATGTAATTCACTAGTTGTTTCCTAATGCAAATTAAACAAAACAGTTATTCAAATAAAGTGTTAATCCACATGCTAATGTCATCTTTCACAGCAAAGTCCTCTCATCTGGGATACACAGACCTGTAGCTTGTGACTCACACTCACACGAAGATCAACATGCTAGCAAATTGTCACCTAACAAGCTGCTGCTTGCCCTGGAAGGCTAAGAGAATGGCAGCACCTGTGCTATTAAAGCAGCAACAGAACCTCTTAAGGCACCCTCTCTCTCAGTATGTATCTGTAAGTGGATACCACCAACCAGTTTCTCTTAAGGCACCCTCTCTCTCAGTATGTATCTGTAAGTAGACACCACCAACCAGTTTCACGACACTAGTGAAGGACAGGTGAGGCAAAAATATGCATGAGGCAAAAATATGCATTAGCTGCATCTGAGATTTCCAATCTCAAGGTACCAAGAAGTCCACAAGGACAATCTGAGTCTCCTCCACTACTCTGCTTGCTAACCTCTATTTCCCTTCTACTCAGAGGGAAGAAAGCTACGTAGGATGATGCCAATAGTCATTTTAAGAGTCAAAAGTGCTTAAGTGTTTAAACAGTGTCTTTATAGCCAACACTTACCTTTTTGGCAGAAAAGCTTGGCTGTTTTTGTTTGAGGGGTCCCTTGGTCTTTACAGACTTTTCTGTAGCTCTGTTGACAGTTCCCAAAGCCTTTCTAGTAGCTTTAGGTAAGGCTGGTGGGGCATCGAACGTTTTGCCAAAACGTGGTGTTGAAACTTGAGATCTCCCATCTAAGGCTTTGATTGCTGAAGAAAAAGTCTTACCATAAGAATATTCCAGCAGCAAAATACCTGTACAACTTAAATACTGTGTATATAAACTTGACCTCTCACCCCCAAACCCACCCCCCACTTTTGGTAGTGGCATGGCTATGATAGGCCTAATAGCAGAGATTCAGTAACTTCCTTAAATCATCTCATTAAGATATTAAAAATGAAAAAGGACCAATAACAAACGACTCCAATTGCCCAAAAAGTACACTAAATGTCTCGTCCAGCTCCAGGCCACGTCCACAATACCAGTGTATCCGACTGCAGCCTTGTATACTTACAAGGTCCAGACCCCAGCTTCAGCCCATCCTTAGCAACCACACGGGTGCCTGGTTCTCCATTTTCCTTATCAACATAGATCAGAGTAGCCATTCTGGATTATTCTAAGAATGAGAAATACATATTAGATATTGGGGAAGGTGGGAGAAGCAAAGGTATAGCAACATACCAAACTTTCTATCCTAGGAGTGTCCACACAAAAAACAAGAGCTAAACAGCGGAACAGTCACGGGCGTGAGCCAACAAGTACTTAATCCAGCTCTCAAATCTTCCAGCCTGAGTCAGAGGCTCTAAGGTCCCGAGCAGCGCGCGGTTTGGGGCTGGCACTCATCAGACAGTTGCCGTTGGTCCAGTTAGCAGTCCGAGACCACGCTCAAACGGGCTCGGAGCCATCTAAGCCCCGGGCAGTCCCCCAACCCCAGCCCCAGCTTCAGCCCCAGCCGCAGCCGCAGCCCGCCTCCTTCCCCGCCGGAGCCGGCTCAACTAACCACCCGCGACCCTCCCATTCACTCACGCAGGTCTTAACAGCCGCATTCATCTGAGGCCGCGGTGAACGGACGCGGCGCACTCCTGGTTTAAACCACAACTCGCGGCCCAATTGGCTCTTCCGCCCAGGAGGCGGGGCCGTGGGCGTGGTCACCAAGTAGAACCAATGGAAAGGACCTAAGCAGCCAGGGCTCCGCCCCAAAAGCTCTTTCTTGCAAACTTTGTGGCACGTTTTCTGGGAAGAAAAAACTAGGATCGTGTAATATTAAAAAATAAATCGAGAGGCTTTTTTTTTTTGCTCTCCATATTATTAAGCTGCATGGACTGAGGTACTGACTCAATAACAATGGTTTATTGCTTTAAGATATTTTTATTTAGATGACCCTGTAAAAAGGATGGAAAATAAATAGAAATATTGAAGAAATAGGGGAAACAACCAATGTTGGGTCTAAAGAATACTAGCAGAGAAGAATTTAAAATTAAGAAGAAATGTAAGTACAGGTAGATCAAACAGCAGCGTTTGAGTCATTCTCTTATGCTTATGATTAAGAACGAACTGATCGTTCCCTAATCTTAGGACTATCCTCAATACTTCAGGCTAAGACACTGTTTCTATTATACCATCACGAATCTGTCTTAGGAACAAAATTATGATTCTAATGAATACATAATTTAGTCTTCCCTTAAAATTCTATCCTTTGATAGTGATTTATTTTAAACCTCTAACATCTCAATAATATATTAACCAAAGTTGCCTGGAAGGGCTTGGCCAGGGAGCAAGAGAATATCAGAGAGATAATAAAGATATAAAAAAGGAATTCCAATTTCCCAGATATGAAAAGAAATTTTGCTTGAAAAAGTTGACGACCTTTTCCTGTTTCTATAGTAAAATGGAATACATTGAACAACTACAAGATGAAGATATAAATTAAAACATAAGGCTGACCTGTGTCATTCAAACTCCGCTTCCCACAGTTCACCATATATGCATTTTAAGCTGCAGATCAGCTGAGAGAGAGGAGTTGATTCCATATTACTCTTTCACGAAAGGCTTGACACTATACCTGACATAGACATGGTTCTCAATATATGCCAGTTCATCATCTCTTTTTCCCTGGCATTTCAGGACCAATATTGATTGAATGATTCATTCATTCACAAATATTTATTGAATACCTATTAAATGCTGGACATTATACTAGGTTATAAGAAAAGAGCCTAACTTAAGGTGAAGAAAAGAGGAAAGACAGAAAAATATGCATACCTTTATTGTCCCTTCACTGTTCTTTTTCCTTTATCCCCATCCTTTATTTCCTCCTGTATCTCCTAAATTTTACATCATCATATTATATTATCAGCACTCAAAGTGTTAATTTTTAAGACTAAATCTGCACAACACCTATAGCTTCCAAGTGGGGATTCTCTATCTACAGAGGTTTTGAGGTGCAAGGTTTGTCTTAGGATGTCTTCTTTTTTTCACCAACAGAAAGCATTGTTTCTCCTAAGGTCATGCAGCAGCTGTAAACCATAACCACCCTCTCTGAATAACCACTGTTTTCTTACTAATGATGCCCTCAGACCAGCTTTGCTATTCCTATTACTGGAAATACTCAATTGCTAAACCACCCTCACTCATAACAGCACTTAGTCCCTAATCAGTTTCTCCCAATCCTTCTTTACAAACAGCAACCCATCCAGAACCAATCCCGGCTTTCCTAGACCTTCCTCAGAACCCTCCAGAGGGACCTCAAGTCTTAGAAAAGATTCAACTGTCTTGTCCTGCGCTTTCTGATTCCTCTTCGAGATGCGCTCTCCTGGTGGTTTTGGCTAATTAGGCCTTAACACTCCTAAGCAAATTTCAGGAATATTTTTAAGTGGAAAAAAACAAAGCCTGAGTGATTCATAGACTCTATTCACTTTCACGCTAGTCTCTGACACTGTTTCTTCATCTACTGCCCTGTAAAAGCAAAATTAATATTTATGTTCCTAAACTCCAGGTATTGCAAATTCTTAATACGAAAAAAATAGATTCTATTATGTTGGGCTATTTTATTGAGGCAGGAATGGTAGCTACTTTTACTTTTACATTCAAAAAGGATACACGTTATGGGGGGGAGGGGGAGAACAACCAGAATAGAAAGCACAAAGAAAAAAAAAAATCACAAGAAATTCTACCACGAAAATTAGTTTATTTTCCAGTGTTTTATTTCACATGTATACTTTTAAAGAAGGGATGGGATAGCATAGATACTGTTTCTCCAAAATGGAAATTGTCGTATTTTTTTCTAATGATAACATGCCTTATGTTCTCACAGCACCTGGTATTCTTTTCATAGCAACTTTTCACAGCTGCTAAATCTGAATAGTTGTTTCGGTGTCTTTCGCACTCTGATGTAAATCTGAGGGAAGACACTGTTCACCAAATCCCCAGCATGTTACACAGCCTGGCTACTAATTAGTGCCAAGTTTAACTGCTTTTTTTTTTTTTTTAAGCTGATACGTCACCAACTTCCCCATTCATTTCATAGTCCCCTGGTGAGGCTTAAGCTCTTGTCTGTTCTGGTCTTTTTTTTTTTTTTTTAACTTCCTAAAATTCTCCGATTCTAAAAGAAAGCTCCTAAATAGAAGCCAAAAAGTAGCCGCCCAACTTGAAACTCCCCACAAGCCGGGTAAATAGCGCGATACGCAGCAGCTAGAGTTCTCGCGTTTCCCACGGCGCAGGAGCACTGGAGGGCCCCCCTCCGCCCCCGGCCCCGCCAGGAAATTAGTGCGCATGTGCCGGTCATCCGGAAGTTACCGCAGTGGCCGCCGGAATTAGGCGAAAAGCCGGAAGTAAACATTACGAGATTGGCTTGGATTCTGTCGGATGGACTTGGGGCTAGCTGCGGCGGGGCTGGGTAAGAAAATATTGTTAGAACTTGCGGGCGACGGGGAGTTGGGGAACCTGAGAAAATGAGTCGAAGGCTCCTAATTATTGGATATATCTTCACGGGGGTGATGAGCCCTCAGGTGTTGAGGGAGCGAGGACGGGGGACCGAAAAGCCACTGTCCTGAGACCCATTCATGGCACTCGTGCCCTGCCAGGCCAGGCCTGCGTCTTCAGGGAAACAGTCGGGATAACTATGAGAGTGTCGCCTTTGTGGCGGTGCCTCGAAGACCTTGAGCAATCCCCGGACTGCGAGCAGGGAAAGCTGCTTCCAGTACCCAAATTGACAGACTGTATTTCCTCGCCAGAAAAATTTACTTGAGCTTCAGTTTTTCCTGTTAAGTCGAGATGATCCGACTTCAGTGGGGTATCATGCGGGTATAAATGAAAACATCTATGTAAGTAAAGCGCTAAACAGTGTCTTACGTAAGCCCTCAGTAAGTGGGAGCTATTACTGTTTTTAGTTGGAGAAAATAGGTCCCTCCACAGCGACGGAAACTAGTGCGTACAACTTGGTGACTATAATACTTTATTCAGTTTTAGTTTTTAATATTTTAGGCCCAGAAGCCAATGTTCTGTGGACAAGTATAACATACTGGTTTAGAGAACTGACTTTGGAGTCAGAGTTGTGTTTGAAGTCCTTATTTCTTACTACAATGTGTTCTTGGCTGAGGATCTTACCTCTCAGAACCTGTTTCTTCACTGTAAAATGGTGTTCATCAGACCTATCTACTGGGCTTATTGTGAAGATTAGATGAGGTGATACACGGTAGGCTCGAGAAATGGTAGCTGTTTTAATAAAGATTAAATTTACCGTTGTTGTGCTTCTCTTCGCAGTATATTTAGGCCATCAGTTTATATGTTACACAAATATATGTGGAGGTTTTCTATAGGTCAGACATAGAAGAGAACACCTTTGAGAAGCATCGTAGACCCCCAGGCATTGAGCACTTTCCACTGGGAAAGAGCTTGTGTAAAGGCCCAGTGTCTACAGGGAGCACGGTTTGTTAGAGGAACTAGAGGAACTACAAGAAGGTCTATGTAGTTAGTAGAGAAGGAAGCGGGGATAGTTGTAATGGTGAGGCTGGAAGGTAGGCAGGTGCCAGACCATGGTGGACCGTGTAGGTGTGTTAAAAAGATGTCAGTTTTTAGAGTACGAATGATAAAATCCTTTGGAGCGTCATTTTTTTTTTTTTTTTTTTGAGACGTAGTCTAGCTCTGTCGCCCAGGCTGGAGTGCAGTGACGCAATATCAGCTCACTGCAATATCGGCCTCCTGGGTTCAGGTGATTCTCCTGTCTCAGCCTCCCGAGTAGCTAGGATTACAGGTGCACGCCACCACGCCTGGCTGATTTTTTTGTATATGCTTAGTAGCGACGGGGTTTCGCCAGGTTGGCCAGGCTGGTCTCAAACTCCTTACCTCAGGTGATCCGCCCGCCTCGGCCTCCCAAAGTGCTGGGATTACAGGTGTGAACCATCGCACCCAGGTGTCACTATTCGTTATGATAGTTATTAGCCACTTGTGGTTATTGAGACTGGAAATGTGATTAGTTTAAATAAGTGTAAAACCCATATCAACTTTTAAAGACAGAGTTGTTTTTTTTCTAATTCAAATTTGCAATTATAATATGTTGGATATATTACATTAAATAAAATCTTGTAAAAGTAATTTTACCTGTTTATTTTTACTTTTTTAATGTGACTACTGGAAAACATAAAATTACATGTGGGACTAGCATTGTATTTCTCTTAGATGGTGCTGTATTGAATTTTTGGACGGTACTGCATTGGAGGATTTTAAGCTTGGGCAGTAGGACATTGTATTAATCTGTTTTCACATTGCCAATGAAGACATAGCCCAGACCTGCCAATTTACTAAAGAAGTAAGTTTGTTGGACTTAACAGTTCCACGTGGCTGGGGAGGCCTCACAAACATGGTGAAAGGTACCTCTCACATGGCGGCAACAATAGAGAATGAGAGCCAAGCAAAACGGGTTTCCCTTTATCAAACCATGAGATCTCGTGAAACTTATTCATTACCAGGAGAACAGTATGGGAGAAACTGCCGCCATGATTCAGTGATCTCTCACCCGGTCTCTCCCACAACACTTGGGAATTACAGGAGTACAATTCAAGATGAGATTTGGCTGGGGACACAGAGCCAAACCATGTCAGACATGATATGATCAGATTTGT
This sequence comes from Homo sapiens, assembly GCF_000001405.40. Lineage (NCBI taxonomy): Eukaryota > Metazoa > Chordata > Mammalia > Primates > Hominidae > Homo > Homo sapiens. The sequence continues at coordinate 160,416,798 of NC_000005.10, read as the reverse complement.
GTTTTGAAAAATTAACACTGCAATGTGGAGAATTGATTGGAGGGAATCAGAAGAGTCCAGTAAGTAGGAAAAAGTAATAACTTACACTAGGGTGGTAGCAGTAAGAATGGAAAGAAGTAGATGCATTTGAATGATACTCAAAAGGTGAAAATAACTGTTCTTAGTGATGAGATAGATGTAGGGATAAGCTGAAGCACTTAATGTAAAGGGACGGATGGTGTTGTCTTTCATTAAGATAGGGAAGAGTAGGAGATTAGATTTCAGAGGGAAGATCATGAGATTGAATTAAGACGTATTGAGTTTAAATGCCTCTGGCCTCTAAGTGGAGATGTCAAGTAAGCAATTGGATATATGTATCTGAAGCTCAGATAAAAAGTCTTGAATAGAAAAATACGTTGTTCCTTTATTATTTTTTATTTTATAGAAAAATAAGTTGGAGAGCCAGCAGTGTTGTATTGTGACCATTGAAGCCTTGGAAGTAAATGAGCTTATCCATTAGTGGGAGTTTAGAGTGGCTTAAAAGGTGCTGACTGAGCCTTGAGGAATCCAACATTAAATAACTGGGCAAAATTTGATGACAAGAGAGGTACAAGAAAAACCAAGAGGGCCAGGCACAGTGGCTCACGCCTGTAATCCCAGCACTTTGGGAGGCCAAGGTGGGCAGATGGCCTGGGGTCAGGAGTTTGAGAGCAGCCTGGCCAGTGTGGTGAAATCCTGTCACTACAAAAAATACGAAAAAATTAGCCGGGCATGGTGGCGGGCACCTGTAATCGAGCTACTCGGGAGACTGAGGCAGGAGAATCGCTTGAACCTGGGAGGCGGAGGTTGCAGTGAGCTGAGATCATGCCACTGCACTCCAGCCTGGGCAACAGAGCGAGACTCTGTCTCTAAAAAAAAAAGAAAAAGAAAAACCAAGAGAATGTAGTGTCAGGGAAGTCAAGACATAATATATAAAAAGGGAAGGAACAGAGCTGAAAAATGTCCATTGGATTTAGCACAATGGTCCTTGATGACTTAATGATGTAACTCTTTTCTTTAGAATGGTAGGGAATGGAGGGCTAAGTTAGAGTGAGTGAGGATGAAAATAGAAGGTGAGGAAATGGAGGCAGTGAATATAGATAACTCTTGAGATATTCATTCTTGAAGGGGTACAGAGATAGGACCCTCTTTTCTCTCATTAAGAGTTACTGTGTTAGAAAAGTTTGAGACATACACAGAAAGAGGGATTAAGGATGGATATGAGAAAAGAGTCCTGTGAAATTTTAAATACACGTGTGTGTCTCTCTCCATTTGTAAATTGGAGTTGAGAGAGAAACAGTGCTAACAGTATGTAGAGACCTTGAGGAGGGGGAAGAGACCCTTCCTTACACATAATATAGGAGAAAAAAAAACATATGAAACAGTATATATTATTAGGATGTATTTTTGGTAGTTTGAGTGAATTCATGAAGGCCTACTTTTTACTGTAAGTTTCACTTCTTTTCCTAGAGGAGGCCAGATAACCATGTCAGCCACAGTTGTAGATGCAGTTAATGCTGCACCCCTATCGGGGTCCAAAGAAATGAGTTTGGAAGAACCAAAGAAGATGACCAGAGAGGACTGGAGAAAGAAGAAGGAGCTAGAAGAACAGCGAAAATTGGGCAATGCTCCTGCAGAAGTTGATGAAGAAGGAAAGTAAGTACTTAATTTTTTGTATGATCCATTCATTCAGAATTCAAATTCATGTCTACTTAGTTTATTAATTTTTCATCCTTTGAGAGGAACCTCTCTTCATTTATGTCATTTTTGTTTTTTATTTTATCAAACTCATATGCATATGGTTTAATAATGAAATTATGTTGAAGGGCTTATAATGAATAGCAACAGTCCTTTTTTACCGTTCCCACCCCTGGCCTGCTCTACAGAAGTGACTGCTATGAAATCTTTCTATTTTGAGTTTTTCTGGTTGTTACCGTCACATCTCTAGATAATAATACCTACACAATTATTTTAATTAATTGACTATAGACATTATTTGAACCAAAACTTCTTGTGATAGAAGATTTAGATTACTAACACACATCTCTATTTTCCTTCCTCTCTTGTCCCCCTTCAGTTATATCACTATTCTTAGTTTCTTAGTTGGAAATATTTTCACTCTAAAATAAATTACTTCTTTATTTTTAATTATTCTTTATTATAGTATAGAGATAGCAACCTTGTTCTCTTCCCCCTACCACTGCAATATTTCTGTTCTTAGATTTTGTATAAGCTACCTTTGTAATTGTAATACTGATTATTTTCCAATTTTATCCTTAAATTTTTTTTTTTTTTACTTTAATTACAGAGACATCAACCCCCATATTCCTCAGTATATTTCTTCAGTGCCATGGTATATTGATCCTTCAAAAAGACCTACTTTAAAACACCAGAGACCACAACCAGAAAAACAAAAGCAGTTCAGCTCATCTGGAGAATGGTACAAGAGGGGTGTAAAAGAGGTATGTAGGCAACCTGTATACATCTTCATGGATATGGAGAGTTTAAGAACTTAATGTAAGAATTTTTAATGCAATACTATTTAAAGTAGAAACAGATAATAAAACCCTTTATCTGGTATTGAAATTCACAGTGCATTACTATTTTATCTTTGTGTTTCTTATATAAATTTTACACTCCTGAACTCTTTAAAGTTTCACATTTATAAATGTGTGGAGACTCTAACTTATTTTCCTTTTAACAAAGAAATCATTTCCCTAGACAAAATAGTAATGAGAGTCAAAGTTATTTCTAACTTACGTGGTTAAGACATTTTTGTTTTTCTTTATATATATTTATAGAATTCCATAATTACTAAGTACCGCAAAGGAGCATGTGAAAATTGTGGGGCCATGACACACAAAAAGAAAGACTGCTTTGAGGTAAGTTCACCTTTGAAAATTTTGAAAACCGTTGTCAGAGTCTTTCTTTTTTCTTTGTCAGAGAGCTAACTTCTCTTTTTCTGAAATCACCTATATTTAGGTACAAGTTAAATAAAAATTAGTTTCAGTGGAATTGGTTCAACACCAACAAAATTTTCTACTGTAAGACTAACTGTAAATTGAATAGATCGTAAAGTGCCCACTCTGTAAAAGTTGTATGAAGTTTTCCTTTGGGCCATAAAAACTTAGGAAAAGATTAAATCTTACTCTGTTTTTAGAGACCTAGGCGAGTTGGAGCCAAATTTACAGGTACTAATATAGCTCCAGATGAACATGTCCAGCCTCAACTGATGTTTGACTATGATGGGAAGAGGGATCGGTGGAATGGCTACAATCCAGAAGAACACATGAAAATTGTTGAAGAGTATGCCAAAGTTGATTTGGTGAGCAAAATTCCCTGCTTTCCTGGGGTTTTTAAAGAATCGTCCTTTTGCTGTATCTCTAGCAGCTCTACTTTTCAAATCTTGAAGCACTTTAAAAATGGTAGCATTTTTATAATAGTAGTACTACTGTATAGGCTACCTTTATAATTGTAATATTGAGTAAAGGAAATAGTGTGCTAGCCATACTTGCCAGCAGTTTCTTCTTATTTGATTCTTATATTGGTCCTTTACTCCCTGACTTAGGTAGCAAAAGATATTGGAAGCATGAAGACAGATTAGTGTCCAAAGCTTTTGGTTTTGTGAGGTTAGAAATGTATGGCCCCAAGCTATAGCTTGCCCATGAACCTATTTTATAGTTGCCTCCCATAGCATTTGGGAGTAGTAGAAAGGGAATGGATAATTTGTTTCAGAAAATTTTATTTTATTTTAACCCAACTTCAGTTTTTACTGTTATGATTTGACCTATTCACCCTTATTCCTTTGAAGTCATAGTCACACTGCCTTTTTTTTTTAATTAGAGGTATCATTTTAAAATTATAAGATTTCATATAAAAATCTGGATTTCATCTTTTCTTGAATATTGTAATATATGGTAACCCCACGCCTGCCTGGTAAGAGTCAGTCATCTAGAGTTCTGTGGCAACTGCTTGTTTTTGTCAGGGCTTGCTCCCTGCAATTTACTACTGATGCCATTTGGCTCAGTTTACATTAATGCCTGGTTCAAACACTGTGTAACTCCTGCTCTTTATAGAGTAATAGGTCTAGGGCTACAAGGAATCCCAAAGAGATAGGTTTGTTCAGTGACCTTTTCTGAAATAAATTAATTTAAAGTTATTCATTTTAAATATATAAAAATTTAGGTGGTGACTTGAATGTTGTAAGTAAAATTTAAATGTTTACTTTTTCTTTCTTTCTTTCTTTTTTTTTTTTTTAAAGGCAAAACGAACATTGAAAGCCCAGAAACTCCAAGAGGAATTAGCCTCAGGAAAATTAGTGGAACAGGCTGTAAGTAATGAAAATGATCAATAAAAAGGTTTTATTTCTTTTAAACAAAGAAATGAAAATTGAAACAAGAATTCATTTTATAGCTCTTCAGTTAGGAAGAGAGAAATGCTATTGGGGGAAAAATAAAACTGATACTTTGTATACAGTTCATAGTAATATAAATTGATGCAGTCAGTTTGGGAACAATATTGCCACTATTTATATTTAGACACACACAAACATTTACTTTTTCAAGTTAAATTATTAAAGCTATCCATCCTAAAGAATTTTCTAGAGTTTAGAAAAATCATGATGCATAAAGATAGTACAGCATTTTTCACAATAGTAAAGAAATTGGAATAGCTTAAATGTCCAGGAACAGGGAATTGGTTAAGTGCATCTGCATGGTGTAATGCTGTGTAGTTCTTAAAATGGCATTTCTCAAGACTTCATTAACAACACTGGTTAACACTTGTATTTGAATAATACATGAAAAGATAGTATAATATTATCACACAGAAAAAAAGACCAGAACACTAGTTTTTATTTAATGTAGAATTTATGAATTTTTCTTTCTATTTCTTTAGTATTTTCTGCATTTCCCACAATGAATATGTATTAGTTATATAACTGGGCAAAACATTTTTTATATGAATGAAAGGTCTATTGCAGCCAGTTTTTTTTTCTTTTTTAAAAATCCTTGTCAATAGAGTAAATATATTATGCATATTAGAGTTGTCAAGTTTCTTTTTAACAAATCTAGGCACAAATAAATAGTAAACATTTATAGTTTTTTAGTTTAAATTTCTAAAAGGGACTCTAAACCATGTATAAGTAACAAAGCAAACAGAACTTGAAATAATTACCAAGTAAGCAGTTACCGAGTTACTAAGGTAACCTACCAGGCAAGTTAACATTGTAAGTTACCAGATAGGTGTTTAAAATCCATCTCTGGCCGAGCACAATGGCTCACACCTGTAATCCCAGCACTTTGGGAGGCCGAGGCAGGTGGATCATCTGAGGTCAGGAGTTCGAGACTAGCCTGGCTAACATGGTGAAACCTCATCTTTACTAAAAATACAAAAATTAGCTGGGTGTGGTGGCGAGCACCTGTAGTCCCAGCTACTCGGGAGAATCGCTTGAACCCAGGAGGCAGAGGTTGCAGTGAGCCGAGATCACGTCACTGTGCTCTAGCTTGGATGACAGAGCGAGACTCTATCTCAATCAATCAGTCAATCAGTCAATCAATAACAAAATCCATCTCTGCTCCATGAGACATACATGCTCTTAGAAAAGTGAATTTGCCGGCCGGGCGCGGTGGCTGACGCCTATAATCCGAGCACTTTGGGAGGCCAAGGCGGGTGGATCCCAAGGTCAGGAGATCGAGACCATCCTGGCTAACACGGTGAAACCCCGTCTCTACTAAAAAATACAAAAAATTAGCCAGTCGCGGTGGCGGGCGCCTGTAGTCCCAGCTACTCGGGAGGCTGAGGCAGGAGAATGGGTGAACCCAGGAGGCAGAGCTTGCAGTGAGCCAAGATCATGCCGCTGCACTCCAGCCTGGGCGACAGAGTGAGACTCCGTCTCAAAAAAAAAAAAAAGTGAATTTGCCTCTCTGAGCTGCAGTTTAGTATGTCTGAAATAGAAATGATAACACCTACCCCCAGGAAGCTTATATACATATCACATAGTAAACACTGGGTAATTAGTAGCTATTATTGTTGTGATTATTTTTATTTATTACTAACTTTGGGAAAAGAAAAAGGGCCTGTTTCTTTTGTTCTAATGTATTCTCTGTTGTTTGTTGTAAACGTAATGTAATTTATTTCCCCAGTAAGGATACTTAATGTATGTAAGGGGCTAATGATTTTTGCCCACTTGGATGCTTGGATTATTTTTTTTTTATATACTTTAAGTTTTAGGGTACATGTGCACAACGTGCAGGTTTGTTACGTATGTATACATGTGCCATGTTGGTGTGCTGCACCCATGAACTCGTCATTTAGCATTAGGTATATCTCCTAATGCTATCTCTCCCCGCTCCCAGGATGCTTGGATATTAAGATGAACCACATACAGTAGATTTAGAGACTTAGCTGTCACTATAGAAATGTATGTAAATGTCTTTGGTGAACTAGCAAATAGTGGGAACTCAAAAAAATTATTTTTTACAAAATATTTATATTTCTAATTTTGAAAGTAACACATATTAAGTGGAAAAAAATTAGAACATAATATAAAAAAGAAAATATCCCTGTGTTAATTGTGAACATTTTGAAGTAGGCCTTTCCAGGTCTCTCTTGTCCACATATACCTGTTCATGTGTGCTAGAATACAAAATGTTTCTTACATGAATCCATCTTTATATATTCATTTATTACCTTCTTTTTTAATTTAACAACATAGAGTACAGTGGGAACGTGTTTTCTGTCTATATTTATAGACCTATAGCATCATTTATTTTTGTATGAATTCACATGGCTCAAAAATTAAAACAATTTAAGAAGATGCACAGCGAAGTCTCTCCACCCCTGTTTCTATCCACCCTAACACTAAACTTCCCCTCGCCCCAACTCTTTTGTGTATGTGTGTGGCTCCTTTCAGACTGTCTTGAATAAATACAAATACAAATATATACCCTTATCCTATCTGTCTCTCCCCTCCCCTTTTTTTAATCAAAAAAGTTAGGAAACGATACATACTTTTCTGCCCCTTGGATAGAATCACTTTTAATGGCCGTTCAGTGTTCCATGGAGTGCAATACATTATATAACCAGTGATCTATTAATTTGATTTTTTCCCAGTGTTTTGAAAAAACATTGCACATATACAACACTGCACATCACATTCTTATACATCTTTATATAATTGACATGATACTAGGATAACCTTCTAGAAGTGTATTTCAGTGAGTTTGTATTTCTAAAATTTTTATGACATATCACTTAGCCATCATTCAGAAAAGCCATGCAGATTTATGCTTCCATCTATATAGTATATATACATACACGTGTTTCTGCATCTCCTCACTAATGCTATAATGTATTCTCTTTTTTTTTAAGTATTTTTAATCTTTGAAGCCTTTATGAAGGGACATGATGAAATACCACGTTAGTGTAGGCATTCTGTGGAGTTAGAAAGTATTCTGACCAATTGCTAGCGAAGAAAAGTGTATCCTTGTGACAAGGAGTTTGGCCTCTCCTTAAATTACAATACTGTGTCACTTGTAGATTTTTTTCATTGCCCAAACTTCACTTTGGCTGTGAAGACATGAACCCAGTAATATTTTCTTTTTGGACTTACTAGGAAACTAGTAACGTTTAATGAATACAGTATGTCTGAAGACTAACACATTTAGAAATTAATATTTATTGGGTACTTTGGACATCTTAATCTTTCTGTTACCATTTTGTGGTTATAATCTTAATTAAAATTCTCTTGAAATTTGCTGGCTTTATAGACAGTGTAATAAAATTATTTACAATGGCACTCTTGTATTCAGAATTTTTGCGCTCATTATAACTGAGAAGTGTGAGAGTTTGTTCAGTTAGAATTAAGTTTTATTATCTTAATACTTATTTATAAGTTACATATTATATATTATATAATAAATATTTATTATATATAATATAAATATAATATATAATAAAATATATTTTATTATATAAATATATTATTTATAATAAGATAATAATACTTTATTATCTTAATAATAAAGTTAATTGGATTAAGTGGAATGAGATTATGAATGATTTTTCTTCTTTCATGATGCAGAATTCTCCAAAACACCAGTGGGGAGAAGAGGAACCAAATTCTCAGATGGTAATACATATTTGCTGTCTCTGAGTATATGTTAAATTTTTAAATTTCTGATGGCTAATAATAAATAACACTAATAATAGCTTTTAAAGAACACAAGTAAATAAGGGTTTGGTTAAAGGGAAAGGGGAAAAAAAAGAACTACATGCTGCTTTCTTTTCTTCTTACTTTTCCTTCCTCTCCCTCTTTTAGGAAAAAGATCATAATAGTGAAGATGAGGATGAAGATAAATATGCAGATGATATTGACATGCCTGGACAGAATTTTGACTCCAAGAGACGAATTACTGTCCGGAATCTCAGGATTCGAGAAGATATTGCAAAAGTAAGTCTTGTCAGCTTAACATACATATTTGAAAAATACTTGTCTTCCCAGCATAAATTTTATCGACTCTGGGTAGCATATGGATAATATAGTCAGAGTCATTCTAAGATAAGGTTTCATTCTGTTTTTTCTCTTCACCTGAACCCCAGAAATGTATACACACATTTATTTAATTGATCATGTTCAACTCCTCCAACTAGTCTGCTGAAATCTTTTTGCTGTGAGTAAACATTAATTCTTTAAATATTTTTTTCTTCTAGTATTTGAGGAATTTAGATCCAAATTCTGCCTACTATGATCCAAAAACTAGAGCAATGAGAGAGAATCCTTATGCCAATGCAGGAAAGAATCCAGATGAGTAAGTATCAAGTTAAATGTACAGATTTTAAGATGAGAGAAAGTTAATTGTTTTCTGACCTGACCATAGATGGTGTTCATTTTAATTCAGATTCAGTTTTACGAATTAATTTTCCTTAAATCAATCTCTGAAACATTTTCTTTATTTGTATTTACAGAGTGAGTTATGCTGGAGATAACTTTGTTAGGTACACAGGAGATACCATTTCAATGGCTCAGACACAGTGTAAGTGTTTCCTCTATGTCAAGCCATTTTATATCAGCTCATAAGACGTTTGGGATTGTTTAAAGCTTGTTTTCAAGAAGCATACAGTAATGCAGCTGCCAACTCACTAAGATGTTTTGAATTACTCTAGTGTTTGCATGGGAAGCCTATGACAAGGGATCTGAAGTGCATCTACAGGCAGATCCTACAAAGCTAGAGCTGTTGTATAAGTCCTTCAAAGTCAAAAAAGAAGATTTCAAAGAACAGCAGAAAGAAAGCATCCTGGAAAAGGTAATTTTGACCAAAATGCTAAAGAAGAACTTCTGTTAAAGAGAAGTTACTAGTTAATAAGCGTTAGTTTTACATTTGGAAAATAATGCAAAGAGAGCCCTCTTAATCCATGAAGAATAGTCCTTTTCTTCCTTTCTCTTAGTCAGATGGTAATTTTGTATGAGCTTTTGCAGCAAAACAAGCTACCTCAAATCTTAATAGCTTAAAATAAACATTTATTGTTTCTCACAGTTGGCCAAGTCTCCTGGTCTGGGCTTGCTCAGCTGAGGTTAGATGATGAACTAAGATGGCCTCACTCTTGTGTTTAGCAGTTAACAGGCTAATTGTCCTAAGGGGACCTCTTCTGGGACAGCTCATCTCCACCCCATGTGGTCTTTCATCCTCTAGTAGGGTAGCACAGCTTTTTAAAATGGCATTCTCAGAGTTCTAGAGAGTGGCAGCAAAAAGTGTGCTGTGGTACATAAGTGCCTTTGCTTGCATCACATTTGCCAACTTTCATTGGTCAAAGCAAATAACATGGTCAGGCCCAGATTCAAGGGACAGAGAAAGACTTCGTCTCTTGATGGGAAGAAAAGCAAAGCCCTGTGGCAAAAGGGCATGTATAGAAAGATAAGAGGAATTTATGGCCATCTTGTAACTTACTGTACTCAACAGATGAATAGCAACTGAGACATCTTCTATTTGCCTCAGAAAAAATTTGTGGCTTTTTTTTTCCTACTGTGCTTTCTATAACAAAACCCAGTAAAGAATGTTCCCTTTCTTTCTGATTAGAAATAAATGTTTTCTGGAAATTTAAATGCAAATCAGGTTGTAAAATGTATTGAATAATGTCCAATGTCCTTTTAGTATGGTGGCCAAGAACATTTGGATGCCCCTCCAGCTGAATTGCTTTTAGCCCAGACTGAAGACTATGTGGAGTACTCAAGACATGGGACAGTCATCAAAGGACAGGAGCGGGCTGTTGCCTGCTCTAAGTATGAGGAGGATGTGAAGATCCACAATCACACAGTATGTGCTAAACTGGAACAATTTTGTGTCCTTGTTGGTTTTGCTCTGTATTGCATTTTTCCACTACAACTTTATTAGCTAACCATTTGTATTCTCTATGCTTTAAAAAAAAAAAAAAATTTTAACTGTTTCATGGAATTTTTTCAAAAATAGAAAAATTTTGAAGGAATACTATGTTCATCTATATACCCATCATCTAAATTCTGAAATTTTTAACATATTGCCTTATATGCTTTGTCTAGTTGTATGTGTGCATATGCACAGTTTTACATATATATGTAAAATACACATATATACACACATATAGTTTATGTATATATTTATTTGACTGAAACATTTGGAAATTATGTATATCATGACATTTTATCCATAAACGCTGTATCACATATCTCCTTAAAATGAGGATTTTCTTCTATATAACCACATCGACATTATTGCACTTCAGAAAATTAACATTATATCACCTAATATCTAGTCATTAATCACATTTTCCAAAATATACAGAAAAATGCCTTTAACACCTATTTTTTGTTTTAGTCAGAATTCGTTTCAAATTTCTTTTGATCGTTATGCGGTTATTATGTCTCTTTTCTAGAGTGTATCTCTTCATTTTCATGACGGTGACCATTTAACAGATTAGGCCAATTAGTTTGTAAATTGTCTCATATTCTGTATTGACTGGTTCCTAGTAGTGTTATATAACTTGTTTCTCTATCCCTGTATGTTTTATAAATAGGAATTTAGGTCTAACGGCTTGATTGGATATAAGTTAAATATTTTGACAAGAATATTTAATAAGTAATGTAGTATATTCATATTGCATTGTAAACATCATAAAGCATATATTGTCCTTTGCTGTTCTCTTGAAGTAACCAAACTACAATTGTCTCTCTTAGTTGAGGGTCAAAAACCTAACTCCCTATAGGAGCCAGACCAGTGATCATACATGAGTGAAGTGAGCCAGGCAAATTGTACAAACTGGAGAACACAAGCCCTATCTAATGGGGCATCCACTGTTCAGCAACAGCTGATTATTGCCAAGTGGTTATATAGGCCCAGAATTTCCCACTCCTACGTTTTTCAAGAGAAGTCAGATACCCTAAATTTTTTAATAGGCTTTTGGGAATAGAATTTAAGAGTTTTGTAACTACAGGTCCTGCTTCTCACACTTCAGGTCAGACTACCTTCTCCCTGTTAGCCAGCCTTGAATCCCCATAATTTTTCTCCCAAATTACCTTTAATGGGCTGTATTATTTTATACTCTTATCAACAGTATACAGAAGTTTCTAATTTCAGCTTCCTTTTTAAGCTTTTTAATTTCTCTCTCTGCAGCATATCTGGGGATCGTACTGGAAAGAAGGCCGATGGGGATACAAATGCTGTCACTCTTTTTTCAAGTATTCCTATTGTACTGGAGAAGCTGGGAAGGAGATTGTTGTAAGTAATTGTCTTTGGTTCTTAAAGGTATAAAACAACCGAAGCTCCTAAGTCAAACTAAAACATGCTGTCTCATGTTTCAAATTTTAACTTGTTCTTAGATGATTAGTAACTATGACACTCAACTCAAATTACATGTATTTCCCACAGAACTCTGAGGAGTGTATTATAAATGAGATAACTGGGGAAGAATCTGTGAAAAAACCTCAAACCCTCATGGAGGTAAGTTGATAATCATTTGTCCTGAATTTTTAAGTCCTGGAGGGAGGGCTTTAAAACCTGCACCTGAGTTTTTTTTTTTCTTTTGAAACAGAATCTCATTCTGTCGCCCAGGCTCGAGCGCAGTGCACGGTCTGGGCCCACTGCAACTTCCGCCTCCTGGGTTCAAGTGATTCTTGTGCCTCAGCCGCCCAAGTAGTGCACCTGAGCTTTGTTTTCACATTAATAACACTGCATTTCAATCCTCCCTTTCAGCTGCATCAAGAAAAACTGAAAGAGGAAAAGAAGAAGAAGAAAAAGAAAAAGAAGAAGCATCGAAAGAGCAGTTCAGATAGTGATGATGAAGAAAAGAAGCATGAAAAATTGAAAAAGGTAATTTGTGAAGTCTAAATAGTAAAAGTGACAAGTAGCAGTATTCTTTGTTTTTTGGGTTGTTTTTATTTTTTTGAGACAGGGTCTTGCTCTGTTGTCCAGGCTGGAGTGCAGTGGCACGACCGCAGCTCACTGCAAGCTCCACCTCATAGGCTCAAGCAATTCTTCTGCCTCAGTGTCCCAAGTAGCCGGTATTACAGGCACATGCCCCCATGTGCAGCTAATTTCTGTATTTTTTTATAGAGCCAGGATTTCACCATGTTGCCCAGTCTGGTCTCAAACTTCTGAGCTCAGGTGAACTGCCCACCTCATCCTCCCAAAGTGCTGGGATTGCAGGCATGAGCCACCGTTCTTGCCAGTATTATTTGTCAAGGCCTTTATTTGTAATGGCCTGTGATCTAGTCCTGTCTCCAAATGCATTTTTACAATGATGAAACAAGCCTAGAGTCTGAGTGATTTGCTCAAGTTATATTAATGGAGATATTGTGAGGTGTAGGTATTGCCTTCTTCTTGGAGTATTTAGTAATTATGACTAATGGACAGAAGAAATGTGCATTCTAAAGCATTTTAGAGTTATTGGCATGTTGACCGGAAAGAATTGCCTTCTAGCTCCGTAGTTTGTAAGTTTTGGCAAGTCCTTGAGAAAAGTCAGAATTGTAGTCTCTACCAGAAGCATCATTTGTGAGCTTGTATAAGTAAAGTGAACCTCATTTAATTTTTGTTATTAAATAAAATTTCTTCAACATTGATTTAAAATGTTATAGAATGTTTTGTGCTGTATAAAAATATCATATAAGCCAAATAGTGATTAGTTGTAGCTTGACAGTAGAAGGGCTGACTCCAAAGCTCTTTCAGGCAATCTGCGTTTTTGATAGAGCAGTTCATATTCAGTGGGGTGTGTTGGTACTCTGCCACTTTTGAAGAAAAGACATCTGATGTAGAGCTGTGATACACATTTTATTCCTCTCACTATAGGCACTGAACGCAGAGGAGGCCCGCCTTCTTCATGTCAAGGAGACCATGCAGATTGATGAGAGGAAGCGGCCTTACAATAGCATGTATGAAACTCGAGAACCTACTGAAGAGGAAATGGAGGCATATAGAATGAAACGTCAGAGGCCAGATGACCCCATGGCCTCTTTCCTTGGACAGTAGCAACTAGTCAGAAGACCATCCAAGATAGATGCAGCTGATACATTCTTTTCAGCTTCTTATTGATGATTGTAGATAGAAAAATCCTTGTTTATTCTTCTTGCTGCCTGGCTTTAATAAATATTTCAGATGCCTCACAGTAAGTTCACTCCTTTCCATACTGAGGAAACAAGAAAAGAAGAAGAGGCACATGAAGTGTGCTTTTGGGAATAGAATTTAAAATTGGATTAAGATTTTATTTCCAGTTTTTTTTATTTATTTATTTTTTTTTTTGAGACGGAGTCTTGCTCTGTCGCCCAGGCTGAAGTGCGGTGGCGCGATCTCGGCTCACTGCAAGCTCCACCTCCCAGGTTCACGCCATTCTCCTGCCTCAGCCTCCCTAGTAGTTGGGACTACAGGCGCCCGCCACCATGCTCAGCTAATTTTTTGTATTTTTAGTAGAGACGGTTTCATCGTGTTAGCCAGGATGGTCTCGATCTCCTGACCTTGTGATCCACCCGCCTCAGCCTCCCAAAGTGCTGAGATTACAGGCGTGAGCCACCGCGCCTGGCCTATTTCCAGTTTTATGTGAGTCATGTAAAAAAGCCTTGGCTCTCTACCTATTAAGAATGTCTCTTTCTCTGTATTTATTAAGCTTCAAACTTTATTGCTTCGATTTTTGTGGCCCTATATTTAGTATTAGCACACCTTGGTTTTGAGAAAAAAACAGGGCTTTGTTTTTTTAAATAATTACTAGCAACTCTGTGACTACATTTATTTTTATTTTTTTTAGAGACAGGATCTTGCTATGTTGCCCAGGCTAGAGAGCAGTGGCTTTTCACAGACAAAGTCATAATGCCCTGCAGTCTTGGGCTCAAGCGATTCTCTCTTCCTTGGCCTCTGGAGTAGACTAAATGTGTTAGTCTTTGAATGGAAAACAACTATTTTCTCATCATTGGGTCAATATTGACTGATCAGTAGTAGGTCTTTTACCATTCTGGACATAAGTCTAGGTGTAGAAATCCTTTCCTTTATCATAGAGGATATGGTTTACATTACCGTTTGTTTTCATTGTGATTGCCCCTATGTAACAATCATGAATATTAGATTTTTTAAATTGTAGAATATCCTAATATTTATAGCCAGCAGCTGTTACTTTGTTTGTAAAATTTGCAAAAAAACAAAACCTGAAGTTGGTTTATTGAAAGAATTATAAGGATAGCTTCTAGGGATATTAGTAATAGATTGCCATGATCCTGAAGCCTCTTCTCAGAACACTGTGAAGATAATACTGACAGTAGAATCAGTGAAAACAGCCTAACAAAACCTCTGACATCAGTATATCAACTTTTAACAGCCCACTCACTGGCTTTTCTAAACTACCAAAAACCACCTGTAGGATACTGCATTAAGTCAGCATCTCAGAAACAGTGGTGTGAGTAACTGAGTCAAATTGTCAAGTACTTTGGATATACATAGTGTCGAGCTTTAGATTGGTATGAAATTAAACAGCAATGCAAATAGATTTAATTCCTATTTACTTTAAGAATGAAAAACAATGTTCATTTTCCTACCTAAACAGGGTGGTTCAACATAAAGGCTGATGTTGTGTCCGTTTTGTATTTTATCTTTTGTTAAAGATACATAAATGACAATACTTAACTGTGAGTGGTTTGTAGCATTATTTCTAATATTTGGCAGAAAAGTTGTTTATGGGACAGGGAGGGGAACCTGGATTAGCTTCTGTGAGTTTAAGAAAATTTCAGCATCTTGTCACCTAACCTTTCTGGACCTCTTTCCCTCTTCTATGAGGCCTGGTTTACTTAGATTTAGGAAGAATTCTGTAATATCCAGAATCATGTCTTCTGTTTTATTTTGGAAAAGTAATGCCTAGCCAGCCTGGCCAACATAGCAGAGCCCTGTCTCTATGAAAAATACGAAAATTAGCTGGGCATGGTGGCACACGCCTATAATCCCAGCTACTCAGGAGGCTGAGGCATGAGAATTGCTTGAACCCGGTTCAAGAAGTTACAGTGAGCTGAGATTGCGCCACTGCTCTCCAGCCTGGGCAACAGAATGAGACCCTGTCTCAAAAAAAAAAAAAAAAAAAAAAGAAAAAAACATAATGCCTAGGACATTACTCAGATTGAGCTTTGATTTTATTATCTCAATAATAGCTGCCTTTTGAGTGCGAGAATTATGTACTGTAATTGTCATAATGTTATCTCCTTCCTCAAAAGAATTTCATGGGGTAATGGATGATATGTAAGTTTTACAAAAAGCACATGGAATTAACTCCAAGTAACCTGCACAAATCCTAACCGTTGGAGTCAGGACATGAAGCTAGCTGTGGGATTCTGAAGCCTACCCCTTTCTCTAGTATTGAAGGCCCTAATTTCTTGACCAACAAGGCTGGTCTTTAGCAGTTTCTTCCATCCACAAAAAACTTCAGCAGCCCGTCAATATTTACCAGGCTCACCCTTAACACCTGAAAATGATGTATCTGGCCCACATTCGTTGACGCCCCACCACTCCTCACACACACTAGTCTTATGGAATGCTTCTAACAAGATTGTACAAAAATGAGTAAACTCATTAAGTTTATAAGAATTCTGGAAAGACCCCCAAACAGGAAAGGGCTATATTCCGGTTTCTTTCAACAACGTTTCCTAGTTTCTACTTGGGATTTTTCTCTAAAACCTCTCTAATATGGGTTTATTTCTTTGAAATCATGTTGTTGAAAGAATTTAAAATAAAAATATTTCAGATATATGATGATGACATGGAAATTCATCCCTATGCTCCCACTTACGGAAAGTGGGATCAGCTTGCATAGGCAACAGTACACAAGCTATGGAAGCTCATCCTCCACTGCTGAAATGTCTAATCTGAAATTACAATGAGCTTCCTTCTCTTTTTCTCTCATTTATTCCACATGGAACATGGCAATTATCAGGCGTTTTATCTCCAAGCTCAAAGCCCGACACAATATAAAAGTTTAAGTGCTCTGCATGTTAAAAAGAACTATGTGGAGTTTACAGCCCCTTCCATTCCTGAAATTGTACAGTTCATCCTCTCTGGCAGACACAATAAACAAACGATTTCTTGTTCCACGTACACAATCTTAAAAAAAAAATTGGGAAGGGCTAGCGCGCATGCTCAATACTCAAGCCAGCCAGCCCATCCCACAGCCCTTTGCTACTGCGCCTGCGTGTGGGAGACGCCTCTCCCAGTTTGCGGGCGGGAAGCACCCTGGAGAACCCGGATGGAACCCGGGCCTGGCTGAGGCGGAGGTTGTTGCGGATGCTTCTCTCTCCAGGCGCACCGCAGATTCCTGCCCGGGGGTTGGACCCGAGGAACCGCCGTCTCTACTGGTTCCGACGGCCAGAGGCTGGGCCCTAGGCTGAGCGGAGAGTGGGACTGGAGCCTGAAACGGGCGCCTAAAAGAAGCCCGTGCATCCCATAGGCCTGCGCCTCAGGCTTGGAGACGGGCGGGCGGAGACCGCGCTGAGTCTTTTTTTTTTTTTTCCTAGCAGCTGGCGTTCTTATCTCACCCGGGAGGCTGTAAAAATCTCCGTCCTTAACAGTAACACCATCAGGTCCTATCAGTTAAGAGCTGCTTGTTATTTGCATGCATTCTTATAATTAAATCTCCTAACAACCCTGTAAGGTAGGTACTGTTATCCCCTCTGGAGGAACTGAGGCTTGGAAAGGTCCCATCCTGTAAGTGACAAAGCCACGATCCCAGGCGTTTGCCCCTGGAGCGTCTGCCCAGCCACCAAGTTCCTGCCCCCATTCTCCTGGCTATTGATTTTAACTGTAAAATGTAATGGTTAAATGCTCTGCCTCCCCAGACACCTGCGCCTATCATGATCTTGCATACGCAGTGGCTAGAAAGAAGTTGAATTGTATTTGGTTTGGAGTTTTAGGTTTACAGCTGCACTTTGGTGTTTTCACTGCTGGAATATATATATATTAGCATTCCCTAAATATTTGTTTTGTGAGTGTTCACTTTTAACTGATTTTTCTCATTTGTAATACTTTTTCATATCTACCCTTCATAAACTTGCAAAAACATTTTACTTTGTTATATCAGATCTTTCATTAAGCATCTGAAGATAATCTCTCAAAAGAATCATGCTTAAAATGAGTGATATCTATCTTAAGATAATGCTTTTTATCTTTTTATTATGGAAAGTTTCCAAAATACATTAAAATAGAACGGTGTAATGATGTATACCCATCATCCAGCTTCAAGAGTTACCAACTTAAGGCCAGTCATTTCTTTTATCTCCACCCCGCTTTGTGCATGTTTGTGAGTGTGCTGAAGTACGTATTTCAAAGGAATCCCAGACATCTTATTTCACTTGTAAATAATTGTCTGTATCTAACAAATGAGGACTTTTTAAAAACACAACCACAATACCATTATCATGCCTGTTTAACAATATCTCCTTATCATGATGCTTTTTAATGTTTACGTTTTTTAGGATATTGTAATTCCTAAATACCACAAAAGCGCAAGTGCAAATTGTGAGGTTCTAAAACACAAGCCTCTTGGGCAGTAAGTTCATCTTTGAGGCCCTTGAAAATTCTTGCCACCTGTTCTCCCTTTTTGAGGGTTATGGAGAAGAATACTTTAAATTGATTTTCCTAAAACTGTTCAAAACAGATAAATTTTAAATTAAAATATACTTGAGAGACATAGTCAAGGTGGATAGGAATGGACTCTTAACAGATCTTGTAATGATTTCCAGTTTGTTTTGTTTTTGAGACAGAGTCTCACTCCGTCACCCAGTCTGGAGAGCGCAGTGGCATCATCTCGGCTCACTGCAACCTCTGCCTCCCAGATCAAGCGATTCTCCTGCATCAGCCTCTCCAGTAGCTGGGATCACCATGCACAGCTAATTTTTGTATTTTTAGTAGAGACGAGGTTTCGCCAAGTTGGCAGGGCCAGTCTCAAACTCCTGACCTCAGGTGATCCGCCTTCCTCGGCCTCCCAAAGTGCTGGGATTATGGACATGAGCCACCGTACCCAGCCTTTTTTTGAGACAGAGTCTGGCTGTGTCACCCAGGCTGGAGTGCAGTGGCGTGATCTCAGCTCACTGCAATGATCTCAGCTCACAGCAACCTCTGCCCCCTGGGTTCAAGCGATTCTCCTGCCTCAGCCTCCCGAGTAGATGGGACTACAGGCATGCGCCACCACACCCAGCTAATTTTTGTATTTTTAGTAGAGACAGAGTTTCACTATGTTGGCCTGGCTGGTCTGGAACTCCTGACCTCAAGTGATCTGCCCGCCTTGGCTTCCCAAAGTGCTGGGGTAGCAGGCGTGAGCCACCGTGCAGGGCCCCTCTTGTAATGATTTCTAATGTGACTAAAAACATTTTCCTTTATTCCCTCTTCCTCCCCAAATATTACATGATAAATATACATTAATAGAATACAGAAAAATAAGCATTTATGGTAATGTCATAATTTTATCGTCATTAATTAGAAGTGGTTCTAAGCAAAAGTGGTCATGTAGTCTCATTACTTGACAAAAGAAGTCTTAAGATCAGCTCTTTAAACTTCAGGTTGTCTTTTTTGATTGGCAGACATCCTCCAATTTAACAGGCTCATAACAACCTTGTAACAGCTCAGCTTATTTTATTGGAGTACACTTTACAACTAGTTCATCTTGGTAGATCCACTTGAAAGCTAATGCTTTAAGTGGATATTCTTGGCTTGTGATTTTTCTTTTAATGTCCAAAGTGGGCATTCAGATTTAAATGTGTACCTGTTACTTTATTTCAGCCACATTCTCTGGCACAGAACTTTGGAAACTTTGGGGATCACTTACTTATCTTGGAGATAGAATGTTTTCTAAGGTATATTTGAGCCTACCTGTGGATTATGCCTTTACTCGTTGCTAAAGGGAGAGAAAGAGAAAAGATATGGCTTTCATTTTAGGTTTCAACTTTCATAGGAGGCTGTCATCAACTCAGAAAATGTAGAAAATTTAAATATCTATTAAAGCATTGGGACCATTCACTTAGAAACCTAGAATATTTGTTAGCTAAGGATTGGTTTGAAGGATACGTTTTTATTCCCCTAAGCCTGACTACTTAACCAGGTTGTGTTTCAGGACTGCCTGAACAACATTATTTCATATTCTTTTGTTCTGCTTCTGGAGAAGATATGTATTAGTTCTAAGGTAGTGCAGGGACGTGTATATTTTGAAAGGGTTTCCCAGTGATTGTGATGATATGGTGTCTCTTGTCACAGATCACTGTTCTAGTTACTATTTATAAGAATTATCTAAAATACTTACAATACAGATTCTAGGCCCCCACTCCATAGCTGGAGAATCAGAATCTCTATGGGTAGGGCCTTCTACATCCTGTCTTTGGGTTAAACCAAACCTTAGGAATGCTGCTTATTTTGTGTATGTGCATGTGTGTGTTCTTGACTGCTTTCCCTTAGAGGTATTTAGGTGGAAAAGCATCATGAAATTCGTTATTTTACTTAAGAGTGTTCTCCTATGAGAGGGATTTTTCTGAAGTCTCGGTAACAAGAATAGTTGTGTTTCCCCTGAGCAAGTTGTTTTGCTTTTTTTTTTTTTTTTTTTTTTCCACAGAGACTTGCTCTGTCGCCCAGGCTGGAGTGCAGTGGCATGATCTTGGCTTAGTAGCTGGGACTACAGGCGTATGCCACCATGCCCAGCTAATTTTTTGTATTTTTAGTAGAGATGGGGTTTCACCATATTGCCCAGGCTGGTCTCGAACTCCTGAGCTCAGGCAGTCCACCCACCTCAGCCTCCTAAAGTGCTGGGATTACAGGCATGAGCTACCACGCCCGACCATTTTGCTTTTTTATATGGACACTATGAATCATGGACTGATAGTGTGTTACACTTAGCAGCAAGGAAGCTCTGAGCCAATTTGTAGCCTACCTTTGCATCAGGGGTGGCTTAATCAGACTTAAAGACCTATTTGAAATTCTCTGCCTAAGTTGGAGTCAAAACTGCTCAAGGTTCAAATAGTATTACAGACCTGTTTAGTCTTTAACTATTAAAAAGAACTACCATGTTCTCACTCATAAATGGTAGCTAAATAATGTGTACACATGGACGTGGATAATGGAGTGATGGGTAAAGGAGACTTGGAAGGGTGGGGTGGAAGAGTGGGGTGGGAGGGAGTAGATGAGAAATAATGAGTACAATGTATGTTATTTGGGTGACGGATACCCTAAAAACCCTCACTTTGCCACTATGTGGTCTATGCATATAACAAAATTGTGCTTGTACCCCATAAATGTATACAATTATTTTAACCTCCATGTCAGAATCCACCCTTCCTTATTTAGTGAATTGCTCCTTTATTCAGTGATTCTTAACTGAGGGTATGCATACATCTTTGGGGCTGAGTGGAAGAAGGTGGTGGTAGTGAGATGCCCTTTCTAGGGATACAAAATGTGCTAGATTTGTTTGTAACATACATTATTGAAAACAAGTTAAGCCATAACTATAATTCACCAATAAAGGACTTACAGGTGTTCATAACTTGTCTAAGCTCAAATCTCCCATATATAACTTGCTGGCAAATCATTTATTCCAGGGCATTAGCTATGAGTTGCTAGCTTTAAGTTGAACTATATCCTGTCATGGCTTACTTCGAATTGACATGCTGCAGGCTGTATCTTGACATATACAAGATAGCATGTGATGTGGCTTTGTTTTAATTCAGTTAGCCACTGGTTTTTAATGTGTGGGTTATATTTTACTCCCAAAGCAAAATTCTGTGGCATCTCTGGAATACTACCTGAGAATTTTTGTGTGCCATGTCGAAGAAACGCAAATGGGATGATGACTATGTTCGCTACTGGTTCACCTGTACAACGGAAGTAGATGGAACTCAGCGTCCACAGTGTGTGTTGTGTAACTCAGTATTTTCAAATGCTGACCTCAGACCATCAAAACTGTCAGACCATTTTAACAGACAGCATGGTGGTGTAGCTGGGCATGATCTCAATAGCCTGAAGCATATGCCAGCACCATCTGATCAGAGTGAAACCTTGAAAGCATTTGGAGTTGCATCTCATGAGGATACTTTATTACAAGCATCGTATCAATTTGCGTATTTATGTGCCAAGGAGAAGAATCCTCATACAGTAGCTGAAAAGTTAGTGAAACCTTGTGCACTGGAAATAGCACAAATAGTTTTGGGACCAGATGCACAAAAAAAGCTTCAGCAGGTACCCTTATCAGATGATGTGATCCATTCTAGAATTGATGAAATGAGCCAGGATATCTTACAGCAAGTTCTAGAAGATATCAAAGCCAGTCCTCTTAAAGTGGGTATTCAGCTTGCTGAGACAACTGACATGGATGACTGCAGTCAGCTAATGGCATTTGTGCGCTATATAAAAGAAAGAGAGATCGTAGAAGAATTTCTCTTCTGTGAACCATTGCAGCTATCCATGAAAGGAATAGATGTGTTCAATCTCTTCAGAGACTTCTTTCTGAAGCATAAGATAGCACTTGATGTATGTGGCTCTGTTTGTACTGATGGTGCCTCCTCTATGCTAGGAGAAAATTCCGAGTTTGTTGCCTACGTGAAAAAAGAGATACCTCATATCGTAGTTACACATTGTTTATTGAATCCTCATGCACTTGTCATAAAGACATTGCCTACAAAACTGAGGGATGCTCTGTTTACTGTGGTGAGGGTAATAAATTTCATCAAAGGGAGAGCTCCAAATCATCGCCTATTTCAGGCTTTCTTTGAAGAAATTGGCATAGAATATAGTGTCCTCCTTTTCCATACTGAAATGAGGTGGCTTTCCCGAGGCCAAATACTTACTCACATTTTTGAAATGTATGAAGAAATAAATCAGTTTCTTCACCACAAGAGCAGTAATTTAGTTGATGGCTTTGAAAATAAAGAGTTTAAAATTCACCTAGCATACCTTGCAGATTTATTCAAACACTTAAATGAACTCAGTGCATCTATGCAGAGGACTGGGATGAACACAGTATCAGCTAGAGAGAAGTTATCTGCTTTTGTTAGGAAGTTTCCATTTTGGCAAAAACGAATTGAGAAAAGAAATTTTACCAATTTTCCTTTTCTTGAAGAAATAATTGTTTCAGATAATGAAGGCATATTCATTGCAGCTGAAATAACACTGCATCTGCAACAATTGAGCAACTTCTTCCATGGATATTTTTCCATTGGAGATCTTAATGAGGCAAGTAAATGGATATTGGATCCATTTCTTTTTAATATCGATTTTGTTGATGATAGTTATTTAATGAAAAATGATCTTGCTGAATTACGAGCTAGTGGCCAAATCCTAATGGAATTTGAGACAATGAAGCTTGAGGATTTCTGGTGTGCCCAATTCACAGCATTTCCAAACCTGGCAAAGACAGCTCTAGAAATCCTTATGCCATTTGCAACTACATACCTTTGTGAGTTGGGATTTTCATCACTTTTACATTTCAAAACAAAGTCCAGAAGCTGCTTTAATCTGAGTGATGATATCCGTGTGGCTATTTCAAAAAAAGTTCCTCGTTTCTCGGACATCATTGAACAAAAGCTACAGCTACAGCAGAAGTCACTGTAAGCTGATATACTTTTTTAATGAATAATTTCAATCTTAATATCATTGTAAAATTAAGCTGTAATTCTGTCTCTTTCATATTTATGATATACTGAATTCTATGTCTAAAAAACTTAAGAACTTTAATTTTGAATGAGGCATGTGAAAATATGTTTTGAGAATAAAAACACAGCAGAAAAGATTAAGTACTACTGCCTAGTTGCTATCATGAGATTTTCCCAATTCTAAGTATCTGTTTAACCTGTTCGTGTGGTATATGAAAAAGATACCTAAGCACTAGAATATCCAGCTAAATGGTGCAATAGGCTAGGAATTGAGCCAGGAGAAAAGAGAAGATATCCCAGAAGTCAAAAAGGCAAAATGAAAGATTGAGTTCGCCCGTCTTTGTTATGGAGAGGTTAATGAAATCAGAAGAGGATTATGAAATATAATGGGAAAAGGAATGATCTGGCTTATGTAAGACTTACTTTTAAATATACTCTTTGGAGTTAGTCTCACAATGTCCATTCCCCTAGCTCCTGTGCTATGAATATCATATTAATAAATAGCCTAATATATTAATCACTGTTTGTCATCTTTAAATTACTTCAGAACTCCAAGTTATCAAGGCTGCTGAAAAGGAGATTCCTGAGCCTTACCCTAGAGATTGTGATTAGTAGGCCTGTGATAAGGTCAAGGATCCTCATTCATAACCAGCTTTCCAGACTGTTCTGATGGATTCTTGGATTCTTGGGTCCTCTGGGTTCAATTTTTCCTATACTTATTTTTCCTTTACCCTAATTTTGTCACTTATATTACATCTTATATGTATTTTTCTAAGTTCAAAATGTCAGAGTATAAATCATAAATAAATTGACATGAAATCAATGGAGTAATTCAAGACCATCAAAAAATTCCCCATGGGAATCTAACTTAGCACACTTTTTCTGGATGATAATTTGGCAAAATATTTTTTAATTTAAATAAATTTTCATTTCTATTTTTAAACATTAATATTTTATCAAAGTACTACATGCTCAAGGCTGGGAAAAAATGATATAGAGAGTCCTATAAGGAAAAGCCACAATCCCCTTCCTGCCCAATTACCCATTTCTTCTGTAATTTCTTGTGGTTCCACCCACATCTCTTAAGTAGTATGTTCATACCATGACATATAGCAGTTGAATCAGCTTTAAAAGTTATATATTGACTCCCCTAGATAATATGTAAGGATTGAATTTATAAAATATCCATCTCCTACTACTCTCAATTTTTTATTATTATTACACTAATGTTAGTCTCTTTGTTGGTTATTTATAGCCCTTTGATTAAGAATTTTTCCTCTATAAATTTATCATGTGGAAAGAATCAGGAATGTCCAAAAGTTTTACTTATAAGGTGGCTAATCAGAACACTTTTATAATACTGAAAAATAAAAAATAAACCTGAAGGGAAATGGAACCTGACTACCAAATTTAGATGCCACATTAGTACGCAAATCAAAGTTTATATTTTATCAGTAAGTATAAATACACACCTTTTTTCACTGAAAAATGTAGTAACAGAATATAGGTCCTAATTTTCCTATTACAATCTAACATCAAAGACAGAAAAATTTCCAAAGCTAATATGGAAATCTAGATGTGTAGGCCAGGTGCGGTGGCTCATGCCTGTAATCCCAGCACTTTGGGAGGCCAAGGTGGGCGGATCACTAGGTCAGGAGTTCGAAATCAGCCTGGCTAAAATGGTGAAACCCCACCTCTACTAAAAATACAAAAATTAGCCAGGCATGGTGACATGCGCCTATAATCCCAGCTACTCAGGAGGCTGAGACGGAAGAATTGCTTGAACCCAGGAGACACAGGTTGCAGTGAGCTGAGATTGTGCCACTGCACCCCAGCCTAGGTGACAGAGTGAGACTCCATCTCAAAAAAAAAAAAAAAATCTAGATGTGTGTATATAAAGTTTAATCTGTATGCAATTCTAAAGTTAGGAAGGAGGTAGGAATAGGGACATGGGCATGTATGAAACCTAGGATTTAATAGTATGATAGAAGGACCAGGATTAAATGACCTTTGATAGCCAGTCTTTCATTAGGTCTTAGACTAAATTAGTTATTGCTGCTCTGAAACAAAAACTCAAAGGACATTTTTAAGGAAATGGCTAACTAGGATTTTTATTCATTTTCAAATTCTACAACAATTTTATTTTCTCCTGATCAAATGAAAGAGCTGCAGTGTTTGCTAAAATGAAGGAATTTCAATTTTTTTTAGTTTAAAAATGTCCCACAGTGGTACATATATTGGAATTTTTAGTCATGTGTTGGTTTCTTTTTTCCCAAAGAAGAGATAATTACTTTTCTTATGTTTTATTTTAGAGTCATTGATAAATTTTGAAAAGGAGTAAAATAGAATAAAAACATAATCTTCATGACCAGCAGATGTCACTCTCTGTATAGGTTTGAATGAGAAAGCAACTTTACTCACATTACAGATTTTGCCAAATAGCTGATTTTAAACATCTCTAGAAAAGGTACTAGTGGCTCAAATTTAAAATTCCTTACCTGAGCCTCTGTGGACTGAAAACTGGCAGGCAGAACTCTGTTGGAGCCGGTAACCATGAGACTGCAAGAAATCACTGGGAAACCCAGGTGGGAAAGAAAATATCAATGACTTTTTCTGTAATACAAGCGTGTGCATTTTTGACATCCTCACTGTTTGTCTAAGCCACCAAAAACTGCTGAAAGTTAGTAAATAATAGGTCAGCATTTTCAGGCATGAGCCAATGGGAAGCAAAACCAAATAGACTTACACTTTTTTTTTTTTTTTTTTTTTTTTTGAAGCAGAGTCTTGCTCTGTCGCCCAGGCCGGAGTTCAGTGGCGCCGTCTTGGCTCGCTGCAAGCTCCGCCTCCTGGGTTCATGCCATTCTCCTGCCTCAGCCTCCTGAGTAGCTGGGACTACAGGCACCCGCCACCACGCCCAGCTAATTTTTTTGTATTTTTAGTAGAGAGGGGGTTTCACCATGTTAGCCAGGATGGTCTCGATCTGACCTCGTGATCCACCCGCCTCGACCTCCCAAAGTGCTGGGGTTACAGGCATGTGCCCCCGCACCCGGCTAACTTATACTTTTAAAGAGTGAACTTGATGATACTTGAATTATATCTCAATTTTTTTTTTTTTTTTTTTTTTGAGACGGAGTTTCATTCTGTCACCCAGGCTGGAGTGCAGTGGTGTGATCGTGATCTCGGCTCACTGCAACCTCCACTCCCGGGTTCAAGAGATTCTCCTGTCTCAGCCTCCCAAGTAGCTGGGATTACAGATGCCCACCACTGCGTCCAGCTAATTTTTGTATTTTTAGTAGAGATAGGGTTTCACCATATTGGCCAGGCTGGTCTCAAACTCCTAACCTCAAGTGATCCACCTGCCTTGGCCTCCCAAAGTGCTGGGATTACAAGCATGAGCCACTGCGCCCAGCCTCAATTTTTAAAAATAGACTCTGCGGCCGGGTGCAGTCGCTCACACCTGTAATCCCAGCACTTTGGGAAGCTGAGGCAGGAGGGCTGTTGAGGCCAGGAGTTCAAGACTAGCGTGAGCAACATATCAAGACCCCGTCTCTACAAAAAATAAAATTAGCTGGGCATGGTAGCACATGCCTGTAGTCCCAGCTACTCAAGAGACTGAGACAGGAAGTTTCCTTGAGCCCAAAAGGTTGAGGCTGAAGTAGGCCATGATGGTGCCACTGCACTCCAGCCTGGGTGACAGAGTGAGACCTTGTCTGAAAAAAAAAAAAAGGCTGGGCACAGTGGCTCACAGCTGTAATCCTGGCACTTTGGGAGGCCATGGCAGGAGGATCACTTGAGCCCAGGAGCTCAAGACCAGCCTGGCCAACAAAGTGACACCCTTTCTTTACAAAAATTAGCCCAGTGTGGTGGCATGCCCTCATAGTCCTAGCTACTTGGGAGGTTGAATTGGGAGGATCGCTTGAGCCCTGGAGGTGGAGGCTACAGTGAGCTGTGATTATGCCACTGCACTCCAGCCTGGGCAATAGAGACCCATATAAAAAAAAAAAAAAAAAGCTCTGGATAGTATACAGGTTTTTTTTTTTAGCACCAAATTATATCAAATACTATGAGCATGGCTTTAATATCTACCAGGCATTTAGAAACATCGAATATGAAGCTTTCAAAGTCTACGTTAATTTGAAGGGCAGTATAAGGTTATTGTGTGTTGTGATTTGTGCTTCTATGAATAAAGAGAGACCTTAGATTATTTTACTTTTGTTTTACAAATTTGCTGTAAATCTTATCATACTTCAGCAATGGATTGAGTCCTGTCTCAGCTACTGATTAGTTGTATAAACTTTGTAGTTCTTGGCGTATAGGAATCAAGAGATCTGACAGTCTGATCATCTTGTTTTGACCTGCTTAGCATTCATTCATTCACTTGCTTCTTTTAATAATAACACCCTGATTTTTCTTGAGGAACTATTTTCCCCCCACTATCAGTCCATATTACCCCCTACTGGCTAATTAGTTAGCTGTAGTACTTTTGCTGGAATTAATAGGAAAGATGCTATACATTCTAAACTAATAGGATGTGTCTGGACTTCCAGTGGTCGGTTTTGCTACCTGTATTAGGGTTCTCCAGAGGAACAGAATGAATAGGATGTATGTATATGTGAAAGGGATTTTATTAGAAAGAATTGGCTCACATGATGCACAAGGCGAAGTCCCACGATAGGCCATCTGCAAGGTGTGGATGAGAGAAGCCAGTAGGGATTCAGTCTGAAAGCCTCAAAACTAGGGAAGCCAACAATACAGCCTTCAGTCTGTGGCTGAAGGCCCTAGAGCCCCTGGCAATCCACTGGTGTAAATCCAAGAGTCCAGAGGCTGAAGAACCTGGAGTCTGATGTCCAAGGGCGGCAGGAGCAGGAAGAAGCATCCAGCATGGGAAAAAGAAGGAAGCCAGGAGACCCAGCAAGCAAAAGCTATTCCACCTTCTCCCTCTGTTCTAGCGGAGAACAAATGTAAGCTGTAAATGCTTACATTAAAAAGAAAAGTCAGCCGGGCATGGTGGCTCACGCCTGTAATCCCAACACTTTGGGAGGCCGAGACAGGCAGATCACGAGGTCAGGAGTTTGAGACCGGCCTGGCCAACATGGTGAAAACCCATCTCTACTAAAAATAAAAAAATTAGCTGGGTGTGGTGGCAGGCACCTGTAATCCCAGCTACTTGGGAGACTGAGGCAGGAGAATCATTTGAACCCAGGAGGCAGAGGTTGCAGTGAGCAGAGATCGCACCATTGCACTCCAGCCTAGGTGACAGGGCAAGACTCTGTCTCAAAAAAAAAAAAGAAAAGTCAATAACCTAAACTTCCACCTAAAGAAACTAGAGAAATAAGAGCAAACTAAACCCAAAGCAAGCAGAAGGAAGGAAATAATAAAGATTAAAGTGGAAATAAATGAAACTCACCAACAATAGAGAAAATCATAGAAATCAACAGTTAGTCCTTTGAAAATATTAACAAAATTGACAAACCTTAAGTTAGACCTAGAAAAAACAGGAATGAAAGGGGACATTACTACCAACCTTACAGAATCAAAGAAGGAAATATTATGAACAATTGCATACCAACAAATTAGATAACCTAGATGAAACAGAAAAATTAATAGAAAGGCACAAACTCCCAAAACTGACTCAAGAAAAAATAGGAAACCTGAATAGACCCATAACAAGTAAAAAGATTGAGTCAGTAATCCAAAAAAAATCCAAGGAACCAGAGAAAGGCTCAGGGCCAGATGGATTCACTGTCATCTGATGAATTCTAACAAATATTAAAAGAACACCAATCCTTCACAAATTCTTCCAAAAAAATGAAAAGGGAGGAACACTTACCTCATTCCATGATATCAAACCAAACAAATAACATCACAAGAAAACTGCAGACCAGTATTCCTTATGAATATGCTTATAAAAATCCTCCATAAAATACTGGCAAACTCAATCCAGCAACATGTGACAAAAATTATACATTGTGACCAAGTGAGATTTATTCCAAGAATGCAAGGTTGGTTCAATGTGAAAGTCAACCAGTAGGATACATCAAACTAACAGAATAAAAGAAACCACATGATCATTTCAACAGACGGGAAAAAAAACACTTGACAAATCCAATATCCTTTAATTAAAAAAAAAAAAACTAGAAATAGAAGGAAATGTCCTCAACTTGATGAGCATTTATGAAAATATGAAAAACCCACAGCTAACATACTTAGTGGTTAAAAAAAAAAGCCTTCCCTATAAGATCAGGAAAAGTCAAGACTGTCTACTCTCACCACTTGTTTGTTTGGTTTTTTTGAGACAAGGCCTATCTCTGTTGTTCAGGCTAGAGTGCAGTGGCACAATCATGGCTCACTACAGCCTCCACCTCCCAGGCTCAAACGATCCTCCTGCCTCAGCCTCCTGAGTAGCTGTAACCACAAGCACACACCACCATGGCAGGCTAATTGTTTATATTGTTTGTAGAGATGGGATTTTGCCATGTTGCCCAGGCTGGTCTCAAACTCCTGAGCTTGAGCATTCTGCCTGCCTTGGCCTCCCAGAGTGCTAGTATTACAGATGTGAGCCACTGCTCCCAGCCACCACTTTTATTTAACATTGTACTTGGAGATTCTAACCAGGGCAATTAGGCAATAAAAAGAAATAAAAAGAATTACTTTTTATTAACATTTGTTATTGGACGTGGAAGCTTTAAGAGGTGTATTCAGAGCATCCCCTGGTGTCCCAGACATAGTCTTTCTTGCTGCCATTGTGTAGCAGCAACCCAATTTCTCCTTAGTAATCATTATTGATTGCCCTAGCCAGTAAAATATTCCCCCTCTTTGCGTATTGGTTCAGTGACATGAGCCCAGTACTAATGGTGATGGACAGAATTCATTTGCCAGATAATAGGACCCAAAATGACAAATCTATAATTTATTACAGGAAAAGAAAATAGGATAGTATCAGCATTAAAGTACAGATATGCATCATACCCAAAGGCTGCCTCATAAGAAGAGGTCTGGAGAGGACAATTTTGAGCACTAACTGTCAGGGCTTGTGGTAGGCAGAAAAATGGTCCTTCAAAGGTGTCTGCATATTTATCCCTGAAACCTGTGCATATGTTACTTTACATGGCAAAAAAAGACTTCGAAAATGTGATTAAGTGAAATATCTTGAGATAGGAAGATTATCCTGGATTATCCAATGGGCCCATTGTGGTCACAAGGGTCCCTCTCTTAAGGAGACAGGAGAATCAAAGAAGATGTGAGGATAAAAGCAAAGGTCAGGGAGTCAGTTTTGAAGATGCTACTCTGCCAGCTTTGAAGATGAAAGAAGAGGCCACCAGCCTAGGAATACAGGCAGCCTCTAGAATTTGGAAAAGGTAAGAACAGATTCTCCACTTGAATTTCCAGAAGGAATCAGCCTGTTGACTGACAACTTTACCTTAATTCATAAGACTGATTTTGGACTTTTGACCTACAGAATGTAAGATAATAAATTTATGTCATTTTAAGCTACTGATTTTGTGGTAAAGTGTTAGAGCGGCAATAGGAAACTAACACAGGGCAGTAGGGACACACTCTCTTGGATCAGGGACCAACAGTATGAGCATGGAACACCTCAGAACCAGAGGGCTCAAAATGGAGCCTCAGCTGGGGTTTCTTACACCCTGCTGTTCACACAGGCGTATTTTTGGCACATAACCAGCCCCAGCAACCAAGTTTTTGTGTCCCTGGAGGAAGGAGAACAGCGGGAGGGACAGAGGTCTCCAGGTATAAATCATTCATCTGACTATTACAATAAACAGTGTTGACAAACTGGTACAAACTACCCTGAAACTCCTCATACATAAGGTTACAAAACAATATTATTAATCAGGATATATTATGCCTTGACCAGGATTTGGTGTTATGCAAACAGCTGAGGCCAATTTCAGGCCCACTGGAATTCATCCTCATAGCACAACCCCAAAATGATCAGTGACAGTCTCAACTTACAATTCACTAGAACCACTGTTATATCCCCTGGTGGAAGCATTCCTCTCTTGGGAAACAAGACTGCCAAAATAACAGTTCACAGATGCAGCAAAGGGAAGCACAAATTCTGTGAGTGGATTATTAGGTGCAATAGTAAAATGAGCCACTCCCACTTTCACTCCTTGATTTCTGGGCTCATATTTTGACCTTGGAAGTTAGGGTTACATATCTTTGGTTATCAATTCAAAGCACATACTGCATCCTGTGAAATAGAACCTAATCCTCTTAGGTTATTTTCTCTCAGTTGCAAGTAACTGAGTCTTAAGTAAATCATTCTATCATTCTAACAAAGCAGATGCTTCTGGGTGATGAAGTACATGACAAAACCAATAAATTCCATGGGCATCAGTCTATTGCCACACTCTGTTATGGACTGAATGTTTCCCCCCCAAATTCATATGTTGAAGGCCTAACCCCCCATCAATATGACAGTACTTGGAGATGGGACCTTTGGGAGGGTGTTAGGGTTAGGTGAGGTCATGAGGGCAGGACCCTGGTCCCGTGAGATTAGTGCCCTTATAAGAAGAAGAGATACCAAGAGATTTGTGCAAGATGGCAGCTGCCTACAAGGCCAAGAGAAGAGGCCTTAGAATGAAACCTACCTTGCCAGTACCTTGATCTTGGACTTCACACCCTCCACTGTAAGGAATAAATTTCTGTTGTTTAATTCACCTAGTCTGTGGCATTTTATTGTGGCAGCCCAAGCAGACTAATACATACCCCTTTGCTAATCTTTGATAAGAAGTAATGTGATGCATGATACCATGACAGTTAATAAGGCTGGCAGAGATAATAAAGGCAAAGTCATATCCAGAATATGTATCTTTTCTAGTGACAGTAAATAGAAAGTGCCCACTGTAATCAACCTGCCACCAAGTACCTATGTTAGGCGCTCAGTGTTGGTCCCTGCTGTTGGCAGGTCAGGCACTCAGCATATCAAACTTGGTGAGAGGAAGTCCATGTTGTTGAGCCTAAATGTAAGTCTCCATCCTTGCCAGCATGGCCTCTCTTGTACATGGACCTATTGGGCAGTCATTGGGAATTTTGGGGAAAGAGGCCATCTGATATCCGCAGAGTATGTCATCTTTTTTTCTTTTTTTAAACTGATATTTGAGAGTTATACATATTTGGGGTGTACATGTGACAGTTTTACACATGTGTACAATATGTCGTGATCAAATCGGGGTATTGTAATATCTGTCACCTCAAACATTTTTCTTTGTGTTGGGAGCATTACAATTTTTCTAGCTATTTTGAAGTATACAATAAATTACTGTTAACTATAGGTTCCCTACTGTATTATTGAATGCTATAACATATTCCTTTTTTTTTTTTTTTTTGAGACATAGTTTTGCTCTTGTTGTCTAGGCTAGGGTGCAATGGTGAGATCTCAGCTCACTGCAACCTCCACCTCCCGGGTCCAAGCAATTCTCCTGCCTCAGCCTCCCGAGTAGCTGGGATTACAGGTACCTGCCACCACGCCTGGGTAATTTTTGTATTTTTAGTAGAGATGGGGTTTCACCATGTTGGCCAGGCTGGTCTCGAACTCCTGACCTCAAGTGATCCATCTACCTCGGCCTCCCAAAGTGCTGGGATTACAGGTGTGAGCCACCATGCCCAGCCCCATATTCCTTCTTTATAACTGTAATTTTTTTTACTTAATTACCAACTTCTCTGCATTCTCCCCTGCCCACCACCACCACCACCACCCTACTCTTTGCAGCCTCTGCTAACTACCATTTTACTCTCTATCTCCATGAGATCCATGTTTTTAGCTCCCACATATGACTGAGAACATGTGATATTTGTCTTTCTAGGCCTGACTTATTTCACTGAACATAATGACCTCCAGTCTCATTCATGTTGCTGCAAATGACAGGATTTCATTCTTTTTTAAAGGCCAAATAATATTCCATTGTGTATATATACCACGTCTTTATCCATTCATCCATTGAAGGAGACTTAGGTTGGTTCCATATGTTTACTGTTGTGAATAGTGCTGCAGTAAACACAGAAGTGCAGATACACTGATTTCCTTTCTTGTGGATACATACTTAGCAGTGGGATTACTGGATCATATAGTGGTTCTATTTTTAGTTTTTTTGAGGAACCTCCACATTGTTCTCCATATTCACTGTACCACTTTACATCCCTACCAACAACATATGAGCATTCTCCTTCTCTGCATCCTCACTAGCATTTATTATTTTTTGTCTTTTTGGCAATAGACATTTTAACTGGGGTAGATGATATCTCATTGTGGTTTTGATTTGCATCTCCCTGATGATTAGTGATGTTGAACATTTTGTCATACACCTGTTGGCTATTTTTATGTCTTCTTTTGAGAATTATCTATTCAGGACTTTTGCCCATTTTTAATTTGGATTATTTAGTTTTTGCTATTGAGTTGCTTGAGTTCTTTATATATTGT
Source organism: Homo sapiens (assembly GCF_000001405.40). Taxonomy (NCBI): domain Eukaryota; kingdom Metazoa; phylum Chordata; class Mammalia; order Primates; family Hominidae; genus Homo; species Homo sapiens. Next base: position 160,383,220 of record NC_000005.10, on the reverse strand, counting down.
TCTTTTATTATTATATTAATCTCTTGTCAAATGGATAGTTTGCAAGTATTTTCTCCCATTCTGTAGGTTGTCTTTTCATTCTGTTGATTGTTTCCTTTACTGTGCAGATGCTTATTCATTTAAGGTAATCCCTTTGTCTATTTTTCTTTTGTTGCCTGTGCTTTTGAGGTCTTATTCAAAAATTTTTTCCCAGACCAGTATCCTGTAGGGTTTTCTCTATGTTTTTGTCTAGTAATTTAATAGTTCTTGGACTTAGGTTTAAGTCTTTAATCCATTTTTAGTTGATTTTTGTATGTTGTAAAAGAGATCTCGTTTCATTCTTCTGTATGTGGATATCCAGTTTTCCCAGCACCACTAATTAAAGAGACCACCCTTTCCTAAGTTTATTTTCTTGGTGCCTTTGTCAAAAATGAGTTGGCTATAAATGTGTAGATTTATTTCTGGGTTCTTTTATCTTTTCCATTGGTCTATGTGAAAGAGTGTCATCTTGTCTTACTGTTTATTGAGAGCCTCCTCTGCAGTGGATGGATGTCTGTGTTAGTTTAGGTTCAGCAAGGCAGTCCAGAAGACCTCAAGCCAAAGTCAGCTGTCACAAGAGACCCATATATTCCAGCAATAGGCGTGGCTAAGTATTCCTGCCACGCTCAGACATTTGCTGGGGAGAGCTCCCAGGAAGTGTGAACTGGCACAAGTACAGTGATGAAATTCAGAGTGCATTAATTTCAGCCTCTGGGGACCCTGGTTAATTATGTTGCCTGTAGTTGACAGCTGCAAAGTGCATTCTCATGGGCACACAACATCGTTTGGTAAGTATCCATCTGGAGCACAATTATCTTTAATTCTCTGCCTATTCTAAGAGGTCCATTCATATACCTGTCCCCCACACCTTTTTGTCACTTATCTTCTCAATCTGTTTTTTCCAAGTCCCTGATCGTCCATCAAACCATTAGTAACTTCCCTTGACTACTGCAGTTTAGATCCATACTTTTGGATATTGTTCAATTCAGACATAGTAGAGAACCAAATGTACTGCTCAAAATTTTCTCTAGGAAATTTTCCCTTCATTAGGATCTTTCCAAGACATACCTGATCCGGGTTGTAATGCTGCAATAGATTTTGCAGCAACCAGCTTGTACCAGCATATTGGTCAGAATAAATTATAAACCAGTTCTAAATTTCTTCCTGCTAGTCAGCTGGTCATAAAGAACTCCCCATGTAGCCTAAATTATGGATTGAGAAAAAAGAAGGCTTGCAACACAAGTAGGTGTCAATGGTGTTAAGCCACTTACTCAGGCAACTTGCTTGTGCCTTCCAAATCTGCTTAATCTTTGTTTCTTCTGTACTTCTTTCCACTTGAGGATAGATTGCTGCTATGCTCACTCCAATTTATGGCTTGCTGGATCAAATAGCACCCTATCCCATGGTTAGATGCCTAGTATCAAATCAGTGACTATTTCTCAGGAGAAAAATAGTTATCTACAGAAGAGGGTGTGGATTTTCTCTACCACCCCAGAGGTCAATGCTTCAGTTCTCCTATTGGCATTTGCCAAAGCCTCCATTAAGAATTCCTATTTGCCACATTCAGGTGTCATTGGATCTGCTGCCTCTTAAGCTCCAAGTGGCAGAGTAGCTAGCACTACAGCATGGACTTGCTGCAGAGCCTTTTCGGGCTCTGGTCTCCACTCCAAACTGGCAGTCTTATGGATTACTTGGTAAATGGGTCAGAGCAGCATCACTCATTTGTGGTATATGTTGCATCCAGATTTAAAAAGAAGCTCATCAAGCACTGTTCCTCTGCTGTATAGTGGTAGGTCATGCAAGGCACAGCAACTTCTTGTTCACCTTGAAGGGGATATTGCAATATGCTCCAGACTATTAGCACATCAGAAACTTTGCTAAGGTCATGAGTCCCTCTATTTTTGTGGTGGTTATCTCCCATTCTCTGACCCACATGCATTTTGCTAAGACATCTGAAGTACTTGCTACTACCTTCTTATCAGATCAGTTACTCTGTGGAATGTCAAGATGATCGAAATCTCTGCAGACTATATTATAGCAGTCAGTAAGTTAATATATCTCTAAGGCAAGTCTGTGAAGGTGATCTCTTGGCTCTGTCAGGTAAAGACAAACTGTTTCTGGTGTTCATTGCAAATTGGTATAGAGAAAAAAAGTCATTTGCCTTATCACTAAGAACCTCTTAAGACTTTGGATTCTTTTCTCTACATTATGCCAGAAAGTTCTGAGACCTCAAACTGATTATATATAGGTTACTGTTTAGTCCAAGTTTCTGTCATCTAAGTAAGTAAATTCTTAATACAATCTAACACCCAGAATCTCTGATACGTACTCTCATACCAGTAAATTTGGCCTGTTATATTCCACCTTCTTTGGTCTAACACTCTTAGAATCCCATTCCAATATATATTGACCAGGTTTCAGCCTATAGAAATTAGAAAAATCTTGCAGTTCTTTTGGATTATAAAGTATTTCCTTCGGAATCAGACTTTGTATTTGTTCCCTTGGAATATGCTGGGTTTGACCCTAGTTACGTCCTGGTGGCAACAAGGAGTAGTTAGGCCGTGTCTTAGAGAATATAGGCACCTCCTTGAAAGGCTCTTGCCTCAGGTGAGGTTATTACAAGGTCTTCAAGCAAAAGATAGCTAATCTCAGACATGGAAGATTTTCAGCTTCATCCAAGTCCATGAAGGTGTCCTCATTCCAATTCTTGGGGACACTTTCCAAATTCTCACCCTAACTTTTGCTGGGAAATGTGGGCTATGAAATGTATCTAAATCTCATTTAGATACTTTTAGGACTGCCACAGATGCTCTCTAGTTCTCTGACAAAGACTTGAGCTGAGATTTGAAAGAGCTGAGTGTGACATTTTCTTCCTGTAAGCACTCCATGCACTCAGAAGCGGGCATCCCACCTCACAATGTTTATAGTCATCTTCATTCCAAGCAGCCACGTGGGCCCCCAAGGCACCTGCCTCAGGGGGTTCTTTATTACAATAAATAATTTGAATATCAGTGTCATTCCATCCCATGGATTACCAGCATCCCATTTCATGACAAAGAGCTCAACATTTCATTCAAGTCTAAAGACAAACCCAAACACCTCAAAAATTCCATCTTTGAGAGTCTGTTTCCTGGGACTCCTGATCCCAATTTCTGAATCAATCAGGGTTCAGTCAGGATACATAAGCTATACCAGTTACTTTCACAGGGAGAATTTAACATAAAGAAGTGTTAACCAGGTATTGGAGAACTGGAGGGGCAAAAAGAATACTATAGTAAATGCACAAAGCAGCTACCAGCCCTACAGCTGGGAGAACATGGAGAGTAATTTGGGACTATTAAAATGCAGAAACTTTGATGGAGGGCCCCACGGAGCTGGGACTGAGAGGGCATCTGCCATCTGATACTGGTTGTCTGAAGAAATATAATGAGACTGAGATTGTGGAAAAAAATGCAAACTTGAACCAGCTGCTTCTACGGGAAATAACTGTCATTGCCAGGGTAAGGAACTGTTGCTTAGTGACAATGACAGTAACAGGAACAAAACAGAAAGGACCAAGTTCCTTGCCACTGTTCTTGACTTCCAATCTTCTTCTAGTATTCCCTATTTGCAGGCTGACAGAAGGCCGGCTGGTAAAGAAGAAATGGGATTTGCAAAGTACCAGCCCTGGCATCACGTAGCTGAGTTTGGAACTGAGACTATAGCTTAATAACCAATACTGTGTGTGTCTGTCTGTGCATGCGTACACTTGCATGTGTGTTCATGTGTGTTTTCCGAACCATTTTAAAGTGAGTTCATCGTGTGCCTTTACCCCTACATACTTCAGCATGCATCTCCTAAAAATAAGGACATCCTTTTTTTTTTTTTTAAACAGTTTCACTCTTTTTGCTCAAGCTGGAGTGCAATGGCGCGATCTCAGCTCACTGCAACCTCCACCTCCTGGGTTCAAGTGATTCTCATGCCTCAGCCTCCCCAGTAGCTGGGATTACAGGCACACACCACCATCCCCGGCTAATTTTTGTATTTTTAGTAGAGATGGGGTTTCACCATGTTGGCCAGGCTGGTCTCGAACTTCTGACCTCAGGCAATCCACCCACCTCGGCCTCCCAAAGTGCTGGGATTACAGGTGTGAGCCACCATGACCAGCTGACATTATCCTTTCTAAGTACAAAACCATTCTTCACACCTGATAAAAAGTAATAATTCTTTAATATTACCTAATACTCAGACCATATTGAAAGTCCTCCCCAATATCTTTTATTTCTGATTTTATTATCTTTTATTTCTGAACCACCTTTTTATTTTTTCATGACATTAAAATTTTGAAGAATATCCCACTTACTTGATTGGAGTATCTTCTTGTATGCCATTTAACGAATTATTCTAGGTTTTCTGCTAATCAGAGGTTAGGTTGAAAGGCTTTATTCAATTCAGGTTAGTATCATTTGATTCAGTTTAGTAGGTATAAAATGCCAAATTGTTACATCCTTGGTAATGCTAAATTTACTTAATTGGTTACAGAGTAGCCACCAAATCTATGTTTTTCCCTTTGAGCTTTTTTTAGAATGTCTTATTTTTAATATGTAATACATGCATATGGTAAATTGCAACAGTACAGAGAAAGCTGTGACTCCCGTCCTTATCTCCCAGCTCCAGAATTCTCCCCAGAAGCAGCTACTGTTACCAGATTATGGATTTTTAAAGAGATAGTTATTAATAAACGAGTATGTGCATGGGTGCCTGGGTACATTGTGTGTGTGTGTGTCTGTGTGTGTGTGTGTGTAACCTTTTTTTCTTCACAAGTAGTAGCACATTACACATTCTTGAATACTTCAAGATTTTTAATTTACTGTCAATAAAATAAATTTACTGGATGTAAATTAAGTGGATGAGGCATAGTCTTCTGAGTGTTATTTAAAGGACATCTGTAGAAGTCTTTTGAAATACAAGATTTAGAGAAATTAGTCACCTTCTACTTCAGAACAGCTAACAGTTAAAATACCCCTTTCCAGCCACTAGCAATATCTCATTTATGCAGTTTAATCATGTCTCATTTCCTTAATGTGGGACTCCTACTTTTCTTCCCAGCCAAAAGGCAAAGATGGATCCTTTATTTCTCATATTCCCTCCTAAAATCACGCGGGCAAAATGTGGCAAAGCCTGTTTCTGGACTCATTCGTAGGCTACTTTCCTCAGAACCTGATTCTACAAAGCAGAAGCCTCTAGAACTTAGCAGGGCATTTTCTCAAATCAAATGTTAGTTCATTTCTGATCCACACACTGAGTGGAGAAACCTCATCAAGAGCTTTTTGCATCAGATTCCAAAATGAAGTCTTTCCAGCTGAGGCCCTTTGAGTTACATCTGGAAACTGATTGGAGCTTTTCTGGGTCAATTCTTGTTGAATGTAAACGATAGCTATTTTAGTCTGATTTCTTCTACACTAGGACTCTGTCTCAGAGCTTTAACTTTTTTTTTTTTTTTTTTTTTTTTTGGAGATGGAGTTTCACTCTTGTTGCCCCGGCTACTGGAGTGCAATGGCGCGATCTCAGCTCACCACAACATCTGCCTCCCAGGTTCAAGCGATTCTCCTGCCTCAGCCTCCCGAGCAGCTGGGATTACAGGCATGCACCACCACGCCCAGCTAATTTTTTTGTATTTTTTTAGTAGAGATAGGGTTTCTCCATGTTGGTCAGGCTGGTCTCGAACTCCTGACCTCAGATGATCCACCTGCCTCGGCCTCCCAAAGTGCTGGGATTACAGGCGTGAGCCACCGCGTCCGGTCAGAGCTTTAACTTTCTTAAAATCTGAAATGGGGCCAGGCGTGATGGCTCATGCCTGTGATCTCAACACTTTGGGAGGCCAAGGCAGGTGGATCACCTGAAGTCAGAAGTTCGAGACCAGCCTGACCAACATGGTGAAACCCCGTCTCTACTAAAAATACAAAAATTAGCCGGGCATGATGGCACATGCCTGTAATCTCAGCTACTCGGAGGCTGAGGCAGGAGAATTGCTTGAACCCGGGAGGCAGAAATTGTGGTGAGCCGAGATCACGCCATTGCACTCCAGCCTGGGCAACAAGAGCGAAACTCCATCTCAAAACAAAACAAAACAAAAAACAAAAAAAACCTAAAGCAAGAAGAGCCTCTGAGAACTCTGGTTCTTCTTTTCCTTCCCATGAAAACTACTCGCTTGTTGACGCCCTCTGCCCAGCTAAATATAGTCTAGTAGAAGGAACTTATGGCTGGGTGCAATATTTTGGTTATCCCAACTCTGACCCTCATTCAATGTGTAACCTTGGGAAGATGACCTGCCTCTGTGCCTCAGTTCCTTCAGGTGTATAATGAGGGAAATACTTGTCCCAAATTTGAAAGATGGAACAAAAAGCTATTTAAAAAATTTTTTTAAGAAAGCATATCATTGTAGAGGGATTACTATTATTAACTATCCAAACTCTGGCACATCCCCAGATCCAGCTCATCCATAAGAGCAAAAGAAGAATTTCCAAAAACTACAACACAGCATAGACTTTATTTTTTATTTTCTTGGAGGGAGGGATGTTGAATAAGTAACATATTCCCATGGTTTTAAAAATCAAATCATTCCAAAAGACAAGCAGTGAATAAGCCTCCCTCTCACAACTGTTTTCCAGTTCCCCTCTCCAGAGACAACTTCATGGGTTACAATTTCTGTATCCTTCCAGAAATAATTGTTTTTATACCCATGTGTGTTTGTGTGTTTTCCTTGCCTTTCTTTTATTAATGTGTATAGTAGCAAACTATATACATTGTTCTGCTCCTTATTTTTCTCACTAAACAGTATATCTCAGAGATCATTCCATATAAGACATAGAATTCTGCCTCTGTGTAGATATGTATAGTGATTTATTTAATCAGCTCCCTGTTATTGGGCATTTAGATTGTTTCCAATCCTTTATTAAACAAGGTTGCAGTGAATATCCATATGCACATTCCCAGAATAAGTTCCTGGAAACAGAATGGCTATATCAAAAAATAAATTGTGTATTTTTAGTTTTTTTAATAAATCAGCAAGCTTTCATTTGGGTTGATCTGGTTTCATTCTAAGTGACATAATACACAGAGCAGCCAACATTCACTTCGACATCATGGTCTTTTAAACCTGGGCTGTTTTGATCTTTTCCCTCATATGGCATTAGAACAATGAATACAGTTCTCCAGGCTGGAGGGCTTAGAAGTCTGTGGAATGGCAGCAAGTCCTCTCTATGAACAGCTATCTCCCCGGTACTGCCACATTGGTGAGCACCATCTGGAATTATCTCATTCTGGAGAAACTCACAGACCCTTATTAAAAGTAAGCATCTGAGAACTTGGGTCTTGGCCATCAGCTGTTTGGAATGATTCAACAATAGTTTTAAAATATTATTTTATACCAAAATTGGAGAAAATAAAAGGCTGAAAATGGCAACAAAAAAAAGCCTACATTTAAATAATGAGTGTAAGTCAGAAGACTTTCTTCTTGGCTCCACAACCATTAAATCATTGAAGGTCTCTGGACCTCTTTGTCTTCGGGTATAAAATGAAGACCTTGGACCAAATTATTTCTCAGGACCTTTCCTCCTTTGATATTCTGAAGATTCAGATGCAGCATAAGTGGTACTTGTCCTCCCAATCTGACCATTTTCAAAATGCAAGAAGTGTCACAAATCACTACATGATTACTATCCAAATGGGTGATATAGTTGTGAAGGGATTTAGACAGTGATGTGCTGGTGAACAGGCTGGGGGCTGGGGTAGAGGAAACAGTGCTCTGATTTGTAGAATTTGCTGATTTCATGGTGTGATTACTTTCACATTACCAACATGACATCACTAAACTCAGAGTTGGGAAGAGATGCATGGAATTGGCTGCTGGGATCCACCAAACCACAAGTTAAGAATGCAAAGAAGGGATTTTCTTCATACTGTTCTATGCTGAGAGGACTTCATAAAAGAGGAAAGATTTGGACTAGGCATTGAAGGATATTGATTAGGACTTTCCATGGTAACTGACAGAAACAATTCAAACTAGCTTAAAGAAAGAAAAAGAATATGAGAATGAACCTGTTTTAGCACAAGTATCTGAAAAAAGGGCTTTAATAATGTAGTCATGGCACTTGCTCCACCTTTCAGTTCTTCTTGAATCTACTTCTATTTGTGTATTCATGTCATTGTCTCCTGCCATAAGCAGGCTGTCTCCAAGTGGCAGGAAAAACATGGCTAGTGGCAGCCCAGGGGCTACCTCTTTGCAGTCAACAATTCAAAAGAAAAGCAATGCACTCTTATGGAGATCACGTGGAAAGACTGATTGGCTCACTTGGATCTCATGCCCACCAATTCAACTCCTAACTGGGCAGAAAGGGAAAGGGTATGTAATTCACATGCCCCTGGCACTGTAGCCAGAGAGCAGACAGAGCACTAAGATAGACCTCTCTTCCCCTACCACCCAAAACACATGAGAGTCATCCAAACAGAGTTCACCAATGGAAAAAGCCATGAATTTCTGGTAGAAATAATGGTAAGGCTTTGTGGAGAGGTAGAAGAAGATATAGTAATTAGAGGGAATGGCATATGTAGGTGCAGAAATGTAAACATTGATGGTGCATTTGGGAGTCAGTGAGAAAACCACCCTGAGCAAAGCAGAGCTTACCTATAAGACAGTGGTTTGCAACAGAGGGCAATTTTGCCCCTCTGGAAAGATTTGGCAAAGTCTGAAGACATTTTTGTTGTCCCAGCTGGGGTCGAGGAGGGCTGCTACTAGTAGGTAGTATCTAGTGGGTAGAGGCCAGAGATCCTGCTAATCCTACAATGCATAGGACAGTCCCCTCAACAAAAAAAGGCTGAGTTTAGGCTTTATCCTCTGTTACACAGGGAAGCATTAGAAAGATATTTAGAAGGACTAAGGTAGCTTGTACATACCCTGCTCCTTCTGCCTGGCACCACTCCTCACCTTGGCTACCTTTGTATGACTAGCCCTTTTTTATCCTTTGGGACTCAGCTTAAATATCACCTACTGAAGAGATCATCTAGACTTTTCAATCAAAGTAGGTTATCTCACAGACTTCATACCGTTATTCTTTCCCATGTTTCCCTCTTATTTTCACCACAATTTTGAATTATATGTTTATTTGGTTGCTGGTTTCACATCTGTCTCATAAGGAGAGACCTTCCTTATTCATTCATCACTGTGAGCTCAACATCAAGCAGAGTGCCTGGTGCATTGTAGTTGCTGATATTTAATCAATGATTAATCTGAAGGTTGATGGGAGGATTGAAATGGGGTTGAGCATAGGAGGTGGATAGAAAGAGGAAAGAAGGCAGTCCTCTAGATTTCTTCTCTGCTTGTTCTGATCCACACTCATCTCCTTTCCCTGACTTTCACAGCACCTATAGTTCATAACATGACATGTCAGTTAGGATTTTAAGCAGACATGAATTTAATAAAAAGAATCAAATAGACTCAGAACCATTGCAGAACAAGTTCTGGCTTGGGCTTGCAGGAATGAGTCCCAAAACCTGCCGTCGTACTAACCCCACCACCCCAAGGGATGTGGCCTTCTGCCACAATCAGGAGGCCGGCGACTGGCCTAGTCTGACTACAAGAACACAACATCTTAGGTGTAATCTGGGGATCAGGAACTGGCAGAACTCTAGAGTCACACTGCATCTTCCAGGTCACCACCAGCAAAGTGGATTCCTCCCAGGCTGCTACCTCCTCTTCACATAACTGTTTTTGTTTTTTGTTTTTCTGAACACAATTTTGAATTCAGGTCTTTCCCAGGTGCACAGGACTGGCTAAACCTAAATTATAATGGGAGCCCCAACAGCAAGGAGTCTAGGAAATGGATTTTTAGCTTTCTAGTCTCTGTTGTATAGGAAAGCACACCAAGAAAAGTTTGGACAATTGTGGAACAAGCCAATCTGCCACATCTGCCTCATGGCTGCCCCGCTCTGTGGCCATCAATGTCATAATATCATTCGTCTTCTCTAGGTGGATACTAGCATGTTCTCTAGATGTGAATGGATGTGAAATGAATTGAATGAAATCGAAGGGGAAAATCCTCCTCTTTCATGTTCACACTTTGCACCTTTCCTATGGCACTTAATTGTATTTTGCCTCCTGGTGTAATTTGTGTTCTCATTCAGAAGTTCATCTCTTTGTCCCCATACTCATAATAGGTAATAAATGTTTATAGACTGTGGCCGGGTGCAATGGCTCACGCCTGTAATCCCAGCACTTTGGGAGGCCGAGGCAGTTGGATGACATGAGGCCAGGATTTCAAAACCAGCCTGAGCAAAATAGTGAAGCCCCATCTCTACTAAAAGTACAAAAATTAGCCTAGTGTGGTGTTGCGCGCCTGTGGTCCCAGCTACTTGGCAGGCTGAGACGGGAGAATCGTTTGAACCCGGGAGGTGGAGATTGCAGTGAGCTGAGATTGTGCCACTGCACTCCAGCCTAGGCAACAGAGCAAGACTCCATCTTAAACAAACAAACAAACAAATGTTCGTAGACTGAATTCAAGCAGAGAGTAAAGACAGAGAGAGGCTAGGGAGAGGAAGTTCTAAGCCCCATTCTAGCTTGACACAGTTCCTGCAGCTCGTGGAACTGCCACCGGACAAGTATTTTGGATTGCATGCTACATGAAGCCATCACCACTGCAAGGAACCATAGGACAGGGACCCAGGAACTCTGCTAGGCTTCAGGAAACCTAGGTTCCAGGTATCCTTCAAAAGTTGGAAAAACATGTGCCCCCATTCATTCAATCAGTAGTGTTTATTAAATGTTTCACACTACCAGGTATAGCAGCACTGCCTTTCTTAACTTTTCATTAACCTTTTTTTTTTAACCAATGAGAGCATGCCAGTGATTTCAACCTCTGTCATGATGGAGCCACATGGATAACACACAGATATTACCACTCTACTCTAGGAGAGGGGCTTTCCTGAGCCCTTTAGATTCTGAATGGCCTCCAGGCATTCTAAGCAGTTTCCTCACCTTTCCAATTGCTGACACATCTGACCCAAGAGGCGGTGGATGGAAGTTTCCTTTCCAGCCATCTGTGTATCAACACCCTAAACTCCACTCCACATGTTATCATTCCTTCATTTTTTGAGCTCACACTTCCCCTACATTCAGACAAGTCTCAGTCATCTCTCAGGGTTCACCTGAAACATCAGTTTCCCAGGCCTTCCCCTGACTGCCCAGTTTATACTTTAAGCTTTTCTTTTCTATAACACTCATTTCACTTGTAACCACTTGTGTCATCCCCAGCTGGAGGACTCTAAGTTTCATGAGGGTAGGCATCAAGCCTATTTGTTTCCCTCTATGTCCCCAGCACCTTGCTTGGGGACTGACACACAATGGATGCTTATTAAATATTTGTTGAATGAATGTTTGTTAAGCCTACAAACTTTCTTTCTCAAATAGTATTTATGTGATATTAGTAATAATTCCCTACATAGTTCAATGGCTTACCAAACATCTTTATGAGTTAGTGTCCCAACTTTGGGGTAAAGGCAGTGCAGGTAATATTATTCTCCCATTTTTTTTAGAAAATAAAACACCATCTGTGAGATTATCTGACTTGATTAAGGTGGTGGATACAACATTAGAATTCAAATGCATATCTGTATTAAAATTCTGACTGTAAATTTTGTGTCACTTACCAGCTGTTAACCAGATGCTCTGGCTGTGCAGAGTGAAATATGGGTAGCTAGTGGAAGAGAGCAGTGGAAGGAACAGGGAGAAGCAAAAGCCAGGCCTTGGAGGATTTCCTTTCCTCCAGTGCCTGCTTGATTCCCAAATAGGATTGCTTTGCCTATCCTGGGAGCTGAGACCCTCCATAAGTCTCTCAATGACTTGAGGCTGGGCCAGAGTGAGTGAGACCAGTGAATCCTCACCTTCTGGGGAGAAGAGAAATGAGAGCTGGTACACAGGGGAACTCACCCACACTAGTGTGTATGTGCACACTCACATCCGGACAAAATCCACACCAAGGCATGCATAGAAATCAACACATAGAATGAGCCACTGCACAGTCATACACACATTTAAACATACACCCCACATACAGATGTCAAACCAACACACAGAATGAGCCCCTGCACAGTCACACACACATTTAAACATGCACCCCACATACAGATGTCTAGCCACTATCGTGTACATCCAACCACTGATGTGCCCTCCAGTTTTACACCAAGCTGCCATCTTGGACATGTGCATGCATGTGTACATACACCGAACAGCCCTGATGAAAATTTGGATAAACGCACGTACGCACACACACAACTAAACACATCCCTATGATTTATCATCACACTCAAGTACATGCACACCTTTGCAAACGCGTGGGAAACAATCACTCTGATCACTCTGGCGCACAAAACCTCCAAATACGCTAACAAGCTCTACAAACGCAGAGATGCATCGACACACCCGAGTTGTCATCAGCACTGCAAGTTTTTTCCAAACAGCTGCTAAAAAGAGAATGCTGCGCTGCGGGCCAGCCCACGTGACCGGGAGGAAGGCTCTCCCGCCCATGACGGGATGGGAAAACTATGCCTGGGGCCGACGCTCTGCCCGGCTGCTGCCGCTGAGGAAAGCCGGGACGCGGAGCCCCGCCGAGAGCTTCTTTGCTCCGGACGCCCCTGGACGTGGCGGGCAGCCGCGAGGGTGAGTGTCCCGCACCGCGGTCGGGCGGGGGCGGCAAGTGCGCGCGGGGAGGAGGAGGAGGAGGACTCGCACTGCTGCGGGCGGGGCGGGATGCGGAAGGTGGGAGAGCTGCCAGCGCGCCTTTATTGCGGGCTGGGCAGCTCCTGCATTCCTGCCTCTCGACTTCTACCTTCGTATTATAATACAAATTAACATGTTTTGAGTCCTTACTGTGTGCCAGGCTCTGTGCCCAGTGGTTTACCCGTTACAATAGTAACACCCGTAGCTCTGCCATTTATTGAGCGCCTACTTTGTGCCAAGTCCTGCTAGCACTTTACTTGTGCTCTTTCATTTTCATGACAACAGATTATCCCCGTCTACAAAAGAGGAACTGGGCTCAGAGACATTAATGACTTGGACAGGGTTGCACAGCTAGTAATTGATAAAAAAGGGACTTGAAGTCTGGTAAATCTGAGTCCAATACCCGAGCTAACAATCACAGTTAACATTTACTGAATGCATTATTTCACTTAACCTTCACATTTATTTAAATATATGATACAGACTGGCAAACTGAGCTCAAAAGGTATTGAACGGCAGGCAGAGATTTGTACTCAATGCCTCATGACTCTCTTCACTCTCCTTCCCCACCTAAACTACTTGTCTTAATATGCTTTGTCCTTATTTCTCCATCCCCACTGCTGCTGCCCCATTCTAGGACCTCGCTTTTCAGCTAAATAATTGCAGTGGGCCCTAATAGTCTCCCAGCCCAGGTCTCTCCTCTGACACCATGAGTCCCTTGCATTACCTCATTGTGATCCTCCTCTGCTCCTTGACCACAAAATTGCCCTGCTTGGAAGCCTGCAGAGGTCCCTTCCTTAGACTGGCCATCTCTCAGAGACCCTGTGTTTCCACCATGCTGAAGTAGCAGTAATAGAAAGACAATGTCTTACATAGGTCAATCCAAGGCTGGTGCTCAGTTAGCACTGTTAAAAATCTGTCCTCTCACATCCTTATTTTTGCCCTCCCTCTGCACCATTCTCTAATTTATTCTGTCATCTGGAGTAATTATATCAATTACTCCTGCTTTCAACTGCCCGATCCTCAAACTCTCCACACATTTCCAAGCATCACTACAGCCCTTCATTGTAACACATCAGATTCACTGCAGAATTTGTTTCCTCCCAAATGTCTGACTTCTCCCCATCTCCTAGCAGGGATACCACACTTACCAGTCTTCCAATCCTTAAACCTTAGGTTTACCTTTTGTTTTAAATGTTATAAAAGTAACGACGCTCATCACAAGAAATTCGAACAGTTCAAAAAGGTAGAAAGAGAAAAGTAAAAGCCCACACACCCCCTCCCAATTCTGAAAGGTAACCCCTTAACAAGATTGTGTCTTTTCGGAAAGTATTTCCCCAACCCTTCTGTACATATATATACTCTGTATTTGTGCTGTTTTTTTTTTTTTTAAACTCAAAGAGAAGCATACTTTACATTCCATGGTACAACTTGCTTTTTTCACTTAACAGTGTGTCTTCGCCATGTTTTCATATCTGCATATACAGGCTTACTTTGTTCTTCTAATGGGCATAGTGTGTCATTGTATGGATGAACTGAGATTATTTTTCACAAGGCTGGAGTCACGTTTGAAGCCACTCTGTCTCCATTGAATGTTCAGCAAGTTCTCCAAGGTGTCACTTTTTTCCTCTGCAAATCTCCCTATTCCTCCCCCCTGTCTCGCTATTCCTTCTCTTATGCTGACCCTGCTGATCAGACAGTCTCTCCTGCTGTCTCAATCACTGATGCTTCCTACTCCTAAATGTTCACTGTGGGGTAACAGAGTCTCTCTCCACACCCACAGCTTCACCCACTCCTTCTTCCTGGTCAAAGGCCTGCCAACCTTAATTTACCTCTGTGAGATGAACTCTTGCATAAATCAAACTTCTGTTAGTTATATTCCATTTTAGCTTCTCTTTTTTTTCTTTTTTCTTTTTTTTTGAGAAGGAGTCTCGCTCTGTTGCCCAGGCTGGAGTACAGTGGCACAATCTCGGCTCACTGCAATCTCCGCCTCCTGGGTTCAAGCAATTCTTCTGCCTCAGCCTCCCCAGTAGCTGGGACTACAGGCGCACACCACCTCACCCAGCTAATTTTTGTATTTTTAGTAGAGACGGGGTTTCACCATATTGGCCGGGCTGGTCTCAAACTCCTGATCTTGTGATCCGCCCGCCTCGGCCTCCCAAAGCGCTGGGATTACAGGCATGAGCCACCGCGCCCAGCCCATTCTAGCTTTTCTTTTGAAAGGAATTATGTGCCAAATATTTTTTCAAGCAAATAACCTTCCCCTGGATTTGTTCACTTCTGTTAAGTGGCTTACTCCTATAACACACATACACATGCGCATACACATCACTGCCCTGTTAGTAACTCCCCTGTTAGCTGAGGGGCCATGGTGGAGGAACATGAGCTCTGGGCCCTGAGCCAGCAGGCCTGAGTTCCACCCAAACATTGACCTAGGAAAAGTAATTTTTCCCTTTTCTGAGCTCTGTTTTCTCTTCTGCCAAGTGGAGATGACAGTATCAGCCTCTTAGAAGTGTGGGGAGATTTAAAGGAGATATGAACATCAAAACTTTGAAATAAGAACACACAACATACATGGAGAATCATTACTCTTTTCCTCTAGATTAGGGGTTGCAAACCCAGATACTGACAGAGACTGTGCACAATGTATATAGGAATGGGATGCATGACATTTGGGAGTGGTGAGGACTGTGGACACTGTAGAACACAGGCTCTCTGTCCTAGTCAGCGTGGGGCACCGTGACAACACCACAGACTGGGGAGCTGCAACAATAGACATTTATTTCTCACGATCCCTAGAGGCTGGAAGCCCATCATCAAGGTATCTGCAGTGTTGGTTTCTTCTGAGTCCTCTCTCTGTGGCTTGCAGGTGGCCATCATCTGCTGTGTCTTCACATGGTTGTCACTCTGTATGTGTCTGTGTCCTGATCTCCTCTTAATGTAACGACACCACTCATACTGGATTAGGGCCTACCCATATGACTCATATTACCTTGGTTACCGTTTTTAAGGTCCTATCTCTAAATACAGTCCCATTCTGATAATCTAAGAGTTAGGACTTCAATGTGTGAATTCTGGGGAGACACAAGTCAGCCTGTAATACCTTGTCTCAAGGGGCAGCTACCTGTTGACCTGCCCAAATGCAGGCTCAGTGCTGCCCAGATCCTTCTGCTGCCCAAGAAAAGCTGCAAACGTCGATGTTAACAGAAAATCTCCCAAGTTTTACATTGGCAACAATTTCAAATTAAAAACCCAAAACAAAAAGTACAGAGTAGTCTGTGATCTGTGTGAGGCCACTGATAAGCCAACTGATCCCTGCTTGTCTAGGCTATAATTTCCTCAGTGGCAGGGGCATGTTCCATAGCTTTTTAATCCTCCTCAGCCAGTCTCTGCACGTTGTTTATTCTTTTTCTTTTTTTTTTTTTTTTTTGACAATGTCTTGCTCTGTTGCCCAGATTGAAGTGCAGCGGCACAATCTCTGTTCACTGCAGCCTCTGCCTCCTGGACTCAAGCAATTCTCCCCACTCAGCCCCCCAAGTAATTGGGACTACAGGCATGCACCACCACGCCCGGCTAATTTTTGTAGTTTTTGTAGAGATGAGGTTTTGCCATATTGTCCAGGCTGGTCTCGAACTCCTAGGCTCAGGCACTCCACCTGCTTTGGCCTCCAAAAGTGCTGGGATTATAGGTGTGAGCCGCCGCACTCAGCCTGCACATTGTAATATTAACAAAAAGTTAAAAGCTAATCACTGAATGACTAAATTTGAATTTTACAATCTTGTGTAAAGTAGGGCACACCTGTAGAAATCCTGTACCTCTTTGCATTTATGCCCAGCTATACAATTGCATCAGCCATTATAACTGCTTTCATTGCCATTGATGCCAAAGTTTGCAAATGTTCAGCTCCTCACGGGGTCACTGTTACGGCCACTTTACAGATGGGGAAACAGCAGACCCAGGTCTATCCAGGTTTACCCAGGTCTGCTTGTTTATTCTCATGAGTGTGGCAACCTTCTCCCATGACATCATCTTTCTCTTTGTTCTCAGGAATGATTATTGTATCAAAAATCACTACTGTTACTGAGTGCTTACTGTGGGCTGGTTGCTGCATTATCTCATTAAATATTCACAATTACTCTGTAAGGGAGGTGTGAGCAGTCAAATTACTCAAGGGAGGCATTCCTAAAGACCTCAAATAATTCAAAACTGGTATCATTAAAAGCTCACGGGCCGAATGGAAAACCAAACATTGTATGTTCTCACTCATAAGTGAGAGCTAAGCTATGAGGATGCAAAGGCATAAGAATGACACAATGGACTTTGGGGACTCAAGGGGAAAGGGTGAAAGGGAGCAATGGATGAAAGACTACAAATAGGGCACAGTGTGTACCGCTCGGGTGATGGGTGCACCAAAATCTCACAAATCACCACTAAAGAACTCACTCATGTAACCAAACACCACCTGTTCCCCAATAATCTATGGAAATTAAAAAATTTTTTAAAAAAGCTCACCTGCTGAAGAATGGTAGATATTTCTGATTACCTGTTAGGACAGTGCTGTTATGTGGCTATAGCATAAATACAGTTTACAATTTACAATTCACACTGCCTTACAAGATTTTTGACAACTTTTAACTTGGGAAAATTGGGGTTATTTCAGATTTCACACATCAAGTGAAACAATGAATATTCAAATTCAAATAAGACCATACAGTATTATTTTTCTCATTTTACAGACAAAGAAACTGAGGCCTAGAGAGATTAAATAACTTGGCCCAAGGTCAAACAGCTGGAAAACAACTTAACCACCAGACCAGCTCGTGCTTCTCTAGGGGTAGACCTGTATCTGATTTTTTTTTCTTTGTAGAGATGGCGGGGTGAGGTGGGGGGAGGTCTCACTTTGTTGCCCAGAGGGTCTCACTTTGTTGGCCAGACTGGTCTCGAACTCCTGTCTTCAGGTGATCCCCCCACCTCAGCCTCCCAAAGTGCTAGGATTATAGATGTGAGACATTGTGCCCGGCCCTGTATCAGAAGTTTAGGGTTACTCCGAACGCCCATCAAGGCCTGACCAGAAATGACTCCATGGAAGTTCTTGGGTTCACCCAGAAAAGTCAAGGAAAACTTAGCCTTTTCTCCCTGTCCCCTTCAAAGTTCAGATTCTGTTTCTCTCCCTCAGTTCTTAGATCTTCAAGTGTAGTCCCTTTTATGTCATTCCCAGGGATTGTTGCCTAATCCCAAAATTTCCTTCCCCTGCCGCCTGCCTGGTCTTGAATGCTGTTATGTCTAGATGCTGTTAGGTGCCTATTACAAAGGAAAAGGAGAGTGAGGCTTTTCTTTCCCGGTTACACAGGTGTGCCAGCTGGATGCTCAGGTAAGCAGACAGTTATAACCTGCCCAGGTAGTTCTAGGGATCAGAGTGGGCCCTACAGGAGCAGCAACTACATCTTTTCACCTCTAATTCCCCAGTGTCTGGCCTCAAAGGCAGTAATAATAAACCATACTATTTATTGGGTATCCATGTGCCAGGCTACAGTATCATGCACACATGCACACCTCATATCCCATTTGGCCCTGTCGCTTGATGAGATGAGCACCATCCCGCTTCTTCCCTGGTCTTTGTATTATGGAGCACAGACACGCCAGGTGGCTCAAAGTTGTGGAGCCAAGGCAACACCCCATCCTTCCCTCAGAGCAGAAACAGCAAGGCAGGAAAAAAGGCCCAGCCTCCCTAGGACTTTTTTTTGGTAGCACCTGACAGAGCCATCACTCAAAGTGATAAGTGAAAATGGGAATTTATGAGAAGCTACAGGAGTCTCTACCTGAAATGCATGCAGGACTCAGGGTGGCAGATCAGGACTGGTTTTTGTTAGTTCAACTGCAGTTAGTGGCAATTACAATTTTAAACAAGGTCTTAAAACTCGTATCATTACATTCAACATCCATTATCTTGTTTGATTTTCGGAAGGGCAAGAAATAATAAAATAATAGAAGCTAATGCTTTTATACCTCTTGCCATATGCCAGGCCTTATTCTAGAAACATTAAATCCTCGTAACAACTGTCTAAGGTAGGTTCTATTATTATCGTGTTCATGTTGGAGAGGAGGAGACTGAAGGGGAGAGATTAAGTAACGTGTAAAGGTACTACAGCTAGTTCATGGCATCTGAACTCACACAGCTATGCTGGAGCTATTATGGAAGCCACCATGCGGCTATTGGAGACTTGGAATGCTCCAGTCTGAATTGAGATCCGCTGCAAGTGTGAAATACATCACTGGGCTTCAAAGACTTAGTACTAACTTAAGAATGTAAAATGTCTCATTAATAATTTTTATGGTGATTACATGTTGAAATGATGATATTTGGGAAATCAAGGGCTAAATAGCATTGAAATTAATTTCACCTGTTTCTTTTTTACTTTTTTAATGTGACTACAAGACAAACTGACACATGTGACTTGCGTCATTTTCCTATTGGGCTGAGCTGCTCACACCCACTCCCCCACCGCTGTGGTCAGGCACGTGGAGACTGGCCCTGAGGATGCGATATGGGGATATGAACACCCTCAGCCGCCTTCTCTACCCCTCACATCTCGCACAGCTGCTGCATTCTTCTCTCCCATGGCAGTCCTTGGTCTCCACGTGGCAGAAAACAGCTGCAGACAATGCCAAAGCTTGATGGCTTTGTCTTCAGCCGCTCCAGAGCCTGACTCTTGCCCTTATTGTGCAGAGGAGGCAGCTGAGGCTCAGACGTGCAGCAGGCCAGGGCCCAGGGGGTGGGCTCCACTGCCCACCACGTTATACACCACATTTGTCATTTTGTAAAGGCTGGGCTTGTATATATTAGAAGGTATAATTCTTCAGCTTTAACATACAGGCTGATTTCCTGTGTGCTTTCAGGAATTCTTGCTGAGACAAACCCCTGGCTTCTGAGACCTTGTTAGATCATGATGTGTCCTTGGATCTCATTTTCTAGGCTGAACCAGAAATGAGGAGAGAGAAAATAGCAGATCAAATATTTTCTGAGGCATCCTGTCAAGTGGGCCCCAGGACTTTTAAGCCTCTGTATTTAGACTCTGGATTCTGGACAGTTTCCAAAAGGACACTGATCTTGAGATCTGGAGAGAGGGGACATTTCGTGAGTACTGTGAGGAGCGGCAGCCAGCCGCTTTTTCCTCCAAAGGATCTCTTTAGCTTTTCAGAGAAGCTGGAGAGGACTGTTTCCAATTTACTTCCTGGAATTCAGGGAGGGCGTGGAGTGTTTTTTATTATAGTATTCTATTCTCCCATCAAAGTGGATTTTCAGCAAGCTTCATCTGCAAGCAAACCTTGTCCCTTTTAACACCAAACACAGGGAGAATTGCCCTGCTGGGTGAGATTTGGGTGTCCTCCTCCACCAAGGATGAGGCCTCCCCTGAAACACTCCTGGGGCTCCCAGTGGGAGTTCAGGACTGTGATCCCTTAGTTCAATTGCAACTAGTAACAATTACAATTTTAAATACGACTCTAATTTTGTATCACGTTTTGTTTTCAAATCCACTATCTTATTTGATTCTCTGAATAACCCTGTAAGGCAGACTGGGCAAATGTTAATATCTCCATTTTACAGGTGAGGAAATGAAGGCCCAGATAAGATGAACTGACTTTCACAGTCACGCGATCAGTAAGTTACAAAACTAGGACTGGGACCCCAGTCTTCAGAATCCAAGCCCAGTCATTGCACTGGGTTTTCCTCAGTAGCCAAGTGAGGCTTTGTCATCCGCACGTTTATTGAGACCCTTGAGATCCCCTTGTTTTATAAATTATAATAATACCGGTGGGCTGGGGAGGTCCTCAAACGCCAGTGGGACCTCGACCCCAGCCAGTGTCCAGGCGCTTGACACCATCTCAAGAAGGAATTCAAGGATGAGTCAGAAAATTGTGAAAGTATGGTGATTTTTTGCAAGGGAAAACAGTACACACTCAGGAGAGGGGGCTGTGGGCATTCTCAAGAGAGAGTTGGGCAGAAGTGTTTGGGGTTTCTATCTTTATGGGTTTCTTTAACCAAGAGGTGGAATATTCATGAAAATTCCTGGAAAAAGGTGGAGATTTCCCGGAACTGTGGTGCCACTCATTTCTACACCAAATATGGGTGTTCTCGGAGCTGTCGTGGCACTGGTGGGTGTGTGATTGAGTACATGAATCAGCGTATAAAGAGGTCCTAGGTGAAACCTAGATCAAATCCATCAACATGTTGGGTCCAGTGGGTCTTAGCCAGCTTGGTCCACACCCTGTTTTTCAGGGTCTTATCGGTCTATATAGCCTCTAATCATGTCAAATTGCTGCCTGGGATTTTTCTCCTATGACCACCCTGGATTATTCCAGTCTCCGTAAGGGCGGCCAGTTCATTCAAGGTTATTCAACAGCTGCGTGTTGAGCACTTACTCTATGCAGTGCTGCGCTAGGCTCCAGCAGCCCAGCTGAGAGCAACATGCAGGGCCCATACGTTCCTGGACCTTCCATTCCAGGGAAAGAGCCAGAGAGTTAACAAGTCAAGAAACAAACAAATACATAATCACAAATTGGGCCAGGTGCCTTGAAAGAACAGGATGGGATAAGAGCATATGCAGGATGGGTGCAATGCTTTGGATCACGTGATCAGGGCAGGTCTCTCTGAGGAGATGATATGAGACCTGAGACTTGAAGGATGAGGCTGGCAGCTACCTGAGGGCTTCCCAGAGGAGGTTAAGGACTGGGGGCATTTTAGGCACAGTTCTTTCCAACCGTGGAGCGTTTACAGTGTCAAACACTGGGCTAAATAGAATCTTTGAATGCATTCCTTCACTCATTTCTCACACAAACTCCCTGAGGTAGGTATACTATTATTTTCATTGCATAGTTGAGGGAATCAAGTGCTGGGTGTTCCATGGCTCTTAACCACGGAGTTAAATGCCACTCCTATCTGTCAGTGTGTCAAAACCTGATAACCAACAGGCCAGATTTATTTGAGCATAATTTACATCTTCCAATCTGCAACGGGAGACTGTTCAGCACCCAGGCCTAGTAGGCTTGCTCAAGACAAGTATTCCTGGAGCTTCTACTACTAGCAGACACATTCAGGAAGGATCAATGAGAGGCCCACGTCCCCACTTTTGGCACCTCTCACATCACAGTCTGGGCAGAGGGCCCTTGGGAATAAACCAGAGGGCCATGTCCTGTGGGCCAGGAGGAAGACTTCCCTGACAGTAGACCCAGCCTGTGGCACTTTAGCTCCTAGCGCTTTTCTAGAACATGTGTATTGATGAATCATTAGCTACTTAACAGAGAGATGAGAAGCCCAGGGACTGGGCAGCTGAAAGCCAGACTTAAGAACTCATCCAAGTTCAGCCAGCTACAGTGGCTCACACCTGTAATCCCAGCACTTTGAGGCGAGGCAGGTGGATAACGAGGTCAGGAGTTCGAGACCAGCCTGGCCAGCATGATGAAACCCCGTCTCTACTAAAAATACAAAAAATTAGCCGGGCATGGTGGTGCGCACCTGTAGTCCCAGCTACTCAGGGGGCTGAGGCAGGAGAATTGCTTGAACCCAGCAGATGGAGGTTGCAGTGAGCTGAGATTGCGCCACTGCACTCCAGCCTGGCAGCAGAGCGAGACTCCATCTCAAAAAAAAAAAAAAAAAGAACTCATCCAAGTTTATCAACCCACAATTCCATTTCTGGGGTTTAACCAACTAATATTTTTTATCCCTTTAGTAGGAAGGCTCTAATGAAGGCTTCCATATTAAACTAACACCTTCCCACCCCCAGAAAGGACAATTTAGGAACTCAGATTGTTTTTTTACAGGTGAGAAAGGACTAATACTTACCTCTCTTCTGGTTAATTGGACAGCTCTCTATGGAGCACCTACTCTATCTAAGGCATTCTGCAAGGCTGGCCCCACCCTAGGGGCCAGAGAGGGAACAACCTAGCCCCTATACTGTAAGGGGTCAAAAGCAAGGAGGGATTTGATCTGATTCGGGTTAGAAAAGCAGAGGAAAAAAGAACAGATTTGTATCAAGGGGTGTCAGTGCTCTCTCTTCTGGATTTCAGCCACTGTCTGGTTTTCTCTTCGCTGTGGATTTTCTTGAGGGCAGAGTCTGCGTCTCCAACACTTACTAATTAAGCAAATATTTCTTGAACATTCACTGTGTGTGAGGAAGTTTGAAGCCAGGTGGCCAGCTGGGGTCCTGTACTCATGGAGCTTACATTTTAGTGGAGACACATGGGGGAGGCAACCAAGTAAAGTGAATATGGGTGAGTGGTTTCAAGTGCTGGAAAAGAAACAAAGAGCTGGGAAAAGGGAGCTTGCAGAAAGCGGGCGCTGGCTGAGAGGGCACATCAGGGAATGCCTGGAGGAAGTGACATTTAAACTGAAATACAGCAGATAAAGAGCCAGCAAACCAAGAGGGTGGAGCCGTGAGGTTACTGGTGGAGTGGCTGGTGCCTTGGGGCTGAATGGAGCTTGGCCTAGAAAAGGTAGGGGGGGTGGGTGCTGGGCCAGAGGAGCCGAGGGAGCCAGGGAGGAGCTGAGGCTGGGGCAGGGGCTAGAGCCAGCTCAACTGGGGCATTGTAAGCCATGGCCTGGGTTCTGATGTTTGCTATTTTAAGCCAGCACCTATTGGAGGGTCTTGGGGAGTGACACCCTGATCTTTTGGTTCAGGCCTTGGAAACTCCCCCATTAACACACCAGAGGGGCTTATGGTGGGGACCCAGGGCCCAGGAGGCTGTCCCCTCCACGCCTCTCATCACCTTGTCTAATCCAAGTGTGGGCCTCTCAAAGGACAGGAGGTTTTGCTCAAGCATTGATTTACTCCAGCACCCCAAGAGAGAGAAAAAGCATCACTTGTACGTTTTCAAAGTCATGTACTGTGTGTGTAAAAATTGTAAAATAAAATACAGGGCATCAGAGAGATTTCTCTATGGCTGTGTGTGGTTTTGGCATATGCTTCAAGGTCTTTTCTGTAATGTGGAATATTTAGGGGGAAAAATATAAGAAATGCTGACATAATGGAAAGCATTTGGGTACTAGGATCAGCCAAACCCAAGTTCAAATATAACTTCTGCCACTAACTACTTGTGTAAACATAAGTAAATTAGCCTCTCCAAGTTTCAATGTCTTTTATAAAATGGGGGGAAAATAGCAGGGGCAGGAAGCAAGGTGGCATGGATTAAGCATAGTTTTCAGAGGCACACAGACATGGGTTTGGATGCCATCTCCATTAATCCCTGATTGTGTGACTCTGGGTAAATAACTTCACTTCTTGGAGTATCTGTTTTTTCCTCTGAAAAAAAAAATGGGACAATAAGGGCTCAGGTAAGCTTCATAGGGCTCTAGTAAGCTTTGTATAAAACAATGCAGCAGGCTGGATGCGGTGGCTCACGCCTGTAATCTCAGCACTTTGGGAGGCTGAAACGGGTAGATCGCTGGACTGGAGTTTGAGACCAGCGGATGACATGGCAAGACCCCATCTCTACAAAAAATACAAAAATTAGCTGGGCATGGTGGCACGCTCCTATAGTCCCAGCTTCTCGGGAGGCTGAGGAGGGAGAAACACTTGAGTCCGAGAGGTGGAGGTTGCAGTGAGCCGAGATCACGCCACTGCACTCCAGCCTGGGCGACAAAGTGAGATAAAAAAAGCAATGTAGATACAGGGCTTCACACAGTGCCTGGAACATTGTAGGTGCGTAATAAGGTCAGTTTGCTTCTGCCTTGGTTTCCCCATCTGTAACTGAAGAGGTTGGATTAGATGGTTCCTTGAGGCCCTCCCCAAGTTCTTGATTCTAAATGTATTTAAAAGGTGCTAGCTGAGAGTGGTGGCACACTCCTGTAGGTCCACCTACTTGGGACAGAAGGCTGAGGCAGGAGGATCACTTGAGCCCAAGAGTTCAAGGCTGTAGTAAGCTCTTGCACCACGCACTCCAGCCTGGGCAACAGAGCAAGACCCCCATCCCTAAAAAGAAAAAAAAAAATTAAAGAAAGGCCCTGGAAGAGTTAATCTGCCTGGATTCCTTGGGGCTTTAGTGCCCCTCTAAGCACCCTGCCCCCCAGGCTTTCTCGACACCCTTGTGTAGAGAGTGGGGTGAGGGTGGGGCAGGGCACAAGCTGGGAGCAGGGCTATTTGTAGCCTTGTTTTTCTTGGAGGTGTTGTGGAGGCAAGGAGACTCTCCTCTCCCTCCCTTCCTCTAGGTTTGGAACTAGAATCTAGTCTCCCCGCCTTTATTTCCAAAACAGTTCCTGGCTCTAGCTCCCAAGACTCCTCTGGGACTCCAGGAGCTTCAGGCTCCAGTTCAGAAAACGCTTCCTCCCTGTGTGTCTCAGACACACACCCTTCCACCCAGGCACTGGGGCCTGCCCCAAACCAGCTTTCGCAGACAGGCATTCCCTCTTTGTCCAGAGAAGCTGGTGCAAGGCCATTGTGGGCAAGAGAGCAAATCCGCCTTCCTCTTGTGGAGCCTGTGTGGCTGGGCATGGAGGTCAGAAGAGAGAGGGGAGTTGTCAGCTGTGACAGATGGTTCCCTTTCTCTCCCTCTCTCTCGTCCGGCTGGCTCTCTTTTCTGCCTGTCTCTCTCCCTCTCTCTCGTCCGGCTGGCTCTCTTTTCTGCCAGTCTCTCTCCCTCTCTCTCGTCCGGCTGGCTCTCTTTTCTGCCAGTCTCTCTCCCTCTCTCTCGTCCGGCTGGCTCTCTTTTCTGCCTGTCTTCAGCTAGCTGTTTGCAGGATTCTCATCTGCCTCGAAGACTCGCTTCCACTTACTCCCTCCTTCTCTCCCTACTGCAAAATGGTTGTAGACTGCAACTTTCCAAATCATTTCGAACCTGCTTTAAAAATTCAGTTTCTATTCTGGGGGTCCCAGATGTGCTGCAGCTCACAAATAAGGCCAACCAGTTTTCCAAGACTCTCCTAACGTAGACAGGGAAAGAAATGGTGATTCACAGGGCCTGGGGAGTGTCTAGGCCATAGTTTTCCAAAAGCACCTGTCATTCATGTAACATTTCCATGATGTTTGCCGTACCTGCCTACCATCTCTACTATTATTTATCCAACCTAGGTTGAGCAAGTGTGACATCAGAAATACAATCAAACTGCATCCTTATTTTTGCCTACCCCTCCCTACTTATAATTTAGTCAGTGAGGGGAGCTCCTCCTCCCCCTGGTTGAAGTCTCCACTCCCAGGCAACCCACACCTCAATTTCCATTCGAAGGTGAGATTTCTTCCTGCTCCCCCAGTGAAGGTGTGAAACGGGCAAGGCCATCTGCTCCCCTTGTCAGCTCACCTGTTTCCAAGTTGAAGGGAGGGGAGGTACAGGGACAGGAGGAGGATTTCTAGATGTTTCACGACTGGGGCGGGCCTAGACTGCTCTGTGTCTCTGTGCCTGGCAGACATTTAAAGCTGTCTTTTCCATGGGGGCCTTTTGCAGGCTCTTTGGGAGTAACCATTTTGGGCCCTGTGATTGTCACACTGCTGGGATGTGGGCAATGAACATTTTCCTTTCTCTGCAAGTCTAGGCCTTCCCCTCAGCATCTGTTTCCAGGGTTAAAGATCCTGGAGGGGGCAGGAGGAGAGGTATGGTCAGCCTGTTTCTGAGGGGAACAGCCAGAGGCAGCCGAAAAGCCTGGACAGGCTCCAAGAGCCAGGGGCCAAGCAGAGTCTGAAGGGAAAGGGGATTGAAAGCCCAGAAGGAAAAATGAGTTCCAAAGGTCAATGCCTGAGTAATGCCCCTGCTGTGCAACCAGGACCACAGCTGCCGAGGATCCCCCTAATACTTAAACGCTCTGATTGGATAGCCACAGGCTGAGTGAGGACTACAAAGCCCACAGTGCTTTGTATCTGGAAAGAGAACAGATTGAAGTCTGAAAGGCTCAGCATTGGAGCTAGAAGAGACCCTAGAGACCATCTACTCTAGTGGTTCCCAAAACAAGGTCTCTGGACCACCATCAGCAGCATCCCTTGGAAACTTATTAGAAATGCAAATGGTCCAGCTTCACCCCAGAACTAATGAATCAGAAACTTTGGGGATAAGGCCCAACAACCTGTGTGCTAACAAGCCCTCGAGGTGAGTGTGATGCGCACTGAAGTTTAGGAACCACTGCTCTAGCCCAGCCCCTGTTGTTCAGGTGAGGAAACTGAGGCCCAGAGAGGGAAAAGGGTTTGCCTAAGGTCACAAAGCAAGTTGCCATTTTATAGTTAATCGCCATGGCAGGAAGTCATGCCTGGGATGTTCCCCCTCCTGGTTTCATTCTTGAGAGAGAGGCTGTTAATTACAAAGCAAAGGAACTGATTTGTTGAGAGATCTTGGGCAAGTTGCTTATTTCTGCTCTGGGTCTCAGTTTCTGCGTATGCATAGTGAGGGCAGGGAGTAGATACCTCCAGGTGCATAGCACACTGATCTCCAGTGGGATCGTGCTATTGCTGCCATCAGCCTTAAGGACACGGTCTAGCCTGGGACAGGAGGGCACAGGCTCTGGATCTGGACAGCCTGGTTCAAACCTTAGCCCTGCCATCTACTCATCGCATGATGTAGACCAGGAGTGTCCAATCTTTTGGCTTCCCTGTGCCACATTGGAAGAAGAATTGTCTTGGGCCACACATAAAATACACTAACGATAGGTGATGAGCTTAAAAAAAAATCGCAAGAAATATCTCATGATGTTTTAAGAAAGTTTACAAAACTTGTGTTGGGCTGCATTCAAAGCCATCCTGGGGTGCATGCGGCCCACAGGCCCCGGGTTGGAAAAGCGTGATGTAGACACATTGCTCAACTTCTCTGAGCCTCCGCTTCTTCTCCTGTATCTATTCTATAAGGGTATTGTGAAGATCAAGTAATGAATGGAAAGCTCTTAGCACATGCCTGGCGCACAGGAAGCGCTTGGGGGAGGAGCTGCTACCACGGCCTGCCAGGGTCACTCAGGTGATGGTTGACCTCCACTCAGTAACTGAATCCTCAGCCCTCCTCATGTGCAACCCTGAGTCTCCCATGAGAAGCAGACTAGTTGCAAAGTCACCTACAATTCAAACATTACCCTTGTAGAACTGTAACTTTCTATTCATGCCACAGATTTGGATGAAACCATGGATCATTTCTCTCCATTCACAGCTCCTCCCAGTCATCAGTCTCTGGGTCATAAGTTCTGCATCCATTTCAGCCACTCTGGAAGATGATGGTCTGATGATGAATGCCTCACCCCCGAGACCCCTTCGAAGTGTATTCTGGGTAATGACTCCACTCACCCAAATATGTCCTCAAGATATGACGACTCTGTCCACATCACATCTACTTGTATGTGATGCAGGAAAGAGCAAGAGACAGAAATCCAACTGAGTGTATCCCAGCTGCCTCCTCCTGTGCATCCCCTCTGACCAGCCCCAGGTCAGCTTGGTGGCCACACTCACCTGTCACAGCTCTCTTGCCTCCCACAGGTAACCACCATGATCCCCTGGGTGCTCCTGGCCTGTGCCCTCCCCTGTGCTGCTGACCCACTGCTTGGCGCCTTTGCTCGCAGGGACTTCCGGAAAGGCTCCCCTCAACTGGTCTGCAGCCTGCCTGGCCCCCAGGGCCCACCCGGCCCCCCAGGAGCCCCAGGGCCCTCAGGAATGATGGGACGAATGGGCTTTCCTGGCAAAGACGGCCAAGATGGACACGACGGCGACCGGGGGGACAGCGGAGAGGAAGGTAAGAGGCCTATACGTGCCACTCTCGTTCCCACCTGGCTGACAGCATCCGGCATGTGGGGGGCATCATGAAGTTAATAAAACTAGTATTAATCCTCTTCATTATAAATCAAATTACTATTTACTTATAAATCTATATATATATATATATATATATATATATATATATACTTTTTTTTTTTTTCCCCTTGAGACAGAGGCTTGCTCTGTCGCCCAGGCTGGTGTGCAGTGACATGATCTCAGCTCACTGCAACCTCTGCCTCCTGGGATCAAGCAATTCTCCTGCCTCAGCCTCCTGAGTAGCTGGAATTACAGATGCATGCCACCATTCCTGGCTAATTTTTGTATTTTTTAGTAGAGAGGGGGTTTCACCATGTTGGCCAGGCTGGTCTCAAACTCCTGACCTCAAGTGATCCATCTACCTCGCCCTTCCAAAGTGCTGGGATTACAGGCATGGGCCACTGTGCCCGGCCTCAGAGCAGTTTATTCTGAAAGGAACATGGGTATTGAATTTTGTGTTCCTGCCCCCGGTGCACCTTTGGGTTGCTAAGTGACTTTGGAAAAGTCTCCCAAAATATTACTGAGAACTCTTGATAATTGCAAGTGACAGAAACTCAATTTATAGTCCCAAATGGAATGTATTAGCCCATAAAACTGAGACATCAGGCCAGGCGCGGTGGCTCACACCTGTAATCTCAGCACTTGGGAGGCCGAGGTGGACAGATCACTTGAGGCCAGGAGTTCAAGACTAGCCAGGCCAACATGGCAAAACCCCATCTCTACTAAAAATACAAAAAATTAGCCAGGTCTGGTGGTGTATGCCTGTAATCCCAGCTACTCTGGAGGCTGAGGTAGGAGAATTGCTTGAACCCAGGAGGCAGAGGTTGGAGTGAGTTGAGATCGTGCCACTGCACTCCAGCCTGGGAAACAGAGCAGGACAGTGTCTCAAAAAAAAAAAAAAAAAAAAAAAAAAAAAAAAAGCCTGAGAAGTCCAAGAGCCAAGCTCCAGGAATAGCTGAGTCCAGGAGCTCAAATATCATTGTCACGGCTCTGCTTCTCTCTGTGTTTGTTGTATCCTCACAAAGGCTAGAAGTTCTGAAATAGCACTGCTGGGCTCCGGCCCACATCTTCCTGGCTTCATCCACAGAGCAAATCTCAGAACAGCCAATTCTCCTTGGCCACATGCGTATCCTGGACCAATTCCCTTGACCAAGGAGGTGAGGTGCCTCCATTTGCAGGGCAGGCTCATGGACCCACCCCTGCGTGTGTGTGAGTGGGTGGTGGGGGCAGTCAGTCATTGTGACTGACAGCCCCGCTAGGACCGTATGAAATGAAATGGTGAAGGGCAACTCCCCAAAGGAAGGGATGCCAGGCAGACGGCGAGCAGAATGGATATACTCTACAGACCTTTCCGTTGTGACATTCCTTATATCTCCAAACTTTCACCCCAGCAACCAAGCACTTTTCAGTGTCAGCAGCATCCCTAAGCCTACATTTTAAGCAGTAGAGAAATATAATAATTTTTATTTGTATGGCATTTTAATATTGACAAAGCACTTTTGAACATGTTGCCCATCTGACCATCCATATCGTGTGCCGGAGGGATTCTTATTTTCCCCATGTTACAGATGAGGATACTGAGAGTCAGAGTGATTCAGTTGATAGCAAAATGTCATCCTCGCAAGAACGTGAACTTTGGAAACAAACCTGGACACTGATTTTGACAAACTACTTAACTTCTCTCCAAACCATGGTTTCCTCATCTCTAAAATATGGATAATAATAGCACCTGTCTCACAAGGTTGTGGTAAAGATGAAATAAAACAATGTATGAAGGACCAGTCTCAGCATAGACATACAATAAATGTTAGGCACCCTGTAATTGACTTATTGAGCTCACATAGCATGCAGATAGCTGACTCCAAATCCAGGTCTTTTCCTACCACACCAAACTAATTCCTTCAAAGGTACCTCCTCCCCAGGAGATTAGTATAAAAGTAACTATCATAGCTTTAACTGGGGTGGGTCTTCCAGCGTGCTGGGCACTGGTATCATGATATCCAATTTCCTGACCACGGCGGCAGACTCAGGTCTGGACATGTGCTCCAAGCAGGCCAGCTAGAGTTTTCCCTGAGATTTGCCTATGGATCCTGAGGGACAGAGTCTCTGCTGTTGACTTCCCCAAATAGATAAAGCTTACCAGGAAGTTCTACCATGTACTGGGGCTGCCTTTGGCCATCTGTTCTGCTGTGTGTTGAGTCTCTGCAGAGAAGGAAGCCACCACACCAAGGAAGGCAGTGTTGGGAGAGTCCCAGCGCATGTAACTCAAACAAAGCTTGTCACCCTGGGGCCAATTCAGGATAACATCCAACCACCCGCCATCACCACACATACAAATTCACCTCCAGAAAAGTCTTTCAAGAGTAAAGTCAGCTTTTCCCAAAGTCTCTCAAAAAAGGTAAAGAAGAGGAAAGCACATTATATAATACATGGTAGGACCTCCTGGTAAGCTTTTTTATCTATTTGTCTCCCGCCAAAAACCCCAAGTCAAAATGACTTGGAGGCTGCGTGGTGGCTCATGCCTGTAATTTCAGCAGTTTGGGAGGCCAAGGCAAGAGTACTGGGAGGCCAGGAGTTTGAGACCAGACTGGGCAACATAGGGAGACACCATTTCTACAAAAAATTTTAAAATTAACTAAGTGTGGTGGTGTGTGCCTGAAGTCCCAGCTACTCAGGAGGCTGAGGCAGGAAGATTACTCAAGCCCAAGAGTTTGAGGTTACAGTGAGCTATGATCGCGCCACTGCACTCCAGCCTGCGTAACAGCGTGAGACTCTATCTTTAAAAAAAAAAAAAAAAAGATTCTGTCTCTATTCCTCTTCTCTTGGCCCCTTTTCCCACCTTTTGTTTATTTTCATTTTTTCAAGAAATAGCTTTGTGACTTTTCTGAGTTTTATTTTTTCCCATTCTTTTTGTTTATTTTTAATTATATGAGTAATATACAAATACAGTCTCATTGTAATATATTCAAACAATACACATAAAGCAAAAGTCCTCCTTACTTACTACCCCTTCTCATCCTTCCCTCACCCTCCAGAGGTAACCACTATTAATTGGTTAGGTATGTATCTTTCCTGGCCTTTTTCTATATATTTACATATGTATTTAATAATACCAGGCATTGTCAGGCACTTAACATAAGCACTCTGTTCCTGAAAATCAAGTGTTCAGTAACAAAATGCAATTTGGAAACCTATTTCCGAATTATGTAAAATAGGAAAAATTCAGATGCATTACAGATTAACTCAAAACTCTAAAACACAGTGAAATGCCTACATACAAATGTATAAGAAACAAAGTAACTTGTTAGGATGTAAAATGCCTAAAACTTTACTTCCTTGACCCAGTTCATATGGTTCTAACAACCTTGTGTCGAGTGAACTCAAGTCATTATCCATATAGGTTTTGCTTAAAATGTTGTATTGAGTTGAGGGGACATAAACTAAATTGATTTTATGCAATCAGTAGCCAAAAATGTTGGATTGAGAGAAATGTGCATTTTATGAAACATTGGAGTATGAAACATCAAAAAGCCTTCTAAAGGAAAACACAACTGGGGGAATTGTTCTGCAGGGAATGCCAGCTAGTATTTAGGAATGTTTGCTATAGGCCAAGCACTCTTCTATGCGTTTAAATGGGTGTAGAAATATTTAGCACTGTGGGCCAGGTGTGGTGGCTCACGCCTGTAATCCCAGCACTTTGGGAGGCCGAGGTGGGCAGATCACGAGGTCAGGAGTTTAAGACCATCCTGGCTAACACGGTGAAACCCCATCTCTACTAAATATACAAAAAATTAGCCGGGCGTGGTGGCAGGTGCCTGTAGTCCCAGCTACTCAGGAGGCTGAGGCAGAAGAATGGTGTGAACCTGGGAGGCGGAGCTTGCAGTGAGCGGAGATCGCGCCACTGTGCTCCAGCCTGGGCGACAGAGCAAGATTCCGTCTCAAAAAAAAAAAAAAAAAATTGGCATTGTGGATTCCATTCCTTTTGTTTTTCTAATTTTTATTTTTTAGAGACAAGGTCTTACTCTGTTGCCCAGGCTGGAATGCAGTGACACAATCATAGCTCACTGTAACCTGGAACTCGTGGGCTCAAGGGATCCTGTCACCTCAGCCTCCCAAGTAGATGGGGCTAAAGGCATATGCCACCATGCCTGACTAATTTTTGTATTTTTTGTAGAGACTGTCTGGCTACATTGCCCAGGCTGGTCTCAAACTCCTGGCCTCAAGCAATCCTCCAGTCCCAGCTTCCCAAAGTGCTGGGATTATAGACGCGAGCCACCTTGCCCGGCCTGCCTTCCTTTTAACACAAAGGGTCTGGCCACCTGCTCTTTCCTCTTAGTGTATGTTAGAGAAGGTTTCATAGAGCACACGTAACTCTACTTTTTTTTTTAACTCCTGCATAGAAATCCACAGTATAGATGGACCGTAATGTTTTTTATCATTTGCCTTTGGATGGGCATTTAGTTGTTCCTATTTTTTGCTATTATAAGCAATGCTGCAATAAAATCCTTGTACACGTGGGCAGGGCTTATATGCACTAGGCAGGGATTTTACTAAGATCAACGTGTTGAAATCAAGAGGCTTTTTCCAGTTCTCTTCTCAACCCATTACCAGCGCAGCCCATGGAAGGATTGAGCTGGCAGACAGACCAGACCCTTCCTTAGAAGGCAGGAAAAGGAAAGGGTGTGAACTGTTACAAGTTATTCTTTTTGCCCTGATCCACAGTGATTCTTGAAGGTAAGTATCATCATTTCCATTTTCCAGAGAGCTAGCATTAGGATTTACACCCACTTCTATATGTCTGCAAAGCCTTCTTGTTCTTTCTATTACCCAAGCACTCCTTCTCCAAGATTGGAAGACCAAGCCGCACCGCACCCCTCTGCCTAGGTCTGTGAGGACCCTCCATAACACCAGCTGCTCTGTCTTCCAGGTCCACCTGGCCGGACAGGTAACCGGGGAAAGCCAGGACCAAAGGGCAAAGCCGGGGCCATTGGGCGGGCTGGCCCCCGTGGCCCCAAGGGGGTCAACGGTACCCCCGGGAAGCATGGCACACCAGGCAAGAAGGGGCCCAAGGGCAAGAAGGGGGAGCCAGGCCTCCCAGGCCCCTGCAGCTGTGGCAGTGGCCATACCAAGTCAGCTTTCTCGGTGGCAGTGACCAAGAGCTACCCACGGGAGCGGCTGCCCATCAAGTTTGACAAGATTCTGATGAACGAGGGTGGCCACTACAATGCTTCCAGCGGCAAGTTCGTCTGCGGCGTGCCTGGGATCTACTACTTCACCTACGACATCACGCTGGCCAACAAGCACCTGGCCATCGGCCTGGTGCACAACGGCCAGTACCGCATCCGGACCTTTGATGCCAACACCGGCAACCACGATGTGGCCTCAGGCTCCACCATCCTGGCTCTCAAGCAGGGTGACGAAGTTTGGCTGCAGATCTTCTACTCAGAGCAGAACGGGCTCTTCTATGACCCTTACTGGACAGACAGCCTCTTTACGGGCTTCCTAATCTATGCCGACCAGGATGACCCCAACGAGGTATAGACATGCCACGGCGGTCCTCCAGGCAGGGAACAAGCTTCTGGACTTGGGCTTACAGAGCAAGACCCCACAACTGTAGGCTGGGGGTGGGGGGTCGAGTGAGCGGTTCTAGCCTCAGGCTCACCTCCTCTGCCTCTTTTTTTCCCCTTCATTAAATCCAAACCTTTTTATTCATCCAACCATCTATTTATTCACTTCTTTTTAAAGTATCTACTGTGTAACAGGCACTATGCTATTCTCTGAAAGATGCAGCAGTGGACAAGACAGAGTATCTGTCCTCATGCAGCTTACATTCTAGCAGGAGATACAATTTACAAATATACAAGCAAATAATATAATATTATGCCAGGATAGAAATGAACATGCCATGGTTGACAGTAATAGGAATAACAGGAGACAGGGAAGAGGTGGAAATTTGTTTCTTTTTTTAAGTTTGCGTTTTTAGGTTTACTTACATACAGTGACTCTCCAGATTTTAAGTTGACAACTCAGTGAATAATTTTTGCTTATGTGCACACTCTGAAACCTCCATGTAGATCAAAGAACAAGCTATTTCCAACTTCTCACCTCCCTTCCCCAAAAGCTCTCTTAAGACCCCTCTAAGTCAGTACCTGGAAAATTTCCATTTTTGAGCTGAGTTCCAAAGAAGGAAATAGAGCAACACAAAGGCCTCGAAAAGAGGTCTCCAGCAAAAGGCTCTGCAAGTGCAAAGACCTTGACAGGAAAGAGGGAGGGGCCAAGGTAAGAACTGAGAAGGGAGGCATGAGGCGTGAGGCTGGAAGATAATACAGAATGTCCCAGGCCATGGCAGAGCTCGTTCCATTCACGAAGGCTTATCAGAATACAAAGTGACACTGATAGGCGGATCATCTTGAATCTGCTCATTGCATGAGTCAAGTCGGCCACAGACTTGAGCGCTTTATTATTAGTTAATCTTTTGCAGGCCCGCTTCTCAATGAATGAGATACACCAGGATATGCACGTGCATCTGAGAACCGCTGCTCTGAGATGGCAGGAATGGATCCCACGCAAATGAATCGCACCCCAAGCACAGGTGTTGCCAGTATGCAGGGATCTGGGGGCTTAAGAAGCTGCAGTAAAAGTGCCAGGTGCTGGCGGGATGTGGTAGCTCATGCCTATAATCCCAGGACTTTGGGAAGCTGAGGTGGACGGATCATTTGAGGTCAGGAGTTCAAGACCAGCCTGACCAACATGGCAAAACATCGTCTAAAAAAATACAAAAATTAGACAGGCGTGGTGTTGGGTGCCTGTAATCCCAGCTACTGGGGAGGCTGAGGCGGGAGAATCGCTTGAACCCAGGAGGTGGAGGTTGCAGTTAGCTGAGATCCTGCCACTGCACTCCAGCCTGGGCAACAGAGTGAGACTATCTCAAAAAAAAACAAAAAAAAAAAAAAAACAAAAACAAAAACGCAGGTACTGAGAGACCCATGAAACGATTTGCTGGAGATAATTTTCAGTTGGAGCTGCAGCTCCCTAGCAGCTTTCTCTGGCTGCCCGCCTAGTGAGATCCTCAGGGACAAGGATAGCTGCACGGGATAGTTCCAGAAGGAGTGGCCATCTCCATAAATAAAATCGGGTTTATTTAAAATAACTCCATTGTCTCTGGGCCATAAATGGTTTGGGATTGGGGTGGGTCTGAAACATTCAGGAAAGGCTTTCTGGCCCAATCAGATTGACGTGTGGGTTGGGGTCCCCTGCAGCACCCCTGTGGGAAGGGGTCAGCTTTGGTCAGTGAACAGTTCTTTTTACCTTTTCTTTTTCTTACAAAAATAAATTTTAGGAGAGCCTTTCGCTTCTTCCTCTTCCTTCCCTCAGGGATATAGGCATTTGAAGGCATTTGACTTAACCCTTTGTAGCCCAGGTAATAAATCCAAACTCAGCAAGATGGGCTGGACCCCAGAGCTCTGTGGTTGCCACTTTTTGGCCCATATTGAACCGATGTCCCCTTGGCATCTACCAGGGACTCCTCAGGGAGAGTGTGGGAATGATGGGGGAAGACTCGTCACTCTTTTGTAGAGCGTGGGGCAGATGATAGCAGAGACCTTCCAGGGCCCAGGGCTGGGGTCTTGTCTTCCTTGGATGTGGTCTAGCGTTGCTCCAGATGGTGGGTTTGTGGCAGGTGGGGCAGAAGCAGATGATGCAGTTGAGGCGGGTCTCTGGTAGAGAGTGATGTCAAAGATGAGCACTCCTTTTATCCCCTGACTCTTCTGAGGATGGCTGCCTCCTTGGTGAGCCACTTGGAGGTCTCAGGCTGATCATGCGGGATGGTGGCCCAGATGAGGAAGGGGATCCAAGGCGGTGGCCTTCCCAGATGCACTGGGCCCCAGCCCTTCTTCCTAGCTTCGGCTGATTACTGTGGGCTTCAGCAACCAGGGCCTACCTGTAGGTCTCCACATTTGTAAGCACCACAGAACCCAGTGCATCTTTGTGCACTCAAATCGCCCTTGATCCAGGGGTATTTTCTCATTCAGAACACACTTTGAAAGGCGGCCATTCCCCTTCTGGAGAAAGCCTGGAGAATCTACAGTGCCCTTAATTACAGTGCAAAGAGCACTAGACACACAAGGCCCTCACAGGCCAGCGCAACCCTGGGTGGAGCCTCAGGGTTCAGCTGACAAATGATGAGGGTCTTACTCCCTATGTCTAGGGGGGCTTCGTGGGCTGACTTCTGCATCAGGACTATGATGAGGGTGGGGGAGCGAAATTGAGGCACTCACGTCATGCACAAAATGTAAGAGGGTGACAAAAACCACAGTAATCAATAGAAATATATATATTTTTGAGACAGAGTCTTGTTCTGTCACCGAGGCTGGAGTGCAGTGGCACGATCACAGCTCACTGCAGCCTCGACCTCCTGGGCTCAAGTGATCCTCCCACCTCAGCCTCCTGAGAAGCTGGAACTATAGACCTGTGCCACCACACACGGCTAATTTTTAAATTATTTGTAGAGACGGAGGTCTTGCTATGTTGCCCAGGCTGGTCTCAAACTCCTGGCCTCAAATGATCCTCCCACCTCAGCCTCCGCAAAGTGCTGGGATTACAGGTATGAGCTAGCGCACCTGGCAGAAATAATTTTTTTTAAGATGGAATCTTGCTCTGTCGCCCAGGCTAGAGTGCAGTGGCGCAATCTCAATTTACTGCAACCCGTGCCTCCCTGGTTCAAACGATTCTTGTGCCTCAGCCTCCCGAGTAGCTGAGATTACAGGCGCCCTACCAACACGGCTGGCTAGTTTATTTTTTTATTTTTTTATTTTTAGTAGAGACGGGGGTTTCACCATGTTGGCCAGGCTGGTCTCGAACTCCTGACCTCAAATGATCCACCCGCCTCAGCCTTCCAAAGTTTTGGGATTATAGGAGTGAGCCACCACCCCCGGCCAGAAATATTTTAATACAATATTTTAATAAATCAAAAATAACCCAAAAACTCTATGATAAACAAAATATCAGAATGTTAAGTAAAGATGAGATCTGACAGGGCCGGGATCAGGGCGAGGTAAGGGAGGGCGAGTCATGGAAGAGCAGCTGGATCCTGGTGTCCATCCGCAGCTCGGGAGCCCTTGGCAGCCAGGCCTCGCAGGTGAAAAGGCTTTTTTTCCCTCCTGCCTGTCATCTTCACTCAGGCCACTAGGGGGAGAACGTCGACTACACAAACCTCCCGGCCTGCGGCATGGAGGCTGGGAGATACACCCTGGTCTCAGGCTATTTTCTAGATTGCCTGCCAGAAAGCAGGTTGTTGTTCAGTCCATTGAAGGTCTCTTTCAATTCAGCAGACGTGTCCTGAGCACTCACTGAGGCAAGGCTGAAGAATGCACCCGGGGTCCCCAAACCAGGTGAGGAGTCAGATCTATCTGGCACCACAACCTCATTCAGCAGCCGAACCTCCTGCGGGGACAGCTTCCATGCGCTTTCATAAAAGCTCCTCAGCCGATTCTAACCCACAGCCGGCTTTGCCAAGCTCTGGGCCGGGCTGAGGGGAAAACTAACACAGGAAAGACTCGAGTTCTGCCCTTCAAGGGAGGACATTTTGTGTGCCTCCCTTGTCCCGGTGTCATTTCCACAGCTGTCCTCAGGCCGGGGTGGCACTGAGAATGGAGCACAGTGTGGGTTTGAAGGTCACCTCGCAGGCCCAGCTCCTCAACCACAGCATCTGAGGGTGCTCCCGAAGACCTCTGTGGCTTCCCAACACTTTTCTCTCCCTGCTCCAGAGACGGAGACCCAAAAAGAATTTCTCCGAAAGAGGCCGGGCACGGTGTCTCACGCCTGTAATCCCAGCACTTTGGGAGGCCGAGGTGAGTGGATCATTTGAGGTCAGGAGTTCGAGACCAGCCTGGCCAACATGATGAAACCCTGTCTCTACTAAAAATACAAAAAAAAAAAAAAAAAATTAGCCGGGCATGGTGACGGGTGCCTGTAATCCCAGCTACTCGGGAGGCTGAGGCACTAAAATTGTTTGAACCCAGGAGGCGGAGGTTATGGTGAACCAAGATTGTGCCACTGCACTCCAGCCTAGGCAACAGAGTGAGACTCCGTTTCAAAAAAAAAAAAAAGAATTTCTCAGAAAGAGCCCAAAGATGGCTCTGGAAAATGGTGGGGTTTGTTTTTTTATTTTTTATTTTTTAAACATTCTCCATCTACTTTATACTTTTGCCTCAGATTGGCCCTGACTTAAAAACAATAATGAAGAGTTCAACCTCATCACAGGTGTTTATTTTTGCTGATGCCGTTGCAAACTTCCGACAGTCATTTATCTCCACCCCAAGTGGGTTTCAAGCTGATGCTGACAGCGGTCCGAAATGGCTTCCTCGTGTGAAATGTCCATATTCTATTTGGGGCTCTCTTATCCCATAAAACACACTTAATGTGTGAGCTTCAAGACATGGAGATCAAGGGCCTCAGAGGTGAAAGGCTAACGGGGCATTAATCCTCAACCTCCTCAGTTTCCTGTCACTTGGCAGAACTAGATGGGCAAATCACTTTTGAAAAGCTCCTCATTCCCTGATGTTGAGTCTGGTTCTAGGCATCCTACAACCTGAAACCGAGGAGGGTGTGGAGGGTCTAGAAGTGCCACCTGCCGTAGGAGTGTTGGCTGTTCAACCTTGAGGAGAGAAGACTGGGAGTCCTGGTGAGACTGTCAGGGAGTAGCACTGGTGGAGTAACAGCAGAGCTGAAGGGCAAGTGGGAGTTGGCAAGGGAAGCTGGATGGAGAGGGCTTTCCAGGGAGGGGCATGGCAGGCAAAGGCCCCGTGGTGGGGCAGGGCATGACACAGGAGAGGAATCAAAGAAGCCCCTCCCCAGGTCATGGGGGCAAAGTGTGCAAGGGGAGAAGATGAGGGGGCAGAGCCCAGACCTTGAAGGCTGATAGGTCAAACTAAAGATGGCTATCTTGACCATGAGAATAACAGGAAACCACAGAATGATTTTAAGGGGGCAAGTGACATAAGCAGACTTGGGTTTTGAGAAGACCACTCTTGCAGCTATAGGAGAAACATTTCAACTTACCCTATAGAAGAGCTTTCATTTTGTTTGTTGGTTGGTTTGTTTGTTTTGAGATAGAGTCTTGTTCTGTCGCCCAGGCTGGAGTGCAGTGGTGCCATCTTGGCTCACTGCAACCTCTGCCTCCAGGGTTCAAGCGATTCTTCTGCCTTAGCCTCCTGAGTAGCTGGAATTACAGGCACCCGCCACTACACCTGGTGAATTTTTGTATTTTTAGTAGAGATGGGGTTTCACCATGTTGGCCAGGCTGGTCTCGAACTCCTGACCTCAGGTAATCCACCCACCTGGGCCTCCCACAGTGCTGGGATTACAGGTATGATCCACGTCGCTCGGCCCAGAAGAGCTTTCTAATAGAATGCTAGACCTTGGGAAAGTAATAACAATAAAAACTAACATTTACTGAGTTCTTACTAGGAATGAAACACTGTGTGCTTTTCATGGATTAATACGTTTGGCCTTGAGAACAACATGTAAGGTAGGTGTATTACGATGATCCACTTTCCACAGATGAAGAAATAGAGGCTAGAAGAGGTTCAGAAAGTTGACTGAGGTTACCCAGTTGGAGAAGTTGCACAGCAGGAGCTCAAATCCAAGTCCTTCAGACCTCAGAGGTCATGGTCATAATGACTACAGCCCTCTGACATCCAGGCTGCCAGGGACCACAACTCTGGTTCTAACCGTGGTTGCACCTGGGTGGAGTGGTAAGACTTCTAATCCTGTCTCCCACCCACCAAGTGACTCTAATGCAATTAGTCTGGAGTACAGCCTGGACATTGGGAATTTTTGGAAACTCCCCAGCTGAGTCTGTGGTGCAGCCACATTGAGACTCATAGGCAGATAGCTCGTAAAACACTTGAGAGAGCTGTTGCAGGGAATAGCCATCTCTCTGGCTGGACTCAGTGATCTCTGAGTTCCCTTCTAGCTTGGATTTTTTTTTGACTTTATGATTCACCAGTTCTGCTGCCAGAAGGCTTTCTCCAAGGTGACTGAATTTCTGGAACTGACAGATGGAGCCTGAGGGACCTTGGTAATACTGTGTCAGCTCCCGTGGCCAGTCAGGGAGAGCAGAGTCTTCAGGGCTGTATCTCCGCACCCTGCCCACCATCTTCCCTCTGACGCAGACCAAGCCTGCAGACCAGTGAGAGGAGAAGAAATGAAGTCAGCTGACCCACAGTTGGCACTGCCAGGACTGGATGCTGCTGGCTGTTGGCCAGGATCTGATCCACTCCTTTGAGAGTGTCAGGAGCTGTGGAAGGTATGGGGTGGGGGGCGGGGTTCCTCCCAAGGCAAAGTTCCTGTGGAGGTCAGATGAGACTGAGCTTGAGAACTGAGTTATGAAAAAAACCTCAAGGAACATCCTTCACCTGCCCTCTATGGCTCCTTAGCTTCTTGAGGTTCTGCTGCTCAGAGCCTAGTGTGATAAATAACCTCTTTCTCTTTAGCCACCTGGTCTCCTGTCACTTGAAGGGGTGGCAAGCTCATTCCCCACTCCAGGCCTTTGTACTTGCTGGTTGACCAAACTGTGATGCATCCATACCATGATATACCACTCAGCAATAAAAAGAAACAAACTATTGATACACTGAAACAACCTAGATGAAAAATTATAAAAAGTAGTCATCCCTTTTGGCCCCAAATCCCAACTTGAAGAAGGGAAATGCTGAATACGTAAAAGACGAGTTATTGAAATAAATGCTGTCAAAGGACAAAATTTTGACAAATTTAAAGATCTTAATTGGCTTTTATTTGCAATTCTAGAATCAGGCAATACCTCATATTCCGTAAACCAGAATGAGTGTTCCTAGAATCGGAGCAGAGAATGTTGGTTTTATAGACCTAAAAGGGCTGAGGAAAGCAGAAACAGAAAGCAAAAAGCGGATGGGTTGCTTCAAAGTTACTTTCCTTGTGAAGGTTAAAGAAGAGAGGACTTCCTTATCATACCAGCTAAAACTAGCTTGTTTAGAAATTTGGCTATTGTCTCTCCTGATTTCTGGGAAGGTCAGATAAACAACTTAGTTTTGGCTGGGTGACACGGAACTTCAGCATGACTGATCCCATTTTGGTTTATTCAGTTGGGCCTAACGCAGGAGTTCAGTCTAAACCAATGGCCTCCTACACATTTTATTTAACAGCACTTACTGAGGACCTTTATATGCCAGGCTCTGTTCTGGGCCCTGGAGATAAAGCAGTGAACAAGACAGAGAAGGATTCCTGCCTTCGTGGAACTTACATTCTAATACAGAGACTGGCAATAAACCAAGTAAACATAAAATAAAATGGGGTTAGATGGTCAAAGTGCTACGGAGAGAAAATAAAGTAGGGGAGAAAATGGGGGTGCTGGTTAAGGGTGGATTACAGCTTTATGGGGGTGGTTAGGGAAGCTGTTACTGCAAAGGCAACATTTGAGTACAGTCCTTTTAGAAAGTGAGATGAGAATATATGAGGGTAGGGGTGGAAGGTAGCAGGGAGCATTTCAGGCAGTGGAAATATCTGAACCTGAAGCAAGAGTAAGCCTGGTGGGTTGAAGGAATAGCCAAGAGGCCACCATGGCTAGAGTCCTTGGTCAGAGAGATCATGGATGGCATTTATGGACCATTGACCTGACGGTGGTCCCTGGAGTTTTGCTGTTGTCTTTTTTTTTTTTTTTTTTTAAGATGGAGTCTTGCTCTGTCGCCCAGGCTGGAGTGCAGTGATCTTGGCTCCCCGCAACCTCCACCTCCCGTGTTCAAGTAATTCTCCTGCCTCAGCCTCCTGAGTAGCTGGGATTACAGGCACCTGCCACCATGTCCAGATAATTTTTGTCCTTTTTGTAGAGAAGGGGTTTTGCCATGTTGCCCAGGCTGGTCTCAAACTCCAGACCTCAAGTGATCCACCCACCTCAGCCTCCCAAAGTGCTGGGATTACAGGGCATGAGCCACCTTGCCCAGCCCCCTGGAGTGTCTTGTACAATAAAACACTCACATGTAAACAGGAAATAAATGTGAACTCAAGATCCCCCTGCAGAGATGCTGATTGTGTGGGTCAGAATCTGACCTTGTCCTGAAGTAGGTTTCATAGTGAGTAACAAGAAAAGGGGGGCAGGGTAGGAAACAGCTCAAGAGAAATGCATATCTCTGAACAAACTATAAATAAGAAATAATCCCCCAGAGTAGGATGGGGATGCTTTTCCTGGGCTTTTTCTGCTCAGGTTCGGTGAGGTGATGGTGGAGATCTTAGCAACACACAGGAGTAGGAAGTGGAACATCCTCACTCAGGCTGCAGCCCTTCTCACTTGCCCTCATCGGCCCTAGGGTCCAGACACTCCGAAATG
The DNA here is from genome assembly GCF_000001405.40 of Homo sapiens. Classification (NCBI taxonomy): domain Eukaryota; kingdom Metazoa; phylum Chordata; class Mammalia; order Primates; family Hominidae; genus Homo; species Homo sapiens. The sequence goes on along the minus strand of NC_000005.10, from coordinate 160,340,346 downwards.
CTTTACAGACAACCCCACACTTTAACAAATTGAATCCTCACAGCAACCTCATGAGCCAGGTCCTGTCTTCTTTGTTACATTTTAAATCAACACCATGTAAAAGAAATGCTTTCAATTTTAAAATTTGTCTGTTAAAAGACCCTTCAAATGGATTAATTTATTAATTAAGACACATTCTCAATAGCAGAAATGCCAAAAAATCAATAATAGGATTGAGGAAATTGCAAATGGGCATCCATTTCATAGATAATGAAATTGAGGCTCCTGCAGTTGGAATTAAACCATCAGGGGCTTGAACCTGAAACTGTTCCAGCCCCAACTCCCTCATTTTAATAACTGGCAACTCCATCCACCCAGGTGCTCGGCTCAAAAATGTAGAAATAATTCCCTCCACCACAGCGTTGTCACAGAGGGTTTGTCTTAGTCCTAAATTAGCGGGACCTTGAATTGGCAGATGGCACCTCCTACTATAACTCCCATCTGTTGATTTCTTGATCCATGGCCCAGCTCGTGAATTTTGCTGATGTGTTTTAATCTTTCGAATATATGTGATTTTGACATTCTCCTTATTAACATCTCTATTTGTATGAACATAAAAATAAAATGTTTTTCTCAGCCAAATCTTTGAATCATATTGAAGCTTGAGGAAAATGGGCCGTGGCCTTGAGTACCTGGAACACGCTGATAAAGTTGATCCATTTGGTTGTGTGTTTCCAATTAGTCAACCACAGCTTGCAACTTGGCAGATATGAGTAACAGATGAAAAAACACTTTCTGTGTCAGCACTAATGGATAACTGAAAGCAAGTCGACAAAGATTTGGAAAATGAGGCATACGTCTAAAAGAAAACCACAATATTATGAGGCTGAAATGGTACTGAAATATTACAAACACTTGGAGGAGTAAGTAAATCTTAATGTATTTAAATTGAAGAACGTGTTTGGATGTGTTTTGGGGTTTTGGCGTTTTTTTTTGTTTTTTTTTTTTGTTTTGCATGTTGCTCATTATATAGAGTTACAAAGTGATAATCACTTTCACTCTGGCAATTATACATTTGATTTGTTTATACCATACATATATATATATAAATTATATATATATGCACATTTCTTAAGTATTATCCATGTCTTGGATTTTATTGCTCTATCTTCAAAGCCATCTCTTGTTTATAGAGATTGAGGTTTAATTGCAAGTGCTAGGCTAGAGCATGGCACTGTGGTTAATTTTGCCAGGTCTTTTTGAGGTTTAAGAGTAGTTTTAGCCTGGGTGCGGTGGCTCATGCCTGGAATCCCAGCACTTTGGGAGTCCGAGGTGGGTGGATCACAAGGTCAGGAGTTCGAGACCGGCCTGGCCAACAGGGTGAAACCCCATCTCTACTAAATACAAAAATTTGCCGGGCATGGTGGCAGGTGCCTATAATCCCAGCTGCTCAGGAGGCTGAGGCAGGAGAATCGCTTGGACCCGGAGGTAGAAGTGGCAATGAGCTGAGATCGCGCCACTGCACTCCAGTCTGGGTGACAGAGCCAGACTTAGTCTCAAAAAAAAAGAAGAAGAAGAGTAGTTTTAGTATACCTAGGATGAATACAGTTACTGAGCTTTTAAAATGTGCCAGGCCCTATGGTAAGTGCTTTATACGCATTACCTAAGTCCTTCTTACCCATCTGAGATCTCATGGGCCAAGATTATAATCATTCCCTTATACAAATAGCCCTTACATTCTTGCCCTTTTCTCTCATCATTCTTTCCTAGCAAAACCTTAATCCAGCCAAACCCAATCCTTCTCTTTCTTAATTCTGTGAATAAAAGTTCTCTAAAAAGGAATTTGGAGGAAACAGGCTTTATTTCAGTGAACAGTTTACAAACCAAGGGGACACAGCCTTTAGTGTAAAATGAAGATACGTTCCAGAGACAAAGAGAAGGTTTGGCTTTTTTTGGGGGGTGGGGGAGTTGAGGGGGACAGGGTCTCACTCTGTCACCCAGGTCGGAGTGCAGTGGCGTGATCTCAGCTCACTGCAACCTTCTCTGGGCTCAAGATTCTCCCGCCTCAGCCTCCCAAATAGCTCAGACTACAGGCCCATGCCACCACACCCAGTTAGCTTTTTTGTGTTTTTTTGTAGAGACGGGGTTTCACCATGTTACCCAGGGTGGCTTCCAACTTCTGGGCTCAAATGACCCACCCGCCTTGGCCTCCCAAAGTGCTGGGACTACAGGAGTGAGCCAGGTTTAGCTTTTATAGAAAAAGTTCCCACATAGGTTTCCAATCAAACATGTTTATGCAAATGAAGGATTCAAACTTGCTTAGTTCTGAATTGTTGATACAGCTGAGTTCTGCTTGATTGATACAGCTGAGCCCTGATTGGCTGAAGTAGGTGAGCTCTGGTTGGTTGAGGTGAGCCCTGAAAGTCCCAAAATTAAACGGAGGTGAGGGGTGTTTGCAGAACTCAGAGTATGTGTGTGATCTGTAGTCAGCAAATGGTCATTTGGCTCTATTTTAAATTTAGGCCCAGTTAGCCACTCAGGATCTATCTTGAAGGATTGGTTCTTTCAGGTTCACATTTGTTCACAATTCACTCATTTCCAACTAAATATTAAGAAGAACACGTAACTGTGCTGATTGGGCCTACTTTCAATTCATGCCTACAAATCTCCAATGGCACAAAATGTAACCTGGCAACATTTTGTTGGAAGGAGCTCTACCAGCTCCTTCCCAACCCCCGACATTCTCAATGCAACGTCCCTAAGGTGGGAGTCAACATGGTTGGCTCAAGGAGCAGAGTAACAGGAAGAGAGTGGCAGGTGATGACCTCAGAAAGGTTACAAGCACCCAGATCATGTAGGGCCCTGCAGAACTGGTAACCACTTGGCTTTTATGCTGAGTGAGACGTGAAATAATTGGAGGGCTTTGAGCAGATGCGCGATGAAGTCTGGTTTCAATTATAACAGCATTCCTCCAGCTACTATTTGAGAATAGACTGTGAGGGGCAATGACAAAAGAGGGAGACAGGAGATTAGTTTAATAATCCCAGCAGCCAAGTTCGGTGGCTTACACCTGTAATCCCAGCACTTTGGGAGGCGAGGCGAGACAGAAGGATCTTTTCAGCCCAGGAGTTCAAGACCAGCCTGGGCAACATGGTGAAAACCTGTCTCTACACCCTAAAAAAAAAAAAAATCAAAAATTTGCCGGGCATGGTGGTACGTGCCTGTAGCCCCAGCTACTCAGAAGGCTGAGGTGGGAGGATTGCTTGAGCCCAGGAGGCAGAGGCTGCAGTAGTCCATGATCGTGCCACTGCTCTCCAAGCTGGGCAACAGAGCTAGACCCTGTCAAAAAAAAAAAAAAAAAAAAGAAAGAAAAAGAAAGAAGGAAGGAAGGGAGGGAGGGAGGAAAAAAAAAATCCCAGCAAGGGATGATGGGAGCTTGGCCCCAAGTGGTTGCAGGAAAGAGGTAAGAAACGATGTAATTTTGGCCGTCTTTGGAGATAGAGCCAACAGGTTTCACTGAGTATTTGGATGTGGCCTGTGACGGAAAGTGAAGGGTCAACACTGACATAAAGGTTTTTGCCTGAGCAACTTTAAGGCTGGAATTGCCCTTCACCAGGATGGGAAACACTGCTCCTGGGAGGAGTGGGAGGAGCAGGCTCTGTGGATGGGAGCAGGAGGTGAGTAAATAGAGTTTGTTTTGAGAAACATTGTGTCAGAGATGTCTATAAAACATCTGTGTAAGTTTCCTAGAGCTGCCATAACAGATTACCACAAACTGTGGCTTAAAACAACAGAAATGGATTCTCCCACAGTTCTGGAACCCAGAGTCTGACATCTACATGTCAGCAGCAGGGCCGCGCTTACTCTGAAGGATCTTGGTTGGATTCTGTTCCTTGCCTCTTCCAGCTTCTGGTGGCCATCAGCATTCCTTGACTTGCAGCTGCATTGCTGCAGTCTCTGCCTCCTTGGTCACACAGCCTTCTCCTCTTCTGAGTGGTTCTCCTCTCTTTGTGTCTTATAAGAACACTTCTATTTGACTTAGGGACCCTCTTAGAGATCTTCTCACCTCAAGACCCTTAATTACATCTGCAAAGACCCTTTTTCCAAATAAGGCCACATTCACAGGTTCCAGACATTTGATGTAGACATATTCTTTTGAGGACTGTCATCAACAACTAAGTTGAGATGGCAAATGGGTAGTTGAATGTATGAGTCTGGAGTTCAGAGAAGAGTTCTGGACTGACGATATAAATTTAGAAGTCCTCAGTCTATAGATGGCTTTTAAGCCATGGTTCTAGAGAGATCACAAGGGGGAAGAATTCAAATAAAGAAGGGGAGAGTCTGAAGACTGAGTCCTGGGACACTCTGGTATTTGGATTGTGGACGATGAGGAGGACTGAAAAGTAAGTGGTTGCTACAGAGCTAGAAGAGAATCAAGAGACTGTGATGCTGGAAACCAAAGATACTGTTAAAAAGAGCAAGGGGTCTGGGTGTAGTGTCTCATGCCTGTAATTCTAGCACTTTGGGAAGCTGAAGCGGGAGGATCACTTGAAGCCAGGAATTTGAGAATGGCTTGGACAACAAAGCAAAACATTGTTTCTACAAAAAAAAAAAAAAATTTCAAAAAAAAAAATTAGACATGATGGCATTTGTCTATAGTCCCAGCTATCTGAGAGGCTGAGGCAGGAGGATCTCTTGAGCCCAGGAGTTCAAAGGCTGCAGCGAGCTATGATCACGCCACTGCACTCCAGCTTGGGCAACAGAGACCCCATCTCAAAAAAAAGAGAAAGAAAGAAAGACGAAGGAATGATCAACCATATCAGATGATGCAGACTAAGTGTTGACCATTGGCTTTAGCAAGATGGAGATCAGAGACCTTGAAAGAGCATTTTGGGTGGAGGAATGGAGGCAAAACATGCCCAGGCAAGAGACAATAGGAAGCTGTACTCTAGCAACTTTCTTGTGGATTCTTTGGGATTTTCTGTATATAAAAATATATAAATTCTATATATCCAGGTACATAAAAATATAGATATATAAATAGATCATAAACTATATAGTCTACATTATATATAAACAGATATATTAAAATGTAATTTTTCTTTTAGATGGAGTCTCGCTCTCTTGCCCAGGCTGGAGTACAGTGGCATGATCTCTGCTCACTGCAACCTCTGCCTGCCAGGTTCAAGTGATTCTCCTGCCTCAGCCTCCCCAGTAGCTGGGATTACAGGCGCATGCCACCACACCTGACTAATTGCTGTATTTTTAGTAGAGATGGGATTTCACCATGTTGGCCAGGCTGGTCTCAAACTTCTGACCTCAAGTGATCTGCCCACCTTGGCCTCCCAAAGTACTGGGATTAGAGGCATGAGCCACTGTGCCCGGCCAAAATGTATAATCTATATATAAAACATTAGGACACAGTCGTGATGGTTGCACAACAGTGTGAATGTAATTAATGTCACTGAACTGTACAGCAGCACCGCCTGGGCAGTTGTTGGAAAGGCTCATCATCAGCCCACATTTTCTTGTCATGGATTTGGAAGCCCAGAGAATGGGGTCCAGCCATCTGTTCTTAACAAACCCTCCAGGTGGATCTGATGCCAGGTCTCATGTGAGAAGGCTGGCCAAAGGAATTGTGGGAGAAATGCTCGACAACAGCGGTGTGTGAAGTTCATGGATCCCGAGAGGCCAGTGTAGTGGTCCTGAGTATCAATTCTGGGGCTGAATTGCCGGTTCTGTTCTAATTCCTCCACCCAGCTGTGTGATCTTGGACAAGTCTCTTAACCTTTCTGTGCTTCAGTTTTCTCATCTTGAAATGAGGATGATAATAGTAGTATCTCATAAGGTTGTCGTGAGGATTAAATGACTTACTGTATGTCAGGCACCTATAATGGTACCTTGCCCATGGAGAGCACTATGAGAATAGCTATTGTGATTGATTTAAAGTGAGGCCATCGGCATGGATTTGTATCATTTTATTGTGCCCTCTGGTTGCGCAGGTGCTGAGTAGGTGGAATGTTGCCTTTGATAAGGGCTGGGTTTTTGCTGGGTAAAAATCATGAATCGAGAGTAGGCAGCCTAGTGGAGATTGTGTACAACCAAAGGATTTAATGGTGAGCCATGGAATCTGCACTGTGTGTAGCACGGGCATGACAGCGGTGGGCGAGGCAGTGAAAAGGTGGAGGGATCAATGGATGGAGGACCCAATGGAGTAGGGTGGTTGCTGAAGTTGGGGTGCCTGAGGGGTGAGCTGGCAAGACAGTGTTGTTGGTCACAGCATGCGATTCCTGAAATGGATGGTTTGCAATTATCAGTAACAACAGAGTCTGAGTTTTGGCCACAGAGTAAGTGGCTGAGTTAGGGTGGAGAATACGATTGTTGGATAGGACTTTAAGGAACTGAAAAACCTGGGTCTTGGATGAATCATCTACCAAGACAGCAAAATCACCAAGAATTCTGATGAAGCAATGTTGGAATTGCAACAGCAAGGCACCAACTCAGCTCTTCTAGGAGTGAGGGGAAAACCCTGGGGGTCCACAGGATACAGGGGCAAGATGGACTAGTCTGATGATGTGAATTGCTAAGCAAGGGGGCGTAGAGAAGGGAAGGAGAGTGGCTTGGGTGTGGTGATGGGGAGCAGGGGTCACCACCTTCCGCTTGGTCCTCTTGGTACAAGGGGAGAGGGACAGAAAACAACTCCACCTAAGGGGATTATAGTGGAAGCTTGTTCTCTTAGCTAGAGGGAAAATAGAAAGGGATTTTTTTTTTTTTTTGGAGACAGGGTCTCACTCTGTTACCCAGGCTGGAGTGCAGTGGTGTGATCATGGGTGACTGCAGCCTTGACCTCCTAGGCTCAAACAATCCTTCTACCTCAGCCTTCTGAGTAGCTGGGACTACAGGTGCACACTGCCATGCCTGGCTACTTTTTAAAAAAATTTTTGGGCTGGGCACGGTGGCTCATGCCTGTAATCCCAGCACTTTGGGAGGCTGAAGTGGGCAGATAACGAGGTCAGGAGATCAAGACCATCCAGGCTAACACGGTGAAACCCCATCTCTACTAAAATATACAAAAAAATTAGCCGGGCGTGGTGGCGGGTGCCTGTAGTCCTAGCTACTCGGGAGGCGGAGGCAGGAGAATGGCGTGAACCTGGGAGGCGGAGCTTGCAATGAGCCGAGAGCGTGCCACTGCACTCCAGCCTGGGCGACAGAGCGAGACTCCATCTCAAAAAAAAAAAAAAAATTTGTAGAGACTGGGTAGTCATATGTTGGCCAGGCCAGTCTCAAACTCCTGAGCTCAAGCAATCCTGCTGTTTTGGCATCCCAAAGTGCTGGGATTACAGATGTGAGCCACCATGCCCAGCGGAGGAAGAGAATCGTTGATGAGGTTGATGGTCTTAATTCACTGATCCACTTCTATGCCTGGCACTCAGCTGGGCACTGCGATGGAGAAGAAAAGTGTAAGATATTTCTGCCATCATGGACTTTATGCTCCACCCAGGAGACAGAGAGTAAACAAGATTTTAAAAGCCAAATATGTAGTCTATTAGATAGTGCTAAGGACTAGGAGAAAAAAAAAAGCAGAGAAGACATATGGAAGGGTCAGTAGTTGAAACTATAATAGGTGGCTGGGAAAAGCCCCCCTGCTAAGATGACATGGAGTAAAAACTTGAAGGATATTGGAGAGCTGGCTGTACAGATATGTGGGGCTGGGAAGAACGGCAAGTGTGGAGGCCCTGAGGTGGGAGCATGCCCAGAATGTCTGAGGACAAGCAAGAGGCCAGTGTGGTGGGAGCAGGTGGACAGGGTGGGGACCGTGGGAGAAGATGAGGTCAGACAGGTTAACAAAGGTGTAGGCAGATCACACAGGGCCCTGTAGGTATAGGCCTTTACTCTGAGTGAGATGAAGAATCACTGAGGGGTTTTGGGCAAAGGAAGAATGTGAATTGCATTTTGATGGAGTCATTCTGGCTGGGCAAAGTTGGGGAGAGGGGCAAGGGCAGATGTAAGGCGACTGGTTAGGGAGCTTTTGCCACTATCCAGTGGAGAGTTGGTGGCAGCTTGGACCAGGGAAGTCGTGGGGCCTGGTTTTAAGGCCAGATGGCCAGTGTGTCCTCAATAAAAGAAAGCAGGCAGCATGTGTGGGTACAGGTGCAGTAAGAGGAGGCAGAGGTGTGGTGTGGGAGCTTGTGGAAGTTCCTCTGATTTTTCCTATGTTCTTAGTGTATAAGGAAGCTAGCTGAATGTGAGGAGGGGTGAGGAAGTATTAGACGTCAGCAGGGAGAAGAGATGGCATGAAATATTCATCTTGGAGAGAGGGAGGGGAAACAGATTCTAGCAATGGTATATACTGGGGCCCATGCATCAGACTCACCAGAGGCTTGGTTAAAGTAGAGTGCTGGGCCCACCCCCAGAGTATTATGATTGAGTAGCTCTGACATGGGGTCTGAGAATTTGCATTTCTAACAAGTTCCCAGATGATGCTGATGCTGCTGGTTCAGGGACCATCCTTGAGACCCACCAGACAAGAGAAATATAGTAGGCTTGCTCAGCCAAATGGAAAACCCATTTGTGCTTAATGATGGTGACTTTACTGGAAGGCCATTAGTATGGCTGTGTTTCTGTCCCATCACGGTCAGTGCACAGGATCTGGTGCAGAACAGGCAGCTGTATTGAACCTGGGTTGAAGGTTGACCAAGTGGATGCTGCAAGTTATGAGAAAGTCAAGAGGGTTAAGGGTAGATGCAAATGATTGATTCCACTGATTGACTTTGGAATGGAATCTGGAAAAGGTGAGAAGAGAGGAGGTGAGACAGCAGAGAGGAGATAAGATCCAGGGCTTCGGGCTGGGCACGGTGGCTCACGCCTGTAATCCCAGGACTTTGGGAGGCTGAGGCAGGCGGATCACGAGGTCAGGAGATGAAGACCATCCTGGCTAACACAGTGAAACCCTGTCCCTACTAAAAATACAAAAAAATTAGCCGGGCGTGGTGGTGGGCACCTGTAGTCCCAGCTACTTGGGAGGCTGAGGCAGGAGAATGGTGTGAACCCGGGAGGCAGAGCTTGCAGTGAGCCAAGATCACGCCACCGCACTCCAGCCTGGGCGACAGAGCAAGACTCCATCTCACAAAAAAAAAAAAAAAAAGAAAGAAAGAAAGAAAAGAAAAGATTCAGGGCTTCAAGGATAACTGGGGTCTGGGTCCTAGTGAGGGTGAGCTGGAAAGATGGCAAGTGATAAGTGGTGAGTGGTCGAGGAGTTATTGGACGCTGAGACCATGGATGGTGCAAGACCATCACAAGGAACAGCTGAGGTGAGATGGAAGACAGGGGATTAGAGGACAGGGGATCAGAGTCTCAGAAGGTCCATCTATCTGTTTGGATATTGAAAACACTGAGAATTAAGACAGGAGCAGTGGGCCGGGCACAGTGGCTCACGCCTATAATCCCAGCACTTTGGGAGGCCAAGGTGGGCAGATCAGAGTTCGAGACTAGCCCGGCCAACATGGTGAAACCCCATTTCTACTAAAAATACAAAAATTAGCCAGGCATGATGGCGCATGCCTGTAATCCCAGCTACTTGGGAGGCTGAGGCAGGAGAACTGCTTGAACCCAGGAGGAGGAGGTTGCAGTTAGCCGAGACCGCACCACTGCACTCCAGCCTGGGTAACAGAGGGAGACTCTGTCTCAAAAAAAAAAAGAAAAGAAAAGACAGGAGCAGTGTTAGAGAGAGTGATCATGAGCCAGGAGCTAAAATCCTCAAGCAATCAGGGGTGACCTGGTGGCCAGGAGGTGCACTTTGAAGACATGAGGTTTAAAGCCTGAAGGTTTTACAGGAACAATGATGGAGAAGAGAATGGCAGTGACAAGGGGGAGCCGAGAGGAGAGAGGAGCCCACGACACCTTTAGGCCCATGGTGCGGAGGCGGCAGGAAGTGAACACAGCCACCACTTAAGGCAGCTGAGCTCTCAGGGAGAGCCAGGGTCTGTTCCATCTGTGGTTCTTGACCCAGCCACAAATTAGAAACACCTGGGGAATTTTGAGAACATGCCAATACCTGGATGCCACAATCTGAAATTTTATTTTATTGGTCTGGTGAGGAGCCTGGACTTCAGGATGTTTTTAAGCCCTTGAGGTGATATGAATGTGCAGCCCAGGAATGAGAGTAAGAAGATCAAGGGGACCCTGAGAGATTTGGACCAGGGTCCAGAACAGAGTGGCAGGTTTCAGGAGACAGGGTCAGAATTGGGGACAATGGCAAGGCGGGACATGAGGATTCAAATCTGAAGGAGCAAGGGGAGACCTGAGCTTCTATAGTAACAGACATGAAGAAGGCTCAGGTGCCTCACTGTGGTCTCAAGGCAGGTCATGGTGATGAGTCTGTGTTGGAAAGAGGCAGGGGTGGGGGTCTTGCCAGGAGCAAAGAGAGGGTGGTGGTCTCTCCATAACCACAGTGGTGATGTGGAGGACAGCGGACGGGTGTCCTAACAATACCTGTCTCAAAGAATGAAATGTCAACAAATTGAGTTTCAAAGATTTAATTGGCTTTTATTAGCAATTCATGAATTGGACAGATCCCATCTGCAAAATAGAAAGGTGTTCCAATGAGCTGAGCAGAGGTGGTGGGCTTTATAGGCAGAAAAAGGCTGAAGAAAGTAGAAACAAGGATCAAAAAGCAGATGGGTCATTTCCAAGTTACTTTCCTTAGAGGGTTAAAGAAGAGGCCGGGCGTAGTGGCTCACACCTGTAATCCCAGCACTTTGGGAGGCCAAGGTGGGTGGGTCATGAGGTCAGGAGATCGAGATCATCCTGGCTAACACGGTGAAACCCCATCTCTACTAAAAATACAAAAAATTAGCCGGCGTGGTGGTGGGCGCCTGTAGTGCCAGCTACTCTGGAGTCTGAGGCGGGAGAATGGCATGAACCCGGGAGGTGGAGCTTGCAGTGAGCCGAGATCATGCCGCTGCACTCCAGCTTGGGCAACAGAGCGAGACTCTGTCTCAAAAAAAAAAAAAAAAAAGAAGACTTCCTTATCATACTGGCTCAGGTTGATGAGCCCCTTTGGGTTGGTTGCTGTGAATCTCTTGTTTTTCAAGAAACTCTCCTGTTTCTAAGTTTAGTTTGACTACATAGCACCTAGCATGAGGGACTCCATTCTGGTTTGATCTGGTCTGCTGGGGCCTAGTATAGGGGCTCAGTCCAAAACAATGTTTTTTTGTCTCATAAATTGTTTTTAACACCTGGACCTCCAGGACTGTGGCTTGGCTCCTAGCTTCCTCTTCCCTTTACCTCCATGTCGGATTCCTCAGCCAAGGCATGGGTTCCAGTGAGGCAGGGGAGCCTCGTGGTTAGAGTACAGACTGTGGAACCAGATGGTCTTGGTTCAAATCTCTGCCCTGGGTAACCTTGGATAAGTTACTCAATCTTTCTGTGCATATAGTAGGGCCTAGTGTGTTGCCATTATTCATTTTTTCTTTTTCTTTTTTTTTTTGAGACAGAGTCTCGCTCTCTTGCCCAGGCTGGAGTGCAGTGGCGTGCTCTTGGCTCACTGCAACCTCCGCCTCCTGGGTTCAAGAGATTCTTCTCCCTCAGCCTCCTGAGTAGCTGGGACTACAGGCACATACCACCACGCACGGCTAATTTTTTTTTTTTTTTGTATTTTTAATAGAGACGGGGTTTCACCATATTGGTCAGGCTGGTCTTGAACTCCTGACCTCGTGATCCCAAAGAGCTGGGATTACAGGAGTAAGCCAATAAGCCCAGTCTTTTTTTTTTTTTAAGAGACAGTATCTTGCTGTGTTGCCCAGGCTGGTCTTGAACTCCTGAGCTCAAACGATCTTACTGCCTTGACCTCCCAAAGTGCTGGGATTACAGGCTTGAGCCACCATGCCCAGTCCGCCATTATTCTTTACAAAACATATCCCAAATCATCTATTTCTCTTCATCCGCGTTATTCCAACACCAGTCCAAGCCACCGGTATCACTTGCCAGGAGTTCTGCAGTAGCCTCCTTAACGGGTGTCCTGTTTCTACTCACTGCCTACTCTAACTCACTCTCATGCTGCAGCCAGGGTGACATTTTGAAACTGAAGATTAATCCCTGTTCCTCCTGTGTTTAAAATCTTCCCATGACTTCTCATCCATGGCATTTAGAATAAAGTCCCAAATCAGTATACCTGGGTTACAGGAAAGTCCCTCACAATCTGGCCTTCCTCTTCACCTCATTTCCTCAGCCACTAAATTCCAGGTTCGCTGCCCTTTCTCTTCTTTAACATGCCACGCGCACTCCTGCGTGAGCCTCTGTACCAGCTGTTCCCTCTGCAGAGTATTCATCCTCTAGCCGGGGCATGGCTGGATTCCTCCTGTCACTCAGCTCTCAATGGAGGCATTCCATGGCCCCAGTGTCAGGGGGTGTCTGATCACTCACTTTGTTCACACCTGTTTTCATTCTCTGCATGGCACTTACTACTTTTTTGTATTGTTTTTTTGTTTTTGTTTGTTTACAATTTGTTCTTCTTTGGATTTCCTCCAAAGCCGACACTGAAACAGGTTTGGATACAGATAGTTTATTTGGATAATGTTGCCAGAAAGCAGGGAAGGTGAGACAGGAAAAGTGCAAAGTCAATGTGAGGGTGTTACTAGCGTCTCTCCTTACTCTGGAGCTTTATCCTGCCAGGACCTCTGACAAGGGTCATACAGAATGCCTCCCAGAGTTGTTCTTCTGAAGGACGGGGGCCATATCCTCTATCGCCAACTCCTGGCCCACCTTGTTGGGGGCTGCCTCTGGGCATTAATTCCTCCCTTCCAGGTTGTGCTTGCCTGAGAGCCAAACTGGTTCCAGCTACATCGCTGCATTGGAGAAGGCTTTGGCAGCCAGAGAAGAGTCAAAGCTTTCCCCTATGGCTGTGGCTGAACTCAGTGGTGGCCCAAGTGGCTGTGCAACAGGTATCAGTGGTGTCTGCTGCCTGCTCCATTTCCCCCAACATCTTCCTAAGTTAAGCTCTTCCTAAGTGGAAATGTGGCTGTTTTGCTCACTGATGCTCCCAAGAGCCTAGCACAGTGCCTGACACAAAGTAGCTATCACTAAATATTAGTTGAATGGACTCCTTTCATCAATCCAAGGGTAGGCACTGCTGTTATCCTCATTATATTCAGACGAGGAAACAAAGACTCACCCAGCTCACATAGGTGGCACAGCTGGAGTATGAGTCCAGGCAATCTGACTTTAGACTTTGAGCTTTTTTTTTTTTTAAATACAAACAATCCCATAGCATTTATTGCCATCTTGTAATAACATAAGGGTAATCAAAACAATACGAATAAATGTTCATATTGGACAAAAAACATCTAAAAACAAACTGTATCCATCTCAACAATTTCTCACTTCATTGTTCATTTCTAGTTGGAGAAACTTCGTAGCAGAGTAATATTATGTCCTTTTAGCATGATCCGACTCGGTCGTATTCATGACTTTGTTTTAGAATGAATCTCTTCTGTATCATCTAATACAAGGTTCATATACTCATCAAAACTAATGATACAGCCTTCTATCCGCATATTCACTTGCTCATAGAGCCACACCTGAATCTGCGATCTATTTTGTAAGTTTATCTGAAGATGAGATTGATGGGCTGCACCATAACCTTCTGCACTTTCTGGCCCTGGCCATGGTATGCCATGGTGGAATTTCACAAAGAGCACACCCACCCGCTGATTTCAAGCTTTTAACTCTAAGAACCTACTTTATCAGTAGCTATAGTTACTGAGGACTATGATTAGAGTTGATCATTTAATTTATATTGGCAGTGTAATCGTTTTGAATATTTATTTTAGAGATTGCCTTGCCTTTATGGCATAATGGCTTTTTTTTTTTTTTTTTTTTTTTGGAGACAGAGTCTAGCTCTGTCGCCCAGGCTGGAATGCAGTTGGAATGCAGTGGTACAATCTTTGCTCACTGCAAACTTCACCTCCCGGGTTCAAGCGATTGTCCTGCCTCAGCCACCCAAGTAGCTAGGGTTACAGATGCGTGCCACCATGCCTGGCTAATTTTTGTATTTTTAGTAGAGACAGGGTTTCACCATATTGGCCAGGCTGGTCTCAAACTCCTGACCTCAGGTGATCCGCCTGCCTCAGCCTCCTAAAGTGTTTGGATTACAGGCTTGTCCTACCCACACCCCACCCGGCATAATGGCTTTCATATTGTGTTAGGATATGATCAAGAGGATTAAGAAGAATGAAAAACTCTAGTATTTCAAAGGCCTTGGAAGACAGGATAAATACTTGCAACTGGCCAGGTCTGATATGGAGTAGGAAGAGGTCCTGGAGTACGTGCACGCTCCACAGTTGGTGCCTTGTAGCAGGAGTTGGCAAACTTTTTTGTAAAGGGCTGGATAGCAAATAGGCTTTCTAGGCCATAGAGTCTCTGTCTCAACTACTCACCTCTGCCACAGTAAAAGGAAAGCATCCACTGTGAATATATAAACAAATGGGTGGGGCTGTGTTCCAATCAAACTTTATTTCTAAAAACAGAGTCCAGGTCAGATTTGGCCCACAGGCTGTGGCTTGCTGACCTGTCTTTGAGGATGTAAGCTAGATCTTCTGACCTTTCAAGAGAAGATGAAAATCAGGATTTTTATGTTAAAAAAAAATCCCAATTCTGAAAATACAGTGTGGGCTGCCAGTTTGCTTGCTTATATTGCCTCAAATATGTGTATACTTTTGTTTAGTAAATAGGACATAAATATCAACAACCATAATACCCATGGCATGTGGAAAATACTGTAGTTCAAAAGAGTGACAAATTCCCCTGGAACAGGCAATAGTCACTAATGGCTTAATGGAGGAGACGGTGCTCAGCTGGGATTTAACAGTTAGGTAAAGTTTTTCCATACGAAATTTAGGATGTGGTAACATTCCCAGCAAAAGCAATAGTATTAGCAAAAATATCTGAGGAACCAGAAATATTCATTTTGACAGGGAGCAACAGGCGATAAGATTGGGCAAGCAGGAAAGGAGACCAATGACTGCTGAGGGGGCTGGAGTCTGGTTTATGGACTGCTCAAAACTGCACTGTAGGGAAGCTGGTGTTAGCAATGCCCATTAACAATTGGGGCATGGAGCAATCAAAAATGGAGAGACTAGTTAACAGACTGCTGTACTAGGCAGTAACTGTTTCTTAAAATGAGCTCTTAACTCAGAGCCAACATGCCCAATTTCTAGCTCAAGAACTAAAATCATAGGATGCCAGAGCTAGGAGGAAGCTCAGAGGTCTAACCACCTCTGCCCCCACTGACAGATGGGGAAGCTGTGATCTGAGAGATGTCACTTGCCCACGGCCACAGAGCAAGCTAGGGCAGAGGCAGGCCTGGAACCCAGTTCCCATGAGCACACACACCAAGTACCTTGGAAGCATATACCCTTGCAAAGGGAGAAAAGGTTTGGCTGCTCGTATTCTATAGTGTAGATCATAAAAGCCC
The DNA here is from genome assembly GCF_000001405.40 of Homo sapiens. Classification (NCBI taxonomy): domain Eukaryota; kingdom Metazoa; phylum Chordata; class Mammalia; order Primates; family Hominidae; genus Homo; species Homo sapiens. The sequence continues at coordinate 160,324,895 of NC_000005.10, read as the reverse complement.
AACACAAAATTTAAAGACAGCAGGAAAAACGTGTGTAACAAATTCAGTAACTAATTCTTCCTTTAGCAAAACTCTAAGACATCAACAGAAAGATTGGTAAAGGACAGTTTGTAGAAGAAGAAATACATATGACAGATAGTCACATTCAGAAAACACCAGTCTTGCTGGAGAGCAAAGAAATGTGAACTACAATGATATATTCAATTTCATAATCAATTTGAGGAAACACTGATTCTAAATATATATTTATTATAGATAGATAGATAGACAGACAGTTTTTTGTGTGTGTTTTTGTGTTTTTGCTTTTTGTTTTTGTTTTTTGGAGACCGAGTTTTGCTCTTGTTGCCCAGGCTGGAGTACAATGGCACGATTTCAGCTCACTGCAACTTTCACCTCCTGGGTTCAAGCAATTCTCCTGCCTCAGCCTCATGAGTAGCTGGGATTACAGGTGCCCGCCACCACGCCTGGCTAATTTTTGTATTTTTAATAGAGACAGGGTTTCACTGTGTTGGCCAGGCTGGTCTAGAACTCCTGACCTCAGGTGATCCGCCTGCCTCGGCCTCCCAAAGTGCTGGGATTACAGGCATGAGCCACCACGCCTGGCCAGATAGATAGATTTAACAATGACTTAGTCTTAGTGAGAATCCACTTTTTAACATTGTTGATGAGGATGTTTTAGTATAGCCTTCCTGGAGGTCAATTCATAATCTATTTCAGAAGTCTTAAAACTATTCATACCCTTTGTATAAGTCAAGTTTCTCTAGAGAACCAGAACCAATAGAAGACGAATGGACTGATGGATTATAAGGAATTGATTAATATGTTCATGGAGGCTGACAAGTCCCAAGATCTGTAGTTGGCAAGCTGGAGACCCATGAGGTCTGAGGGTGTAGCTCCAGCCCAAGCCCACAGGCCTGAGCACCAGAAGAGTCTTGGGGATAGTCCCCGTCGGAATGCAGGTGAGCTTGAAACCCAGAAAGAGCCAATGTTTCAATCTGAGTCCAAAGGTGGGAAAAATCAATGTCCCAACTCAAAGACAGACAGAAAAAGAAATTCTCTTTTACTCAGCCTTTTTATTTTATTCAGGTCTTCAACTGACTAGATGAAGCCCACCACACTGGGGAGGGCAGTCAGCTTCCCTCAGTCCACCAATTCAAATGTGACTGTAGAAACCCCCACAGATATACCCAGATCAGCGTTTAACTAATTATGTGGGCACCCCCTGGCCCAGTCAAGTGGAGGCACAAAATTAACTGTCACACCCTTCATCACAACAATTTCACTTCTAGGAGTGTATCCTCAGGATATTGGAGAAGCATAAAGAAAGGATGTTTTTAGGATTTTCATCTCAGTGTTGTTTACAATGCACAGAGAAAAGCCAGAAACAGCATGAGTTGCCAATAGCTCTTAGTCATATTTAAAATACCTAAAATGAAAGACTGGTTAAATAAATGAATTGCCTATACGATAGAATATTATGTAGCTAGTAAAAATATTTTTGAGCCAGGCACGGTGGCTCACACCCATAATTCCAGCTACTTAAGAGGCTGAGGTGGGAGCTTTGCTAGAGGCCAGGAGTTCAAGACCAGCTTGGGCAACATAGTGAGACACTGCTTCTAAACAAACAAACAAATTTTTGAGGGACTTTTTTTTTTTTTTTTGAGTTGGAGTCTCGCTCTGTTGCCCAGGCTGGAGTGCAGTGTCACGATCTCAGCTCACTGCAACCTCCGCCTCCCGGGTTCAAGCAATTCTCTTGCCTTGGCCTCCCGAGTACCTGGGACTACAGGCACCTGCCACCACACCCAGCTAATTTTTGTATGTTTTTAGTAAAGACGGGGTTTCACCATATTGGCCAGGCTGGTCTCAAGCTCCTGACCTTGTGATCCACCCGCCTCAGCCTCCCAAAGGGCTGGGATTACAGTCGTGAGCCACCGCGCCTGGCCTTGAGGGACATTTTTATTATTTTTTTTTTTAATTTTTTTTGAGATGGAGTGTTGCTCTGTCTCCCAGGCTGGAGTGCAGTAGCGCAATCTCGGCTCACTGCGTCCTCCCTCTGCCTGCCTGTTTCAAGCGATTCCTCTGCCTCAGCCTCCCAAGTAGCTGGGACTACAGGTGCGCTGCGCAACCACGCCCAGCTAATTTTTGTAGCTTTAGTAGAGATGGGGTTTCACCATATTGGCCAGGCTGGTCTCAAGCTCCTGACCTTGTGATCCACCTGCCTCAGCCTCCCAAAGTGCTGGGATTACAGGCGTGAGCCACCGCGCCCAGCCGAGGGACATTTTTAAAGGTATCTCATGAAAAATGCTCGTGAGATCATTTTGGGCTTAGAAGTAGCAGGCTAGGAAACTATGTATGCATACAATTACAACTTAATGATTACACAGTAATTTTGGCTCGCACTTATTCAACACCCTTTATATACCAGGCATCATATCATTTGACCTTCATATAACCCCATAAAGGCAGTACTATTATTATCCCCATTTTGGAAAGAAGGAATCTGGGGTTAGCTAACTTGCTTGAGATCATTAACTAGAAAAAAATCAAAGCCAACATTGAAGTCTGGGGCAGTCTTAGAGCCTTAGCTGTAATACTGAGCTGGTGGAAGCAGGCTGGGTTGGGAAAAGAGGGAAGAGGGCAATACATCAAAAATGTCCTTAGAGACGTGATTAAGTTCCACATCTAAGTAAATGGGAACTTCACCCTTTAGGTGTTCAGAGGTAAAACCTGGGGTCATCTGATTTCTTTCTCTTACACCTCACATCTAGTCCATCAGCAGATCCTATAGGCTCCTGTTTCTAACTATGCTCAAGATCTGGCCCCTCCTCACTCCCTTCACCTCTTCCCCCTGCCCAAGCCAGCCCCATCTCTCAGCTGGATTATTACAGTAGGCTCTGACCTGGTCTGCCTTTCCTCACCCCCACTGCCTATGTGCCTGGCCAAAGACCATTCCATCAATATCACAGTGGTTACCTGCTGGTAGGGGGCAGGGTTGGGGGAGGTGTTGTTCAGGATCTTAATAATATATATATTTTTTGAGACGGAGTCTCACTCTGTCGCCCAGGCTGGAGTGCAGTGGCACCGTCTCGGCTCCACACCCAACTAATTTTTTTGTTGTATTTTTTTAGTGGAGACAGGGTTTCACCATGTTGGCAAGGCTGGTCTTGAACTACTGATCTACCTGCCTCTGCCTCCCAAAGTGCTGGGATTACAGGCGTGAGCCACCGCGCCCGGCCAGGATCTTAATAATATTTTAATCGTGCTTTAATAGTGGTACAAGGAGAATGATACTTGCGTAATCAAGAAATTTTTCATAGATTTCCCAACCCTTCTCCACCCCAAGCCTGAGTCCCCTCAGCTGAGCGGCTGCGACCGTAATCCTTGGCTCTTGAACTTTGGGTCTTTGCAGCCCTGGAAGCTACGGAAGCCCCTCATAGAAGGTGGCTTTGTGGCATCCAGGTGGCCCAAGGAAAGCAGCACCCTGCTGCTGGCAGTGAGGAACTTCTAGGCATGAGGGTCCCCCGGCAGGCTTGTCTGGTCACCTTTCACTGTCCAGTCTCAGTCTCCTTCCTGTTTATTGTCTGTTGGAGGAGCAGGGCTGGCAGGCTCAGGGGGGTTGAAGTTAATGGTGCCTTTTATTTCCTCCTCCTGGAGTCTGGAAAGCTCTTATCCCATTGTTCCCTGCAGAATCCCTGTCAGGCTGGAGGGCTCCTATCACACACCTACGCCAGGGTTTCCAAGCCAGGGCTGATGTGGTGTGTCGCCCACATGGTGGAAAAAAAAGAGAGAGAGAGAAAGAGAGAAGGAAAGAAAGAAAGAAAGAAAGAAAGAAAGAAAGAAAGAAAGAAAGAAAGAAAGAAAGAAAGAAAGAAAGAAAGAAAGAGAGAGAGAGAGAGAGAAAGAAAGAAAGAGAGAGAGGGAGGGAGAGACAGAGAGGAGAGAAGGAGGGAAGGAAGGAAGGAAAGAAGGAAGGAAGGAAGGGACAGAGGGAGGGAGGGAAGAAAGAAAGAAAAAGAAAGAAAGAGAGAAAGAAAGAAAGAAAGAAGGAAAGAAAGAAAGAAAGAAAGAAAGAAAGAAAGAAAGAAAGAAAGAAAGAAAGAAAGAAAGGAAAGAAAGAAAAGAAAGAAAGAAAAGAAAGAGGCAAAGTCAAGCCAGTATTTTAAAATCAGGAGATATCTCAATTTCCTCTTTCTTTTGAAGTCAAACAATCTGGCAATAGTGGGCACCAATTCCCAAGCTTTCACAATTTGAGGGGATGCAGAAGGGGCTCCCCACCCTGGATGCAGCACGCACCCACTGGTCAACCACAGTCCTCATCGCTCCACACTGCTTCCTGGCACTGTGGCTGGTGTGGACATTGACTGTCAAACTCAGGCGGTTTTTTCCTCATAAAGAGGAATACTTCTCTCCCTCCAAGTTTCTTCCAAAGGTTGGGGAGTGGGGGAAGTTAGACCAGGAGGGCCGTAAGTCATCTTCTCGTTATGTTGTCTTCCTGACCCTCTTATCCCCCCAGATTGTGTCCTCTGGGATCGAATCCCACCCCCTCCTTTCACAGAAGGAGAAACTGAGGCCCATGGAAGGAAGGCTACTCACTCAAGCCTCACCATGGGTTCACAGAGCTTGCTTCAGGCTCCAAAGAGCAATGTCATCGGAAGGTTCTAGCCTGCTCTGTTATTATTATGGATGACAAAATAATATTAGAGAGCAATTTATACCTCATGATTCTTCATGTCATACAACAGTCCTTTAAGGAAAGAGTAGTTTTCTCATTTTACTAATATGAACAAGGAGGTCCAAAAAGCATAAGTGGCCCATAGAGGGTCACACACTTTCTAGATCTCATTTGAAAAATGAGGACAGTAACTCCTGACCAGTCTGAAGTCTGGGCCAGGTGATTCCCATAGGTCCCCGTTAGCTCCGCTATCCATGTTATCCATCGTTTATTTATTTATTTATTTATTTATTATTTATTTATTGAGACAGGGTCTTGCTCTGTTGCTCAGGCTGTACTGCAGTGGAGAGATCAGGGCTTACTGCAGCCACGATCTCCCCACCTCAACCTCCCAAGTAGCTGGCACTAACAGGCTTGCACACCACCACACCTGGCTAAATTAAAAAACAAAAAAAATTGTAGAAACGGTCTCACTATGTTTCCTAGGCTCGTCTTAAGCTACTGGACTCAGGTGATCCTCCCACCTCAGCCTCCCAACGTACTGGGATTCCAGACTTGAGTCACTGTGCCTGACCTGTTGTTTATTATTTCAGTAAACCTATATTGACGACGTCCTTTACTGCAGGCACTGGGCTAGATGTTGGGGATACAAATACGGAAAAGATACAGGTCTTGTCTTCGAGGAACCTGAAGTGTGTGGGGTAGATAGATGCAGGTGTGGGAGAACAGAAAGAAAGGCAATGGATAATTATTTGGGAAGTAGGGAAGCCTGCTCTCAGTGATTGCTTGGACATGTGTCACAGTGCTGGCATAAGCTAAGCATGCCGCAAATGATAAATTTTCTCATATTTATCCACAAAAATACATCACTAGCAAGGGGGAAAACTTTGCCACAAGGATTGCTCACAAAGGAGATGGGTGACTTCAGGTTAAAAACAACATGGGCTGGGCGAGGTGACCCTTGCTTGTAGTCCCAGCTACTCAAAAGGCTGAGGCAGGAGGATCCCTTGTTGAACCCAGGAGTTCTAGGCCACAGTGAGCTATGATCATACCACTGCACTCCAGCCTGGATGACAGAGCAAAACTCCATCTCTTAAAACAAAAGAGAAAGAGAGAATATCTTTGGAAGGAAACATAAATGAATTTCTTCTGGGATGGCAGTCAGGTGGGACAGAGTGGGAGCAGTGTGAGATAGTTTTTGGACAGTTTACGGAGCCCTCTCTCAACTTGTTGTGAGTTCTTTCTAAAAATTTTTTATTGAGATATTTTTAAAATATGCTATTTAATGTCATTTTCAGCAAAGAAAAATTCAAAATGTAAAGTATTAGCAAGAGTTTTTATCATTTATATTATGCATGCCAGTTTTAAATGCAAAAATAAGAACACAGCTCACATGCAAAATCACTGAAATTACACAAATTCTATTTTGTAGCCTGAACATGCATATATATTTCATTCTTTCCGTAATGGTGAAAACACTCCACAAAATTAAGTTAACTATTTTTATTTCACTCTCGATACATGCACATCCAATCAACACGCTCTACCTTAGGCATAATACTAATGAGTAAGGAAGAGCTGAAGGAAGAGGAACTATGGGTTGCCCCATTTTTCCCTTTCTATTTATGTCATAATACATGGTTGCCTAACACAGGGACACAACACCCCTAAGAAAGCATATGATAGGGTTCCCCGGTCATTCATCTTTCCTAGAATACTATTGCCTTCTGTTATGGATTGAATGGTGTACCTCCACAAAAGATAAGTTGAAGTCTTAACCCTCAGTAGCTCACAATGTGACCTTATTAGGAAATAGGTTCATTGCAGATGTCATTAGTTCAGATGACATCATATTGAGTAGGGTGGGCCCTTAGTCCAATATGACCGGTGTCCTTGTAAGAAGACATGGCCCGGCGTGGTGGCTCACGCCTGTAATTCCAGCACTTTGGGAGGCCAAGGTGGGTAGATCACCTGAGGTCAGGAGTTCAACACCAGCCTGGTCAACATGGTGAAACCCTGTCTCTACTAAAAATACAAAAATTAGCCAGGCATGGTGGTGCGTGCCTGTAATCCCAGCTACTGGGGAGGCTGAGGCAGGAGAATTGCTTGAACCCTGGAGGCAGTGGTTGCAGTGAGCCGAGATTGTGCTACTGCACTCCAGCCTGGCAACAGAGTGAGACTCCATCTCAAAAAAAAAAAACAAAAAAAGAAGAAGAAAAAGAAGACTACGTGAAGAGAAAGAGAAGAAGCCCGTGTGAAGACACAGGCAGGGTCTGGAGTGCTGTAGCTACAAGCCAAGGAAGAACAAGGGACTCCAGTTGTAATACCTGGCCACCCCCAAAAACCAGGAAGAGGAAAAAAGAATTTTTCCTTAGAGTTTTCAGAGGGAGTGTGGCCCTACTGATGCCTTGATTTGGGACTTCTAGTACCCAGAATCGTGAGAGAGGAAAGTTCTCTTGTTTCAAGCCATCCCATTGTTGTACTTTGTTATGGCAGCCCCAGAAACTGATAACACCTTCTTTCCGTGTTCCAAAGCAAGTTCTAGTTCAAATAGAAAGCACAGCCTCTCAGGTACTCCCCCCACCCCATGCCCACTTGTACACATGATCCACTGACCTTCTGCTCCCTTTGAATGTCACCAAACTCCATGCATCGCAGGTCCACTGGAATTCTATGCTCATGAGGCACGGGATATAGTACATGCAAACAGAGAACGGAACAGCAGACACTTATCATGTGTCTCCTCTGCTCCCTGCATGCTTCACTGTCCTGAAGGACTTCATTTACAAAACACAGGTTCAACGATAAAATTTTCTATATGGATGGAGCTGGCCCTGCGTGAGAGGGAGGTTTATTTTTCACTTATTCCTTCTGTGCCTTTTTAAATTTAAAAAAGTAATGTGGACCAGCTTTATGAATGTCCTAGGCTTTGAGTTCTGTTTGCAAAATGCTGCTTTTTTATTCTTCCTGCCTTGTTCTCAGACCTAATCTGCCGACTCATATCTCAAGAACTTGTAGTCAAGGATCATAAAGGATTTGGCAAATGTTCTCTTGACTAAGTAGAGCACACGATTAAAAATCATTTAAAGGCATTGGATTGGTTTTTGGTTAAAGATCAAAGTGGTAATAAGGCAGATGTCTTCCGTCTGTCTCTATAAACTGAGCCAGGCTTCATGCTTTTGGTCCTGAATGGAGCAGTGCCAACCATTAACACCATGAGGAAACACTATTCAAAGTATATGCCTCAACTTCCCCTGGACAGTTGAGTATTTGAGGAATTTATATGCTTGACCCTGTCAGGATATTCACTGCAGTATGGTTACATGGAAGCAAATATTCACTGCAGTGTGGTTATATGGAAGCAGAAGGCTAGAAATGTATGGACATTCCCAGGCTAAATGTCCACACATCATGATGGATCCATACTATGGAACTACGGGATGCCATGCAGTTCTTTGGGCACTGCCATAAAACAACAAAACACAAAACAGTAAGGCACACAAGGATGTGTAGAGTATGCTACCTTTCATGTAAAAGGAGAAAAAGGCATGAATGTCTACACTGGTGAATGCATAAATCACTTCCGAAGGAAACATAAGACTCTGGTTATCATTGGGGAGGAGGAGAACAAGGCCTGGGACCAGAGGGAGAACGTGTACATTTTTCCATGTTTGAGAGTTTGTATCATATGAAAAGCAAAAGGAAAGTTCAGTGCAAACTGGGCAGTTGATAATATCACAGTGAAAATATTAGACCAATTTGTCCTCTAAGGAAGATTGAAAAGGGCAGATTTTTTTTTTTTTAGGGATATATAAGAAAGCTGAAGATAAGTAGAATGCACTTGCTCTAAATCTGTTGTTCCCAACCTGTGAGCTTCAGAGGTTGAGGGTGGAGGGATGGTAACTGACTCATGGTAAGCACTTAATGAAAGTTTAGTTTTTGAATGGCTTAATGAATGCTTCTTCTTGTCTTGGTTGGGGGTGGATGGGAGAAGTGATTCCAGTTGCATTGGTACTTCCTGCTGCCCGGCACAGGAAGCCTTCTCTGCTAAGGGCACCTGTGGACAGTGACTCAGCACAAAACCATCTGTTTATTGGTGCAATGTATATTTACTCTTCAGAAATACTGAGAAAATGAGGGACTCTGGAGAATGATACACAAAGGGGTGTGGAATGAGTATGCTTAGAATCCTACTGAAATACCCCTGGAGAAAAGCCCAAAGCTTCTGCTTTCCCTCTTAGTTATCCAAACTCCTGATAATTGATAGCTGAAGTTTAGGAAAAGGGCAGTACATATTAGTGAATAATAAAGGCCTGTCTTCTTTCAATGTACCCAGCATAGAAAGACTGGGAAATAAATAATACTGCTATGAAAAACAAAACAAAACAACAATGCTGTTCATTGTTGTTGAATGGAAGAACCCTCTAGTACATATTGATATGTCATGTGATTATTTTAAAGTAACATTCACTCTTTTTTTCTGGTTATGAAATAATGCATATTTCTTGTTGAAAATTTAGAAAATACAGAAATATTAGGAAAAAAGGTAAATTAAAATTTACCATAATCCTACCACTCTGATTACACAGTTAATATTTTTGCATATGTGTGTGTGCATGAATGTAGTTTAACTGGGATCGTACTCTAATCTTTTTTTGTTTTTATTCATCCCCTTAAAGACAGCTTATTCTTTCTCTTGTTTTTGTTTTTGTTTTCAGAGGCAGTGTCTCGCTCTGTTGCCCAGGCTGGAGTGCAGTGGCACAATCACGGCTCACTGCTGCCTCAACCTTTGGTGCTCAAGTGATTCTTCTATTTCAGCTTTCTGAGCAGCTAAGACTACAGGTGTATACCACCACACCTGGCTAGTGTGTGTGTGTGTGTGTGTGTGTGTGTGTGTGTGTGTGTTGGGGGGCGGGGGCGGGATCTTGCTATGTTGCCCAAGCTGGTCTTGAACTCCTGGCCTCATGCAATTCTCCCACCTCAGCCTGCCAGTGTGCTAGGATTACAGGCATGAGCCACCGTGCCCAGCCCAGTTTATCCTTTTTATTTAATAAATTATAAACATTTTCTCCAATTCATCATGCATCCTTTAAAAAATGCTTTTAAGAGACAAATAATTATTAAACCAGTTCCCTGTTCTAATGGTTCACTATGATGAAAAAGCATTTTTGATGAAACACCTTTGAAATAAATCTGCTTTTTTTAAAAGAATAAATTTCTACAGGTGGAAGAGTTGGATCAAATAATACAGTTTAAAATGTTTTGATTTATGTTGTCTTTCAGAAAGATGGTCTTAATTTATATTCCCAACAACACTGTGGATTGACCAAAATTCCTTAACAAAAAAGTACCCCACTGTTTTTTTAAAAAAAGCTTTTAATTTGCATGCTAGGGAGTATGAGCATTTTAAAAATAACATCTATCCATATGAATTCCTTCTCTGACGGCATACCTACTCATGTCTTGCATCCATTTCTGCACGTAGGGTGTTAATGTTTTACATACCGATTTATCAGAGGTCTAGAAAGTAGCATCAACCTTTTGTCACATTTGTTAAAAATATTTTCTCAAATTTGTCGTTTGCCTTTTTGGCAATGATAATTGATGTATCTAGATCCTGCATATTTATTCAAATTTGTCTACTCACCTTGCCTTTGGTTTCTTCCCATGTCTTAGTATCTAGGCCTTCCCCTCCGTATAATTCGTGTATGTTTTCTTCTTATCCTCTTGTGATTTGCTTGTTTGTAGTTCTCTGAGTTCTTATATTTATTTTGGTGATATTTAAACAAGTCCTTAGTTTTACTTTTTTCCCCCAACCTAATTTATTAAATAATTTAGCCGTTTATACTTGTCCCAACAAAGTGAAATGCCACATTTATCATACAGTGAATTTTTAAATATATTAAATTTTCCTAGACTTTCAGTTATTCCACTGATGCTTAATCCATCCATTCTTGTGTGAACACTACACTGTTTTAACTATAGTGTTGCAATATGCTTTAAGATTTGATAATACAGGTCTGTCCCCCCAGTTTTTTTGTTCGTTTGTTTGTTGAGACGGAGTTTCACTCTTGTTGCCCAAGCTGGAGTGCAGTGGCACGATCTCGGCTCACTGCAACCTCCGCCTCCCAGATGCAAGTGACTCTCCTGCCTCAGCCTACCAAGTAGCTGGGATTACAGGCGTGCACCACCACACTCGGCTAATTTTTTGTATTTTTAGTAGAAACAGGGTTTCACCATGTTAGCCAGTTTGGTCTCAAACTCCTGACCTCAGGTGATCTGCCTGCCCTTGGCCTCCCAAAGTGTTGGGATTACAGGCGTGAGCCACCGCGCCCCGCCATCCCCCCATTTTTAAAATATAAATTTCTTAGCTTTTCTCGCAGATATTCTCCCATTTGAAGGTTAGAAAACATGTTAAGTGCCCCCTCCTCCAATCTACCCACAACCATTAAAATTTTATTAAATAGAGTAATTTGGGTTAAGTTGGTGTTTGTGCCTCTATTCCTTCAAGCCTTCTTTATTATGTTTCAACCTTTGTAATGTCTTCATTAAGAGCCTGCACATTTATTCAGTTTATTTTTAGGTATCTTACACTTTTAAAATGGTTCGTTTGTTTTACATTAAAACTGCTCTTCAAGGTCCAATTGAAGCTTATCAAAGCTGATTTAATTTTTTTTTCCCAGGTGTGTCTTTATGTGCAGGAAAGCAGTCAGAAACTAAAGGCTCTTCAGTCACAGTTGTTTACTGAGTGTTCACTTAATACCTGGTGTAGTGATTATCCCTTTACACGCATTATCTCCTTTAATTTTCAGCAGGTTGGTTTAACTTTTATTTCCATTTTACACACGAGGCTCTGAGTTTGAGGAACTTGACAAAAATCACCCAGTTGGTAAGTGGATTTGATTCCAAATTTGTGAATCTCCAAAACTATCACAAAAATCAATCAGCCAAGAAGGATAGCCCAATGCTATGCCATCAGATGGGCTGACTCAAAAGGATGACTTTCCAAAAGCAAGCAATTGAATTAAAAAGACAATGTTTTCCATCCACCGGACCCGGCAAAAAAAGACTGGTTTTCCTCCAATGTGAGGCATAGTTCATATTCTGCAGGAGCACAATAATACCAGTGACTTAGGCTCCTTTAGAATTAGGGACTCGTGGGTGAACAAGGGTGGTTTTTCTGCAGCTTTCACTGGAATTGTCCGTTTGGAAATCTACCTCCCCATGGCAGGGCGGGTTTCAAAGAAGAGGAGAACAAACAAAAAACAAAAACAGGAAAAAAAAAAAAAGAGAGAGAGAAAGAAAAACAGGTGGAACCGACGTAAGGATGGCTAGAGCAGTGCGCGCGGAAGGCAGAACTTTCTGGGGGCGTCCTGTCCGCACGTTTCACGCGTGGTGCGCGCAGGTGGCGCCGCGGTCCCTTTGCTCCCTGCGCAAGCCGGAGGGGTGCCCAGAAGGCTACCACTAGCCTCAGCGAAGGTGAGAGAGAAGCTTTCCGCCGAAGCGAGGGAGGAGGGCGGGCAGGAAGCGGAGCCAGAGCTGGCAAAGAAAGGCTCCAATTCCCAGCCCCCCGCCCCGCGGGGCGCGGGGGCGCCGGCAGCGCATGCGCGAGGCCCGGCCCCCAATTCCCCCAGCGAGGGAGGGAGGCCCCCGGCGGCCGGGAGCCTGCGAGCCGCGGCGGGACCCGAGCGCACGCAGGGGCGCGGCGACGGCGGGGGCTAGTCGGGCTGCGGAGGCGGCCGTCGGGAGTGCGGAGCGCCTCGGACGAGGGTCCAACCGCCGGCAGGCACCAGAGGGCACGGCTGGCTCGGCACTGGGAGGGGCCCGGCGCTCGCAGCCCCCCACGCCCAGAGAGGATGCGTGAGTTTCGCCCCGGCTCGAGGGCAGGATGTGGGAGCAGGACAAAGGCTGGGCGGCGGGGGAGGAGTTGGGGACGGCGAGCCTGTGGCCGCCGCCAGAGCCCCAGCCTCGAGCGAGCTAGCGGAGTTGACAACTTTCTCTGCAACTTTTGCAAAAGGGAAGATAAAAATTCTGCAAGTTGTTGCACAGCTCCATATCGCCCCGTGTCCGGCGAGCAGAGGGGAGGGGGCACCGCAGCCTTCCGCGGACCAGAGGCGACCTCCAGCTCCTCTGAGCGGCGCAGGAGGGGGCGCCCGCCGGGGCCCGGGGCCAGGGGCGAGAGAGGATAGGGACACCGGGGGTCGGAGCCCGGGGTACGCTCTGGCCGCTGAAGTTGCCCGTGTCCACGCAGGGTGCGCCCTGAGAGCCGGGTAGCCTCGGATAGCGGCGCTGCGTACGCGATGATGGATGAGCCGTGGTGGGAAGGGCGCGTCGCCTCGGACGTCCACTGCACCCTGCGCGAGAAGGTCAGTCCCTCCCTGCCCTTGTCACTCTCAAGACTGGGTACAGTCTCCTTCGGTCTCGACTTCGTGTTCTCAGGTCGCCTGCGTGGGAACTCAGAACTCCCGGGTGCCTTTTTTTCCTCTTACCCTTTACCTTCTCCCGGAGTGTCTGAGCGGAATTGGGGGGCGGGGGTTAGAGACTGGAGATGGGAGAGATTGAAGTTGGTTTTTCTGATAAGGAGCTCAGAACTCTGGGCCAACTAGTCAGAGACAGCCACTGTACCTCTAAGGCAGTGTTTCCTATAGTATTGCCACCCTAGGTTATTTTAAACCGTACGTGAAGGGGTCTTTAAAAAATATTGTGTATTCATTCTAATGTGTAATTTAAGAATGTGTATGTATCTAGCAAGCTCTGCGTTTGCGATTTTCCATTTATTGTAATAATGATGTCGCAGTTTATTTTAAAACAAATTTAAGTAAAAGTAGTAACTCTATATAAAGATAAGTGGTAGTACAGGGAATACATGGTTATGGCCAAATACGTGTATCTATGTGTATATCTAGAATGGGACCGAATGAAATTTAAGGAACACCTGTATAATTGAAAGAGGCTACAAAACAGGGAGGCTGAGGGAAGAAAACAAAAACTCCCCTGCCGGTTTGCCTCCTGTGGCAGAAGGTGGGTGGGAGCAGCTGAAATGTGATCCCTGCACACCCCTCCCCTCAAGGAGAGAAGGGCTGAGGGGCATTGGGAAGGTGGAAGAGTCCAGGTGGGCTGGAGGCATGGCCTGTGTGTCTTGCCTCCAGTCCCTGGGCTGAGATTGGCAAGGGGTGGCTTGGGGAACAGGTGTGAAGTAGTGAATGGATTGGTTTCCTAGGGCTGCCATTACAAAGGACCACACAAACTGGAGGGCTTAAAGCAACAGAAATTTATTTCAGCTCTGGAAGCTGAAGATCCCAGATCAAGGTGTTAGCAGGGCCATGACTCTCAAAAGGCTCTAGAGAAGGATCTTTCCTTCTTCCTTCTTAAATTTGCTGGTGCTTGGTCATCCTTGGCATTCCTCGGCTTGTAGGTACATCATTCCAGTCTCTGCCTCCACTGTCACATGGTGCTATCTGTCTGTCTGTTTTCTCTTCTTACAAGGATACCCGATCATTGGAGTAGAACCCACCCTAATCCAATGTGATGTCATCATAATTTAATTACATCTGAAAAGACTCCATTTCCAAGTAAGGTCACATTCTGAAGTTCCAGATTAACATGACATTTGGGGGGACACTACTGCGCCCAATACAGGGAGGAAAAGGTCTTCCTAGTGCAGTACCTGAGCCCCCACACAGGTTTCACAGTCAGTGCATTTGCTCCGAGTGTCTGGAGGAGTTCTGCTTAAAGGGTCACCAGCTACTCAGTGTTTTTACCTCATTGAGTAGCTGTCTTCCTGTCCAATTAATGCCTTTTTCTTTTCTTTCTGTACCTGCTGACCTGTCTTTGTCCTGCGTTGCTTGGCAAGGCTGTGGCTTTCATCTGTTCCCTTGGTCTTCTTCCCAGAACAGAGTGGCCAACGTGTGGCACATTCTAGGCATCTGGACAAGAAGAAATCCAGGTCTTGTTGGTTCAGTTGAAAAGCAAGGAAAGTGGTAGGGGTATGGTCCTGGCCCTTTTCTGGAGGAGGTGGCTGAATGGAGCTAGTGAGGACTGCCGTGGAAATTGGGCTTCCTTGTTTATCATAGACTCAAGTGGTTGTCATTTCTGCTCATAGCTTAGGAGGAACGACTTCTACCTGATTTGCCCCTTTCTAGAGGGAAGGATTTCTAAGAGCAATAAATGCCATTTGTTTAGTTACCTGAGAATGCCCAACCTTTTATACATAAGGGAGGATGTCCTAAATGTTCCTTCGGCTGCTCAAAGAAGCAAGAAAGGCTCCATGAACTGCTATAGCCATGTCATAGTGCCGTATGAGTTTACTATTGGGCTGCCCACCTCGGAGAGACGATGAGTTTGTCCCAGTTTTGCAGGTTAGAAATAGAAAGCTCACCCAAGGACTGATGGCCAAGGTCAACCTTGACTTAAAGCTGGCCTTATTAGGACAAATCCCAAGTTCCTTTGGTTATAATGTCCCACCTCCTCAAAATACTGCTATTGTTCTCCTTTACTTTATTTCCTCTCCCACTTCAAAGAAGAAAATGCTTCTTCAAAAATTTGGCTTCATGGAGTTTGGCAAGAAGAGTGAAGAATAGGGGAACTTAGTAGCCATACTAGCCTCGCCTTTCTTGAGGAATGAGGGCTGGCATTTTGTTTTTCTCAGACAGGGTAATTGTTTTTCTCAAATGTCTACTCTGATAATATGTTTCTAACACTGTAGAACAACTTTACAAGAGCGTGGCACACAGTAGACACTCTTAGTTGAATGTTGCCTGATGAATACAAAGCATGTTTACATATGTGCTGTGTAACTGTTTCCATACAACCACAAGCAATTATCCTCACCTGACCGACACAGGAGGCGAAGTTGAGATCACTGAGACGTTGGGAGCCCCAGTTTGTCAAATATGAGATTCCAGTCTGGCATCATACTACAGGGTATCAAAAACTTGACACCATGGAAACAAGTCTTGGTACTGCATGCACGCTAGTGATGGAAGTGAAACCCTGATCTGCTCATTTAACCTCTCTAAATCTGGCCCCTATCATCCATTCTTCCCAGAATAGCCAGAATTTAGATTGTGTCATTCTCTGCTTAAAGACCTCCAATGTCATCTCACTGCACTTAAAATTCCCAGTCCTTACCACTGCGTGGAATACCCAGCATAGCCTGGCTCTGGCCTGCTCTCTGACCTTGTCTCTTACCCCTTCCCTACCCTCCATGCCATTGCTCTTAAGCCACACTGACCTCCTTTCTGTTCCTGGAACAAGTCAAGCTTGTTCATGTCTCAGGGTCTTTGCACTGGCTCTTTCCTCTATTTGGATTCTGTGTTTCTCAGACTCTCACATGGTTGCTTGTCTCCCTTAATCTATTGCTGCCTCTCCATGTCACTCTATTAAATCACCTTGCTTTTTCTTTGTAGCATTTACCAGGATCTGAAGTGTTTTTCTGTTTTTTGTTTGTTTGGTTGGTTGGTTTCTTTGAGACGGAGTCTCACTCTGTCGCACAGGCTAGAGTGCAGTGGCACTATCAGCTCAGTGCAACCTCCGCCTCCCGGGTTCACACCATTCTCCTGCCTCAGCCTCCTGAGTAGCTGGGATTACAGGCATGTGCCACCACACCCAGCTAATTTTCGTATTTTTAGTAGAGACGGGGTTTCACCTGTTGGTCAGGCTGGTCTCGAAGAACCCCTGACCTCGTTATCCGTCAGCCTCGGCCTCCCAAAGTCCTGGGATTACAGGCGTGAGCCACCGTGCCTGGCCTGAAGTTATTTTTCGTTTGTTTGCTGCCTTTCTTCCCACACTAGAATACATGCTACACGAGAAGAGACCTGTGTCTGTCTTCTTCCTTGCGGGGGCCTCAGTGCCATGAACACAGCTTCCCGATGTGTATGGAATGACAAGGAGAATGAATAAGTCAGTCTTCGCTTTCCTCTTCTGTAAGCTGGGAGAAACGTTTTACAGCAATGTTAAGATTAAGTGAGATAACTTAAGAACAGTGTGAGGTGCATGGTGGGTACTTGGCAGGCATTGCACCTCTCCACTTAGGGTTGCTGCAAGACAGTGATGGCCCGTTCACATAGTGCTGCTCAGAGTAAGGCTTAGGGTTTGTGACCACCCTCCAAGGGGTCCACAGATGTGATGGGTAATCCTTGTAAGAAAGGCACTGTTAGCCACTTGGACCATTGGTCCTATGATGGTGTTGAAGTCAGGAAAGGGACTAGTTCACCAAAAATCATGTATCTACTGAGGGCTGGGAACCAGGAGTGAGACCCCATTGGTAAGACCCTCTAAGCAGCCTGGCATCCCAATGGGTGAATGTGGGGAGTTGAACCCTCCTCCAGCCCAAATTGCTCTGGAGAAATCTCTCCCTCCCCTTCCTGTAGGCCACCTTTATCCCATGCTCAGCCCTTAAATTCCTCCTTGGATCCTTCTTCCTGTCCCTGCTGCATCTGCAGAAGCCCACCTAGGACCCCGCTCCCTTCAGCTCCTCTGACCTTTCTGCTGGGGGTGGGAGTGCCAGCCAGTACAGGGATGTGGGGTTTCTTGCCTGCTACGTGTGCCCCTTGACCCTCTTCCCTGAACCAAAAGGAGGAGTAGATTGTCACCAGGCTGGCGTCACCAGTGAGGAGGCTGCTAGTGATGTTTTTCTGGTAACCAAGTCTGTGCCAGGTCTGTCCAGATTAAAACTCGGGGCCATTTGTTTTTTTCTTGAAAGATGCATCCACCTAAGTTTAAAATTAATAGGGTGTTGAATCCAAGAACTAACAGATTTTGGTGAGTGCTGGTTACACATGATGGAACGAGAGCATTGGATGGTATGCAGCTTGAGGGCCACGTTCCTTGTCCCTTAAGCCTCTCCTTTGTCATGTGTCCTGGCCCCACCCTCATCCTTGCTTCTTTCACCATCTTTGTCACCCTGCATAGTGACTTGTCCTACCCACTAGACTGTGAGCTCCTTGCAGGTATGAGGTGTGCCTTGTTACCTTGGCATTCCCAGACCAGTGTCTGAGTCAGAGAGGGACCTCAGGGTGTCCCCCACCTCACCTGATGCAGGCACAGGCATTGGGAGTGCACAAAAGAGTGAGACAGCCCCAAATGGACTCTTCTGGGAAATGTTGAATGAATGCTTGTGTGCAGGGATGCTTCCTGGGAATCCTTCATCTCGTCTTCGGCATCTGCCAGGACAGTCTTTGTGTGTGTGGGCACAGCATTGACTGTGGTGCCCAGCACAGGATCTGGTTGATGGAGGATGCCACCCCAGCTTCCTACAGACCTGCATGTTCTCCTGTCAGGTAACATGGGGCAGGAAGTTAGAAAAGCAATTACCTGCAAGGGCAGATTTACTGGCCTGGACCAAAGTACAGCTTAAGGATCTTAGGAAAATAACTGCAGGTTGCGCCCAGATAACAGAAATGTAGATAATTCCTCCCAGACTTCTAACAGGAGGTCCTGTTTTT